>NC_000014.9:65066258-65369288 GCF_000001405.40 Homo sapiens | reverse complement strand
TGCCATTGCACTAACTTGTGACAATTTCTTCATGAAGCAGGCCATGTCCCCATATTTGGGGCCTGGTCTTTCCTCTTTTCCTGCCCATTCACCTAATCTGTAAGGCTTAACTGCCCCACAGGGTAGCCACTTGCCGCATGTGGTTATTAGGCACTTAAAATGTGGTTAGTTCATTTTAAGTGCTCTACACGTAAAATATATGCTGACTTTCAGACATAGTATAAAAAATGTAAAATATCTCAATAATTTTGTATATTGATTATGTGTAGAAATAATAGTATTTTGGACATACTGGGTTAAACATAATATATCATTAAAAGTAATTTTGCAGCCGGGCATGGTGGCTCACGCCTGTAATCCCAACACTTTGGGAGGCCAAGGCGGGTGGATTGCCTGAGGTCTCAGGAGTTCGAGACTAGCCTGGCCAACATGGTGAAACCCCGTCTCTAATAAAAATACAAAAAATAGGCCGGGCGCGGTGGCTCATGCCTGTAATCCCAGCACTTTGAGAGGCCGAGGCGGGGCGGATCACCAGGTCAGGAGATCGAGACCATCCTGGCTAACACGGTGAAACCCCGTCTCTACTAAAAATACAAAAAATTAGCTGGGAGTGGTGGCGGACGCCTGTAGTCCCAGCTACTCAAGAGGCTGAGGCAGGAGAATGGCGTGAACCCGGAAGGCGGAGCTTGCAGTGAGCGGAGATCACGCCACTGCACTCCAGCCTGGCGACAGAGCCAGACTCCATCTCAAAAAAAACAAAAACAACAACAACAACAAAAAAATAGCCAGGCGTGGTGGCAGGCGCCTGTAATCCCAGCTACTCAAGAGGCCGAGGCAGGAGAATCGCTTGAACCCAGGAGGCGGAGGTTGCAGTAAGCCAAGATCATACCATTGCACTCCAGCCTGGGCAACAAGAGCGAAACTCTGTCCCAAAAAAAAAAAAAAAGGTGGCTCACGCCTGTAATCCCAGCACTTTGGGAGGCCGAGGCGGGCGGATCACAAGGTCAGGAGGTCAAGACCATCCTGGCTAACACGGTGAAACCCCGTCTCTACTAAAAATACAAAAAATTAGCCGGGCGTGGTGGCACATGCCTGTAGTCCCAGCTACCGGGAAGGCTGAGGCAGGAGAATGGCATGAACCCGGGAGGCGGAGCTTGCAGTAAGCCGAGATCGCACCACTGCACTCCAGCCTGGGCGACAGAGTGAGACTCCGTCTCAAAAAAAAAAAAAAAAAAAAAGTAATTTTGCCTATGTTCTTTTACTTTTTTTTTAAGTGGTTACTAGAAAATTTTAAATTATTTATGTGGCTCACATTATATTTCCATGAAACAGCACTGCTATAAAGATACTTTCTTTTCCAAATCAGTTTGCCAGCTTTTCTTATGAAGAAAGAATTGGGAGAGATAAAGAAATGGGATTGGAGAGGTGGGAGTAAAGAGATGGGGGAATGAAGGAAGGGAATAAACACATGGCCTGGGTATTGGGGACAATTTGCAGGATTTGGTGGGTAAAAGCCTTTGTCAGATGTGGATTAAGGAGAGAAAAGAGAATTTCAGAAGTGTTCTCTGGGTTCTGAATCGAATTCCCTGTAGTGTTCTTTTAGAGATTTGCATCTCTAAAGATTGCAGTGCATGTTAAATTTCTTCTTGGTTTCTGGATTACCTTCTTTGATTATGATTTGGGGAAACTGAGCCTCCTGAGGGCTTCAGAATTTATTTGGGTTACTTTATTATTCTAAATAGTCCTTAAATCACTCCACAGAGCTTTTTAGGACTTTCTTTCCATCCTTTTCTTCCATGCTTACCACCCTTCCAAATTGGGCCCAGGGTTACAAAATAAGGGTAGTTGCTCAGTGCTGGGAGGATCCCTCTAGATTTTCAATCTCCTGCCCTGCTAGACTTCACAGTGTTCCTGTGGAATGGACTCTAACAGTGGTCCCTTTCTAATGGAGATCTCATCCCACTGAGGCTTTCTTATGCTCTAGACTCTAAAGATGAAGAGTCATTTCCTTAATGAGATGCCACTTTCTTATCCTCCTCATAAATTAATGATTCAGGCCTTCCCTTTAAACCTCCCCCAAGGCAAAATGGTCCAGGATACACACTGCTCCATCCCATGGGGAAATCCACTTTCTGTAATGTAGAAACGAGTCTTCAGGATGGGGACAGGAGAAGAGAGCCCACCACCAACCCCTCTGGCCAGCTCCAAAGTACATCTGACTTCTTAGAGCTCTGGAGAAATCTGGAGATGTTGCAGTCCTTAGGGAATCGGTTGCTTAAGGACACAGAGTCTTTTCTCTCTTTCATTTCCCCTTTCTCAGCTCTTCGCTTTTCTCTACATTTTCTTTTCCAGTAGTCTCTGGCACATGTCTCTTCCTCTCCCCTCCCTTCTTACAGAAGGAATCTGTAGCCTCTTCAGAACCATGGTGTGTGCACAGGGCCAATTTGCCACTTCTCCTGAGGGTATTACATTTTAAACCTTTTAACTGACTGTACAATGAAAAACTGGTTTAAAAGAATTTCAATCTCCAGAGCATAGCTGGAAAGTCTAGGATATTTTGAGGGGCAGGAGTCATTTCCCAGGGCTCTAAGATACGACACTATAGTAAGCTGCTTAATTTAATTAGATGAGGTAGGCCTTTTAAGAGTCTATTCTGAGGGATCCTTTGGATCATCTTGCCACTACTAACCAAAGTGATGCTTTGAAAAGCACAGAGCTGTGGTAGGGTATAGGCTGAATACTCATTCTGGTGGGCTGTTGGGTACATATCCTAGCAATAACATATAATGTCATTGTGATCAAAGCATAAGACAGGATTTCTTTTCTCCGCCAAAAAACAAGCAAACAAACCCCACAGAAGCCATCGGGGAAAAACTAGTGTAATAGTTTTCCAATGTCCAGTCTTTCTAAGTCTGGTCCATTTAAGTCTCAGCTCAAATCTCACTTCCTCAGAGATGCCTTTCCCTGACTACTCAGTCTATAGTAGCAACTTCCCTGCCTCATTCACTCTGCACAACATTACAGTGTCTCATTTTCTTCATAATATTTACTGTTACCTTAAATTTTCTCATTCGGCTACTTACTGTCTTCTCTATTAGAATATAAATTCCATAAGGGTAGAAACTTTGTCTGTCTTGTGCTGTCTCTCCAGTGCTAGACACATACTGTTACAGGAAAGGGTTCTGGATCCAGACCCCAAGAGAGGGTTCTTGGATCTTGTGCAAGAAAGAATTCAGGGTGAGTCCATAAAGTGAGAGCAAGTTTATTTTTAAAAAATACAAAAACTATCTGGGCATGGTGGCGCATGCCTATAGTCCCAGCTACTCAGGAGGCTGAGGCAGGAGAATTGCTTGAACCCAGGAGGCAGAGCCTGCAGTGAGCCAAGATCGCACCACTGCACTATAGCCTGGGCGACAGAACAAGACTCTGTCTCAAAAAAAAAAAGAAAAGAAAGTAAAGGAATATAAGAATGCTACTCCATAGGCAGAGCAGCACCAAGGGCTTCTGGTTGCCCATTTATATGGTTATTTATTGATTGCATGCTAAACAATGGGTGGATTATTCATACCTCCCCTTTTCAGACCCTATAGGGCAACCTCTTGTCATTTTCATGGCATTTGTAAACTGTCATGGCGCTGGTGGGAGTGCAGCAGTGAGGACGACCAGAGGTCACTCTCATCACCATCTTGGTTTTGGTGGTTTTAGCTGGCTTCCTTACTGCAACCTGTTTTATCAGCAAGCTCTTTATGACCTGTATCTTGTGCTGACCTCCTATCTCATCCTGTGACTTAAAATGCCTTAACCATCTGGGAAGGCAGCCCAGTAGGTCTCAGCCTCATTTTACCCAGCTCCTATTCAAGATGGAGTTGCTCTTGTTCACATGCCTCTTACAATACTAGATGCTCAATAATTATTTGTTAAATGAATGAGAGAGAGAGAGAGAGAGAGAGAGAGAGAGAGGAAGAATTTATTAGGTCTCAGGAGGGGAATCATGCCCCTCTTTGCTCTTTAGGAGGGCAGGGTAATTGCAGATACTCAGACACTCATCAGACATTGCAGAGTATTTAATGAAGTTACAAAGCAGCTGAGGGTCTAGCAGTAGGCTGCCTAATATATCTAAAAGAAAACAGCATTGTGCTTTAACTGGAAGTAAAACTCTGATTATTCTGTTTCAAGTTGAATGTGGCCAAATAAGGGGAGAATACCTTGGAACAGGTTCTTGCCAAAAGGATTAGAATAGAGTGAGGGAGAATAGATTAATGTGAAGTTGATCACTCAAAACTTCAAAAGGTACACACTGTACCTGGGATGTACTGTACACGGCCAAAGCATGAGGGGTGTGTGTGGACGGCAAGCCCTCAGGTGTAAGCCCCGGCTCACAGAGAAGACACATGTGCAATCCAGTGTGGCCCAGGAATGATGTGACACTGCGGAAAATGAAGTTAATGGGATCATTAAAGATGCAGATGTGCCTAGATTTCAAGGAAGACTTAGGCCTATTAGGAGAGTCATCTCAGATTCTATCTTGGCAAGATTTCAGGCAGAAATGTGTGTGGTCCTGTCATACTCTGTTTGGAAGGGAATAAGCTTATGTGAGCCTGTCTGGACCAGATGGACAAAAGGCAGGTTCTTGAGGCTTTCATCCCTTCAAGCAAATACCTAAAAGTGTCTATGGGGGACAAGGCAAGATGGGTTGTTGGCTGGAGTCTGCTCCATTGATGCAAAAGAATGCTGAGAACGATAAGGGCGCCTTGCACTAGCAGGAGCTCTTTACTTTTCAAAATGAGGCCAGGCACGGTGGCTCACACCTGTAATTCCAGCACTTTGGGAGGCCGAGGCGGGCAGATCACCTGAGGTCAGGAGTTCGAGACCAGCCTGGCCAACATGGTGAAACCCCGTCTCTACTAAAAATACAAAATTAGCTGGGCATGGTGGCGGGTGCCTGTAATCCCAGCTACTTGGGAGTCGAGACAAGAGAATTGCTTGAACCCGGGAGGTGGAGGTTGCAGTAAGCCGAGATCTCACCACTGCACTCCAGCCTGGGTGACAGAGCAAGACTCCATCTCAAAACAAAACAAAAAAAAATGGTTTTGGATCTGTTATCTCATTTTACTCCTATTTTAAACCTGTGAGGTAGGAAAGATGGTTACTGCTTTTATAGCCATTTGTCAGTGTGGAGACTGAGGCAAAGTAAATTTGTGGTCTGTTCAGAGTCAACTTATTTACAATAGTAGGAGAACCAGTGTTCTCCACCAAGTTTCTAAAAATGTGGACCCCTGCATCAGAATCACCCAGGAGCACATGTAAAATGACCCCACTGTAGGGGAGGGAAAATAGCTTTTCTCTACCCTTCTGAGTTCTTGGCTGGGGCCCCTGTAACAAAAGACAGGTTAACAAGAGAGAAGCATACAAACTTATTTAATAAGTGTAAAGTTTTAGAAAGCATGGCAGCCTTCATAAAGAAATGGAGACTCAAAGAAGTGGTAAAACCTGAGTGGTTTTATGCTAGGTTTGATGAAGAGTGGGGAGTGGTGGAGAAATGAGATAGGACAAAAGGGTGTGAGCTAAGCATGGTAAACTGAGGAAAACAGCAAGGCCTGGGAGTTCAGATTCTTCTCTGTGTCCCTTTGTCTTTAGAGGCAAGGATGCTCATTTCTTGCCAGTATAGAGAGGGCATCTCTCACATGAGGGTTTTATGACCTCCTTCAGGAAATGGGCAGAAAGTCCTTCCTGGCCGGGCGCAGTGGCTCACACCTGTAATCTCGGCACTTTGGAAAACCGAGGCGGACAGATCACCTGAGGTCAGGAGTTCGAGACAAGCCTAACCAACATGGTGAAACCCTGTCTCTACTAAAAATGCAAAAATTAGGCCAGGTGCAGTGGCTCACGCCTGTAATCCCAGCACTTTGAGAGGCCGAGGCCAGTGGATCACCTGAGGTCAGAGTTCGAGACCAGCCTGACCAACAGGGTGAAACCCCATCTCTACTAAAAATACAAAAATTAGCCAGGCTTGGTGGCGGGCACCTGTAATCCCAGCTACTCAGGAGGCTGAGGCATGAGAATCGCTTGAACCCGAAAGGCAGGGGTTGCAGCAAGCCGAGGTCACACCACTGTACACCAGCCTAGGAGACAGAGTGAGATTCCATCTCAAAAAGAAAAGAAAGTCCTTTCTGTACCTGCCATGTCTCAAATTCCTTCAGTTTAAAATATCCAATATGCTAAGGTAGTGTGTCCTAAACCTCATTACCTACTCCAGAAGTTCTTTTTTTTTTTGAGTCTCATTTATGAGGACAGAATTTCTTCTCTTTTTTTTTTTTTTTTTTTTTTGAAACAGAGTCTTGCTCTGTTGCCCAGGCTGGTGTACAGAGGCGCAAACTCAGCTCACTGCAGGCTCCGCCTCCCAGGTTCGCGCCATTCTCCTGCCTCAGCCTCCTGAGTAGCTGGGACTACAGGCACACACCACCACGCCCGGCTAATTTTTTGTATTTTTAGTAGAGACGGGTTTTCACCATGTTAGCCAGGATGGTCTCGATCTCCTGACCTTGTGATTCACCCGCCTCAGCCTCCCAAAGTGCTGGGATTACAGGTGTGAGCCACCACGCCCGGCTAATGAGGACAGAATTTCTTAATCAGAGGATATCTGGGGTCAGGTCTAGAAATCTGCACTTTTATTTTTAATTCCAGGTGATTCCTATGCATACTAATTGTTTAGCATTGCGTATCACCCTTGACCCTAAAGCAATTTGGGCTTTTTGTTTGTTTGTTTGTTTGTTTGTTTGAGATGGGGGTCTTGCTATATTGCCCAGGCTGGCCTCGAACTCCTGGGCTCAAGTAATCTTCGTACCTCAGCCCCCTGAGTAGCTGGGACTACAGCCACCACACCCAGCTTCTAAAGCAATCTGTAATCCATTGAGTCATTAGCTTAATTCTCAGCTCATCAATTCCTGTATTCTTTCCCTCAAACAGTCCCCCTTTTGAACTGAAAACACAGCATGCTCCTTAGAAGACAGCGTTGTGCTATTGGAAAGAGTAGAGGGAACAATTGTTGACAGGGACTATTTCAAGCTTTGGCAGGGAACACTTGTTAGAACAATCATAGCTAAATCATAGATTGTAAAACAGCAAAGCCTGGGAATCTGCTCTTCAGGGGTTAAAACAACATGCAACCCAACTAGCTGATCAAGTGTTCCAGGAATAAAAAGAACTGACAAAGAGCTTCAGAGTCATCACAACTGGCGAAACCAAAGCTCCATTGGCAGGCTGGAGGGTTGTTGAAACAAGATATGCTGCAACAAGTTCTGGAGTGAAAGAAAGAAAGCATTTCAAACAGCTGATGAAAGTTTATAAAATAGAGATAGGGGAGGATCTACCACAACATTCCCAGCGATTTCAGGAAATACCCAAGGCCACTAAAAGTGGATTCTTGGGGAGAGGAGAATGGGAGTTATAATTTATTTATTTATTTATTTATTTATTTATTTGTTTGTTTGTTTGTTTTCTTTGAGACAGACTCTTGCTCTGTCGCCCAGGCTGGAGTGCAATGGCACAGCGTCTGCTCACTGCAACTTCCACCTCCGGGTTCAAGCAATTCTCCAACCTCAGCCTCCCAAGTAGCTGGGAATACAGGCACATGCCACCACGCCCGGCTAATTTTTGTGTTTTTAGTAGAGACAGGGTTTCGCCATGTTGGCCAGGCTGGTCTTGAACTCCTGACCTCAGGTGATCCCCCAGCCTCAGCCTCCCAAAGTGCTGGGATTACAGGTGCAAGCCACCGCACCCGGCCATAGTCTATTTTTAATGTAAAATACTGAGTTTCTATGAGTCAGTAAGGTTAGTGCCCTTACTTAGGACAATAGTAATTTAGTCCTAGTAAGTATCCTTACAAGGTCTCTAGTAGATCCTTACATTTATAGAGCTTTTTTTTTTTTTTTTGAGACAGAGTTTTGCTCTTGTTGCCCAGGCTGGAATGCAATGGCACAATCTCGGCTCACCACAACCTCCGCCTCCCAGGTTCAAGCAATGCTCTTGCCTCAGACTCCCAAGTAGCTGGGATTACAGGTGCACACCACCACGCCCGGCTAATTTTTGTATTTTTAGTAGAGACGGGGTTTCACTATGTTGGTCAGACTGGTCTCGAACTCCTGACCTCATGATCCGCCTGCCTCGGCCTCCCAAAGTGCTGGGATTACAGGCATGAGCCACCATGCCTGGCTTTATAGAGCTCTTTACAGTTTAAAATCACCATGTAATCACTCTCATGTGATTGTATAGCACCTTGAAAGTTTCCAAAGTTCTTTCATCATACCTGATGACTTACCATCTTCATCACTGCTCTGCAGCATTTACCATCCCCATTTTGCAGAACAATTTTTTTGAGAAAATATGGGCTCATAAAATTACAGAATCTCTCCAAGGTCACCCAACTAATTTGTGTTCACTAAGTTGTGAACTCAACTTCAGTGCTTCCCCATTTCCACACCTGACTTTCTATTATAGACTTCTGCAAACAATAATAATAAAAAATAAAATGTAGCTCAGCCCATCATAGCATTTGAGGGCTATAAGCCAACTTCCCATTTGACAGATGAGAAAACCCAGGCACAAAAATGTTGAGGCTTTGCCCCAGGTCACATGGTTATCAACAGAGTCCGGATACTGGATCCCCATCTCCTCATTATCCAGTGCAGAGCTCATTCTACTTTGCCCTGCTTCCTCTCATACTTTGTGGATAGCTAGATATAAATCACATGTGTACATTTGGAATCTTGGAACAAGTGCCTTTAATAGGCCAGTCCTCTGAAGTATGGGAGCCTAACAGATTAAAAATGCTTTAGGTTGATTTAAAAAGGCATCTCTGGCCTTTGAATTTAGCTTTAAAAGCTTGGAATGTTTGTCTTCTTACTCCATAATGGTATAATCAGTACACTTACCACATTAAGCAATGCAGAAACACCTGCTGTGAGTCGTGCCCACATTTCTATTATTGGTATAGATGGCTGTAAACCCAGCTAATGGCAAGACTGACAGAGTTGTTTCATGTTAGATTTTGATAAAAGGGAGAGAATCATGCAGATTTGAAACATGATTTGTAAAATTACCAGTTATCAGAGGATGCATGAGGGCTAGTCCCACAACATAAGGTAAAAATGAGTGTGCCTGGCCAGGTGCAGTGGCTCATGCCTGTAATCCCAGCACTTTGGGAGGCTGAGGCGGACGGATCATGAGGTCAGGAGATCAAGATCATCTTGGCCAACATGGTGAAACCCTGTCTCTACTGAAAATACAAAAATTAGCTCGGTGTGGTGGTGTGTGCCTGTAATCCCAGCTACTCGGGAGGCTGAGGCAGGAGAATGACTTGAACCCAGGAGGCGGGAGGCGGAGATTGCGATGAGCAGAGATCATGCCACTGCACTCCAGCCTGGGTGATAGAGCAAGACTCCGTCTCAAAAAAAAAAGAGTGTGCCTTGCAGGGATGCAATCAGAAAATTGTAAACCCACGTTCATAGCTGTATTACTCACATTAGCCAAAAGGTGGAAGCAACCCAAGTGTCAGTCAACAGATGAATGGATAAATAAAATGTGTTCCATGCATACAATGGATTATTATTCAGCCTTAAAAGGGAAGGAAATGCTGACCACAGTATAACATGGATGAACTCTGAAGACATCATGCTAAGTGAAATGAGCCAATCACAAAAAGACAAGTAGTGTGTAACATACTTGGAGTAGTGAAATTCACAAAGATAAAAAGTAGAATAGCGGTTGCCAGAGCTGAGGGGAGGGGAGAATGGAGAGTTTGTGTTGAACAGGCTCAGAGGTTCAGCTAGGGAAGATGAAAAAGTTCTGGAGATGTATGGTGGTGATGGTTGCACAACAACGTGAATGTACTTAACGCCACTGAACTGTATAGTACACTTAAAAATAGTTAAAATGATGAATTTTATGTTATGTATGTTTTGCTGCAATACACAAGAAAATGAATGTGCCTTGTTTATTGGTTTCTTCTCTCATTTTCGACGGGCAGCAGAGCATGTGTCCTTGGGGCAGCCCAGGGATTCCAGCTCAAGCTCCAGATTGTTTGCATCCTTCTTCAAAACTTCACTAAAAACACCATCACAAGAAAACAGTAAGACAAACCCCAAAAGTAAAACAGATGCCCTGGTCTCTTCAAAAGTCAGTGCCCCTAAAAAAGAAAAGATTGGTTCTTAATAGGAAAAAAAACAGTTCTAAAAGACATTTTGGGAGCAACTGAAAAAGTGTGAATATGGACTCAGTATTAAATAATATTAAAGAATAATTATTAGTTATTGTAGATGTGGTCATAGTGTTCTGGTTGTGTAGGAGAATGTCCTTATTTGGGGTAACCATATGCTGTTAAGTATTTAAAGTGTCATGATGCTCAGCAACTTATTTTCAAATTATTAAGGGGAAAATATATGTACTCACCAAACAGTAAAATAATAGCACAAAAAAACACAAATAACAGCAGAAAACAAAATGGCAAAGACATAGATAAAACAATTATTCAGTGTAAATTATGCAGGGCATGGTAGCTCACACCTATAATCCCAGCACTTTGGGAGGCCAAGATGGGGCTGTCCACTTGAGCACAGAAGTTCAAGACCAGCCTGGACGACACGGAGAAACCCCATCCATCTCTACCAAAACCACAAAAATTAGCCGGGCATGCACCTGTAGTCCCAGTTACTCTGTAGACCGAAGTAGGAGGATCGCTTGAGCCTGAGGAGGTCATACTACTGCACTCCAGCCTGGGCAACAAAGTGAGACCCTATCTCCAAAAATGATAATAATAATAATAATGTAAAAAAAGTAAATGATGTATTTAAAGGTGTTACTTGCATTAGTTTTCAACATTTTTGTACATGTGATAATTGTTATTAAAAAGTGTTTAAATATTGAGTATCTATGGTTTAATAAATATTTTTATTAATTTATTTATAATTCACACAAAATAATTGTACATATTTATGGGATACAATGTGATGTTTCAATGCATGTGTATACTTTATAATGATCAACTCAAGGTAATTACTATACTCATCACTTTAAACATTTATCATTTCTTTGTAATAATACTCAAAATCTTCTCTTCCAACTATCTTGAAACATAGACTGCATCGTTACTAGTTACAGTCACCCTACCATGTAATGGAACACTAGAACTTATTCTTCCTAACTGTAACTTTTTACCTGTTGACCAACCTCTCCTGTTCTCCTCCCCTCCCTACCCTCCCCAGCCTCTGGTAACCACTATTCTACTCTCTGCTTCTAAGAAATCAACTCTTTTGGATTTCACATATGTGTGGAAATCATGTGGTGTTTGTCTTTCTGTGCCCAGTTTACTTCACTTAACATAATGTCCTCCAAGTTCATCCAGAAGTCACTATTAAATTGCAAATTTATGCCTTCTCTAGTCAAACCACCATTACCACCAGTTCAGGGTGTACCAGGCACTTTGCTAAAACTTCACACACACTATTTTATGTGATTTGCACTCTGCCTCTATCAAGAGACTATTGTCATTACCCTCACTTTTGCAGATGAGAAACTGAGGTGCAGACATTAAGTAACCTGTCCAAGATTATGCAGCTAGTGAGTGACAGAGCCGAGGTTTACACATAGACAGTCTGGCTGTAAAATAGGTCACATCTTCCAAACTGGAAGCCCTGAAGAAAATTTTAGATACTGAGGCAAGCCTATGATGGAGATGTGTTGGGGGCCCTCAAATCATGGCCATTAAGGGGGTATCTCAACCACCTAAGGGTAGGGTCTGCTTAGGCTGCAGAGCCCTAAAGAAATAGCCTCTGTTCGAGTATTCTAGCAGTGAATCTGGGTATTTTGCCCCTCCCAGGGAAGCTGAGACTGTTTTACAGCTATTGTCTCATCTGTAGCCCTAGGCAGGATGGGAACTGTTATAAATAATTCTTTCTAGTTTCAACTCTGGAGACTTGCCCGAGGCTTCTGGCTCTGTGGTCCACACCTGGCTTCTGTAGACAGCAACAACAGTAACTACAGCAGTTGACATTTTTATAATACTTGCTATGTGACAAGCACTCTTCCAAGTACTTTAAATACACTAACAAATCCCTGCAACACTTCTGTGGAGTAGACATATTATCCCCATTTTAGAGATAAGAACACTGAATCACAGAACATAAGTAAATGCCCAAGGTCACACACCTAGTAAGTGAAGGAACCTGGCTCCCGCCAGAGTAAGTACTCATGGCTTCTATTAATCCAGATGAGACCCAGAAGCTCCCTTCTGGTTCTTACCTCTCCTGGGGAGAACTTTGTCCCAGTGCTTGCCCCTGACCACATGAGTTGAATGAAATCAACTCAGGTGGCACGGAAAAGAGGCCAGCAGTAGTGGCCTCAGTGCCTCTGCCAGATATGTGAGCCGGTGTTCCAGTACCCTGCTCTCTCCACATTTTACCTTTGGGCCTTTGTTTTTTTACAAAGCAGCAGTAACTCCCAGATGGTTTGATATCAGAGGTCATCACCCCACCTTGCTGCCTACTAAGGACATGGTGGCCCAGCCCTAACAAACCACAGAAAACTTGCATGCTTGTCTTCAACGGAAAGAAGAGAAGGCTTCCTGGTGGGCCCTCCCTAATGGAGCCAACCACAAAGCCAGCCATTGGACAGGACTCTAAAGTAAGGAAAGGCAGTCCCCTCCCAATTCCCCACCCACACTCTCTCACCTGCCACGTCAGGAAGTGTAGGGTGAACCTCTTTATACTCAGGTGTTAGTCATGCTTCCTATCCCTCCCAAGGGGGCATCCTAATATGGGATCCCTTGGAGGCAGCAATGACTCACCCAAAGGAATGACGCTGGTAACAGAACGATCATCAAATGATGATAATCGAATGAGGCTTTTTTTTTCCCTTTCTGCTATAGGAAAAAAAGAAAAAAATATATTTTTCTTTTCTTTTCTTTTTTTCTGAGATGGAATTTCACTCTTGTCACTCAGTCTGGAGTGCAATGAGGCAATCTTGGCTCACTGCAACCTCTGCCTCCCAGGTTCAAGCAATTCTCCTCCCTCAGCCTCCTGAGTAGCTGGGCTTATAGGCATCTACCACCATGGCTGGATAATTTTTGTATTTTTAGTAGAGATGGGGTTTCACCATGTTGGCCAAGCTGGTCTTGAACTCCTGACTTCAGGTGATCCACCCACTTCAGCCTCCCGAAGTGCTAAGATTACAGGCGTGAGCCACTACACCCGGTGGAAGAAAAAATTCTATTCCTCTTCACTGACCTCCTAGCTCCCCAGTTAGCTAAGGCTTTGTGTTTAGCGGTCAGTCTTAGTTCCTCATTTTGTCTTGGGGGTAGTGGTGGCAGCAGTTAGCTAATGGTTTCTCTATAATTCAAGGGTCAAACCCAAGAAGGAATTAGATGGCAGTACCCCAGAGGATGAGGTGGGGATTGGTTGGAGAGAAGCTAGGGCTTTGTGGATGAGAGAGAGAATTGGATTCTATGAGTCTGGAGCCTTGCGCCTTTTCTGTAAAGGGCTCTGGAGGTTGCTGGTGTCTAGGGGAGCAGTTGGTGCCTGGAAGTCAGAATGTCTCTGTAGGAGGGGTTTAGGGGCAGCAATCTGATTGAAAGGCTGGGAGGGGAAGAGGATGCTCTAAGCTGTTTACATGGCTACATACATGAAAATGAGAAAATATTAATTACCTACAACAAGGAACAGGGGATGCTGACCTAGATTACGGGGAGAAGATCTAAAGTTTCCTCAACACTCCTTCTACTACCACCACCACTCAAACTTGGCACATGACTAATACCTCAAGGACAATCTCTAACTATATAACCTTGGAAATATCCACAAGGGCCCCTGTGGCAGAGCCTGCAGGTAAAGTAGGCACTTTGAGGTGAAACCTTTTAGTCCAATAGCTGTGTCACATAACAAAAGTAGCAACATTAATAATGGTGGCTATTTTATTGGCTAACTCAATCCCCTGCCCCATTTTGCTATTACCAAGCAGGGCCCCGGATTCTAGTACGGCCCAACAGAAAAGAGGGGATTTCAATAATCATTAATATTGGGGATTGCACCAGCCAGGGCAAGGTGGGGCTCACAGCATGATTCCATTTGATTTTAAAAAGTAAAGTGATGTGCATTTCCTTGCTCCTTGGCGAAGTGGAGCGAATTCCTACCTGTTATTTAGGCATCAGTGAGAGAGTGGTGGAGCGGGGAGGGAGGCAGAGTGATCCTCAAATCACCAGGCAGTAGGAGAAGCTGCCAGGCTCTGCCCTCCTCCATTTGCCTTTAGTTGGCAAAAGACAAATTAGCCCAGCGCCTCCTGAGCTGAGTTTGCAGTGCAGAGTCTGCAAGAATGTTTGCTTGGGGAGCAGCACTGTGCTTTACCTCAGCAGGTGTAATTCCATCACATGATTGTCTTGGATCTGCTTTTCCCCACTCCAGCCTGAGCTTGCCAAGTCAGAGAACGATAGCTGAGAAATAAATAGTTCTTCTCTGTGTCAGCCCAGGAAACACTAAGGGTCCCTTTACACGGTATAGAATGAGCATTTTCTTACTGCTGGGGTTAAAGAAGGCCTCTCTCCCTGCCCTTGAGGCCTACAGCCAGAACTTTCTCTTTGCGGGAAACTCACTGGCTTCCACGGGAAGCCAGACTGGGCCCTGCGGCCTGCCCTGCCCAGCCCATACCCAAGCTTTACAGGTCGCCAACACACCAGTCAAAGGAGGAAGACTAGGGCCTTCACGGGGACACAGAGACAGGGCTAAGTGCTCTACTGCCTTGGAAACTTTCGGTACAACCTTGGCATCTCTAGCCCAGAGAGTTATTTCTATTGCAGTTTAAGGTTACTACCTTGGGCAGGTAACTTTCACCTTCTGGAAACTGCTGACAAGGAAGCTAAATAAGAGGGACCTCCCCAGCCCAAGCCTGGAAAGCTCAGCCATTCAGCCCAGGAGCCAAGATAAGGTGAGCCTGGTCAGTGCCAGCAGCCTGGGCCCACTCATGCCTAAAGACTCGTAGGGTCCCGTGAAGCCAGGTCAGTGTCTGACCTTCCTCTTTCAGGTTACAGATGTTCCCTCTGCATGTCTGTTGCAGGACTAAGCTGGCTTGAGAGACTCTGGGGTTTCTGTACAGCCCTGACAGGGACCAAGAGAAGAGAGACTATCACTGAGTTCTAGGGACTCCTTTTTTATTTTTAGTAGAGACAAGGTCTTGCTGTTGCCCAGGCTGTTCTCAAACTCCTGAGCTCAAGCGGTCCCCCTACCTCGCCCTTCCAAAGTGCTGGGATTACAGATGTGAACCACTGCCCTCAGCTTGAGTTCTTACTTGAAGTTCAGATTTCTGGGCTTTTTCTGGAATGAGACACAGTACAAAACCATAACACTTGATGTGATGTTTCTTTCTTTCTTTTCTTTTTTTTTTTTTTGAGACAGAGTCTTGCTCTGTCGCCCAGGCTGGAGTGCAGTGGCACGATCTCAGCTCACTGCATCCTCTGCCTCCCAGGTTCAAGAGATTCTCCTGCTTCAGCCTTCCAAAATAGCTGAGATTACAGGCACCCGCCACCACTCCTGGCTAATTTTTTTGTATTTTTAGTAGAGACGGGGTTTCACCATGTTGGTCAGGCTGTTCTCGAACTCCTGACCTCAAATGATCTGCCCACCTCGGACTCCAAAAGTACTGGAATTACAGGCATGAGCCACTGCACCCAGCCACTTAATGGTAGGTTTCTTATAAACCTACTGCATGGTTATATAAACGAGATGATAGAAAAGGAAATCTCTGTACTGTTGTCTTCAGTGCTTGTTAAGATACACAGTAGCCACTCCAGTGCGTTAGCCATCTCTGACAGGTGCTAGATTTTCCCCATTTGCTACTCATAATCTGCTCTCCACCCTTCTTTGCCCTGCTCTCTGCCCATGAGGCTGAGTCACAAGGATGACATCAGTAGGCTGCTTTTGCCCTCCAGCCTCTAGGGGTTGGCCAAGGAGGTTGGCATATTTATTTCTCTGGTTCCTTCCTGCCAGGTGGCCCTCTCTATCAGCTTTCTAGGTTCCTTTAATGGGTTCCATTGCCTTGTCCTTACAGACATGGTGGCGGTAGTGGCTCTTGCACTCACCAGCCCAAGGGTAGTGCACATCCCTTTTGCTTTGTCTAAGCCCAGTCCATGCTTTGTAAATAGTGACTTTATTACACTCTTCCTAAATGACTCAATTTAAGGGCATCCTTTTTTTTTTTTTCCAGGCTAGGACACTAACAGATGAAACCTTTAGAACATTTTGCCCTTATTACTATTTCTAAGTTAATATGGGGAAATTTTACTTGACTTTGCCCTCTCCTAACTTTTTGCACATAAAATTTTATTTTCTCTTTTTATTTTTCTTTGAGACAGGGTATACTCAGACTGGAGTGTAGCAGTGAATTCCTGGGCTTAAGCAATCCTCCTGCCTCAGCTTCCCAAGTAGCTGGGACATAACATCTAACATTCCCAAGTAGCTACTAGTGCATAACATCTAAAAAAAAATTTTTTTTTAATTTTAAAAATTAAAATTTTTTTTTGTAGAGATGGGGTCTTGGTATGTTGTCCAGGCTGGTCTCAAACTCCTGGCCTCAAGCCTTCATTCTGCCTTGGCCTCCCAAAGTGCTGGGATCATGGGTGTGAGCCACCGGGCTTGGGCTTATTTTCTCCTGGTATTGCTAGTTTTTTTTTTTTTTTTTTAGACGGAGTCTTGCTCTGTCCCCAAGGCTGGAGTGCAGTGGCGTGATCTCGGCTCACTGCAACCTCTGTCTCCCAGGTTCAAGCAGTTCTCTGCCTCAACCTCCCAAATAGCTGGGGTTACAGGCACCTGCCACCACACCTGGCTAATTTTTGTATTTTTAGTAGAGACAGAGTTTCACCATCTTGGTCAGGCCGGTCTTGAACTCCTGACCTCGTGATCCACCTGCCTTGGCTTCCCAAAGTGCTGGGATTACAGGCATGAGCCACCACGCCTGGCTAAAGTAGTTTTTTAAAATTTAAAATGTATACAATAATTTTTTGTTTTCTAAAAAGCAAGATCCTTACTGTAATTGCTTTCAGGAGATAATTTTAGATAATGTATTAGTTCGTTCCTTGTTGATTATAATAGAATATGTGGAACTGGGTCATTTATAAAGAAGAGTAATTTATGTCTTACAGTTATGACGGCTGGGAAGTCCAGGATTGAGGGGCTGCAACTGTGAGGGGACTCTTGCTGGTGAGGACTTTCTGTAGAGTCCCAAGGCCACACTGGGAATCACATGGTGAGGGGCTGAGTGAGCTCACATGCTTGCTTAGGTCTCTCTTCCTCTTCTTAAAAAGCCACTAGTTCCACTCTCATGATTACCTGCTAGTCTATTAGCCCATTAATCCATTAACCTATAAATGGATTAATCATAAGGGTTGAAACCTTTTGATCCAATCACCTCTTAAAGATTCAATACGGTCACATTTTGAGATTAAGTTTCTAACACATGAAATTTGGGGGACACATTCAAACCATAGTAGATAAATAAGGAAAAAAAAGTCTTGCAAATTTTGCATTTTAAACCAGCACTAACAGGTGTTTCCGACGCATGCTACGGCTTAAGAAGCACTGCAAAAGTCAGCTCTTCAAGCTTCTCACAGGCAGCTGTCCTAAGACATCAGCATCCCCTTCCCTCCATTAGAGCCTACACCAATGAGTTTGAGATAAAGCAATTTTATATAAAAACAGCCTAGTATCTCTATATTGGAAAGTCTGTCCTTAACACCAGGTTTTGAAGTCCAGGAAAGCTGTGTACGTTATTTAACTTAAAAAGTTAAATATGGGCCAGGCACAGTGGCTCACACCTGTAATCCCAGCACTTTTGGAGGCCGAGGCGGGTGGATCACCTGAAGTCGGAAGTTCAAGACCAGCCTGACCAACATGGCAAAACCCTGCCTCTACTAAAAATACAAAAATTAGCCAGGCGTGGTGGCGCATGCCTGTAATCCCAGCTACTCAGGAGACTGAGGCAGGAGACTTACTTGAACCCGAGAAGTGGAGGTTGCAGTGAGCAAAGATCGCGCCACTGCACCTAGCCTGGGTGACAGAGTGAGACTCTGTCTCAAGAGAAAAAAAGTTACATATGTATATCTATCTATATATTTAAATCACATATATATATGTGTGTGTGTGTGTATGTGTATGTGTGTGTATGTGTATATATATATATATATATATAACTTTAGGCCGTGCATCGTGGCTCATCTCTGTAATCCCAGCACTTTGGGAGGCCGAGGCGGGTGGATCACGAGGTCAGGAGATGGATTCCATCCTGGCTAACATGGTGAAACCCCGTCTCTACTAAAAAATACAAAAAATTAGCTGGGCGTAGTGGGGGCGCCTATAATCCCAGCTACTTGGGAGGCTGAGGCAGGAGAATGGCGTGAACCCGGGAGGCGGAGCTTATAGTGAGCCAAAACCGCGCCACTGCACTCCAGCCTGGGCGATAGAGCGAGACTCCGTCTCAAAAAAAAAAAAAAAAAAGAAAAACTTTAAAAGTTTTATACTCAAGGCTTTTCCTAGAATATACATTCCTCCATATTCCCTATTTTAAAAATTACCTCTTTGTCTCTCAAGCTCAACAACTTTTCTGTGAATCTCTTGATCCTTGCACATCTGGCATGAAAATATCCCAAGTTATCTGCATTGGCAGATGGAGCTGTGCTGAACAGAAGCTTTATCCTGGATTCGGTCCTCTCTCCCAGCACAAGCACCTGACTCAACTTCCGAAGTGTGGAGAACGTTATGGAACTTCATCTTGCCCTAGTTTACCTCCTCCGACTTCCAGTCCTACCCACTTATACTTCTTCCTGGTCCAAATGGATTATCCCCCTAATTTTTCCCCTTAAAGATATCAATAGAAGATTGATTATCCACACTGTATGCTCATTATTGTCCTGCGTTGCTCCTTAGAAGCTGTTGCTAAGTAATGCTAAGTACTAAGCCAGGTTCCTGTGGTCTGCTCCCGCACCCTAGAAGGGTCTTACGTGAATTGGGCTGGGATGAGTTCCAGCACATGGGAACTATAGGAAAATCTGAAACAGAGGCAAAAAGTGACCTTAGGAATGAAGTCTCCTTTACATTGATGATGTGTGACCTGTTCTCCTCATTCTCCTCAGCAACTTCAGACTGGCTACTTCTTTTTTTTTTTTGAGACAGACTCTTGCTCTTTGTCCAGGCTGTAGTGCAGTGGCACAATCTCAGCTCACTGCAACCTTCTCCTCCCAGGTTCAAGCGATTCTCCTGCCTCAGCCTGCTGAGCAGCTGGGATTACAGGTGTGCACCACCATGCCCGGCTAATTTTTTTAATTTTAATAGAGACAGGGTTTTGCCATGTTGGCCAGGCTGGTCTTCCCCAGCGAGTTTTCACCAGCTCTAGCCCAGCCTGACCCTTTTTCTAGTGAAAGGCAGGTCCCACTTGACTGTTATTTTCATCCAAAGGAATGAACAGCCAGAGCCTCTTACTTCCCAGTATGTAGTAGTGGTTATCATCAAGCAGTTGATTACATAGAGCTTTGTTTGGGGAATATAATTCTTTACAAGTCTGGCCGTAATAAAATACAGACTTGCCGCTAAGATTTGCGGGGCCTTGGGCACGAGTGCAGATGGAAGTCCACATACTACATATATAAAAGTTGTAAATTACACTAACAAACGGATAAATAAAATATTTCAATTCCCCTATACTGACAAATATCCCCTCATAAACACAAAATATACACACAGATACAAATATACAGCCCTTGAAAAAGAGAAAGAAACGGGCTAATCTGGAAGGCCAGGTTCAAATATGGAATTCTTGAACTTCTCAGAGCTCCATGCGGGGACATAGTGGAATGGAAAGAGCTGGCCCCTGACCCACCCCCCACTTATCTTCCTAGCCCAGGCACTGTCCCACATGACAAAGGGCCTTGAGTACATTCACGTAGACATGACCAAGCTCCATCCACATTCCCACTCTTACCTCATCACACTTATTGCACACCTTTCATGCCTAGGAATAAGTACATTAGTGGTACAGTCTGTCCTTGGGGAAGTGTACCTGCAGAAGTGGCCCAGGCCCAGGAATTAGGCTCTAGAAGGGGAATATGGGCTCTGAGTGGGAACATCCCATTGGTGGGTTCTTTCCGCCATGAGAGGTATAGCCAAAGTGGGCCAGAGTGAGGCCCTCTAAAGCATGGGATCCTCTAAAACATGGGACCATAGGCAGAGGGCACAGCCAGTGAAATAAGATAGCTTAGATGGAAGATACACCCAACAGTAGGGAAATCACTAAAGAGGTCATGAAAGCTCCAGGTAAAATGGTGGCCCCGGAGAGGAGAGGAGGAAGAGATAGAGATTATCTAGGAAGCAGATCTGAGCAGACACACAGAGTGCAGAAACCAGTGCTTCGGCAAATGCTACCTGTCCTGGCTTCAGCCCCTGCCCAGAGTACCCACACTTCTCTACTGGGCCCTGAAGACCCCTTCTTTGCCTAAGCTAGTTGGAGTAGGTACTGTTACTTGACAAAAATAAAGTCTTGACAAGATACTACTTCGTGTCGCAAAAGAAACCGAAGTTTCCTAGAGAGAGAGAGATGGCAGAGAAAGAAAAGGGCTAAAGACAGAGGTTTGAGAAAGACATAAAATGCAGAAAAAGAGAAAGAAGAACCCAAGTAAGAGTTGTGACAGGAGTAGGGAAAGAACTAGCTCACTCGGGTGGGCATTTCAGAAAGAAGAGCTGGTCGGTTGGAAGATGAGGCCTGAGTAAAGGTCACTGGAATTGATGACTAAAAGATCACCACTGACCTTCAAGATAGCACAACTAGAGATGAGTGTTGGCAGACAGATGTGCCCAGCTGTGCTGGGGAGATGGAGCAGCAGCTGTTCACACATGGCCCAGGGCTTTCTTCTGCCCTGTATGGGTGTGAGTATGACCCCCCTGCCTGTTTCACAATCTCCTTCTACTGAGCACACTGGGGAACGCTGGCACCCTTGGGGCCAAGGCAGATTTGAAGTGTGTTAAAGAACAGGGTGTGAACTGCCATGATCCCGGATGTGACTCCCTAAGGACAGAGTGTCTGGAAAAAAAACCAACCAACCAACTGAAGAACCACTGGGTTTGGGGGGATCCCTAGTCTTCACCTGAAACACTGGGAATTACCTCTTCCTCTTATTCTGCATTCCCTTAGGATGTCCCTTAAGGACAAGTCCCAGCCCAGGTAGGTAGCAACCTCCGCTGCTCTGCCTGCCTGCCAAGGTGAGCCAGCTTCTCATTTCCTCGTCTTGTCTCAAGGGGTGTGTGTGTGTGTGTGTGTGTGTGTGTGTGTGTGTGTAGGGGAGGATCCCCTACAAAGTCTTTCTTCCAAATCCCAGCAATTCGGCCGGGCATGGTGGCTCATCCCTGTAATCCCAGCACTTTGGGTAGCCAAGGCTGCAGGATTGCTTGAAGCCAGGAGTTCAAGACCAGCCCAGACAATATTGCAAGACCTCATCTCTACCAAAATAAATAAATAAATAAATAAATAACAACCAAAACCAAAAAGTTGCCGGGCAAGGTGGTACACATTGTATTCCCAGCTACTCGGGAGGCTGAGGTGGGAGGATCATGTGAGCTCAGGAGGTCGAGGCTGCAGTGGGCCACAATTGTGCCACTGCACTCCATCCTGGAGTGAGACTCTGTCTCAAAAAAAAAAAAAAAAAAAGTCTCAGCAATTCGAGGATAACGACAAATAAGTAAAGATAACTTTTTATTTAAGGAAGCCCATCTATGACTCCCTGTTAATACAGCTGACAACAGGAGAACCCAGGCTATGAAGCCTACAGAGCATTTGCAAGGGAGGTAGGCTACCTGTAGCTAGAGAAAATGAACCATGGCACAGCCTGGGCCCAACTTCTCCACTGTGACCATTGCTCAGAGACTGCCATATAAGAGAGAATTTCGGAAGTGTGAGGTTTGACCCTCACGATGGACCCACTGCTCTGACTGGCTTGCTGTGAGCTGTCACCCCCACCCTATTTCTCCTCAACCTTCAACCACAGTTCCTAACCTGAGTGATCACCAAGCTGGGTGACCCCCACTGCACCCCCTGCCAAGGGTGAAAGGGAGGACAGAGTCCACTGGCTGGTCCTTCCTGCTAAGTTTATGAAAAGGGAACAGTGTCAGCAACGTCTCCCCTCCCCTGACTCAGCAGCGTGCACTGTCAGCACTTCCAGCCTCCCCGTGACAGTGCACTCCATGGAGAAATAAAAAATAACTGCTCGTTAGAAAAATGAGAGAGTCCTGACCTTTTCCCATTGATTTTTCCCCTTTTTTGATTTAAATATCTGCAGCCTGTGGGTGTTAGCATCCCGTCAACTTTCTCTGTGAAGCCATTCCCCTCTTCACAGGAGACAGGATGTTTTTTAACCTACAGATGAAGTTTGCTTTTCTTCTCTGAGGACCTAAAGGGAGTTTACTAAACAATATTTTCACATATTTCACTCGATCCTCTTAATTGCCTTGTGAAACAGGTATTATTATCTCCATTCCACAAGAGAGAAACAGATGTTCTGAATGGTCCAGTGACTTGCTCAAGGCTGCTGAGTTCGTAGGTCCTGGACCTGAGAATTGACTTCTGCCCCCTGACTCTAAAGTCTATGCCAGGCTAACAAATCCAAGGGTGGGGGCTGGCAGGGCAGGAGTGTAGTGTGGGAGACAGAATCTCAAATCCTTGTCTTTCCCTCTTTTCATAGAGCCCAGACATTGCGAGTTAAAAGAAAACATACTCGGGCTGGGTGCGGTGGCTTATGCCTGTAATCCCAGCACTTCGGGAGGCCAAGGCAGGCAGATCACTTGAGGTCAGGAGTTTGAGACCAGCCTGGCCAATGTGGCAAAACCCCATGTCTACTAAAAATACAAAAAATAGCTGGGCGTAGTGGTGGGCGCCTGTAGTCCCAGCTACTCGAGAGGCTGAGGTGAGAGGATTGCTTGAACCTAGGAGGCAGAGGTTGCAGTGAGCTGAGTTTGTGCTACTGTACTCCAGCCTAGAAGACAGAGCAAGACTCTGTCTCAAAAAAAAAAAAAACTCCAAAGAGAAAGAGCAAAGAAAATATACTAGGCTGGGTGCGGTGGCTCACGCCTGTAATCGCAGCACTTTGGGAGGCTGAGGCGGGCGGATCACAAGGTCAGGAGATCGAGACCATCCTGGCTAACACGGTGAAACCCCGTCTCTACTGAATATACAAAAAATTAGCCAGGTGTGGTGGTGGGCGCCTGTAGTCCCAGCTACTCGGGAGGCTGAGGCAGGAGAATGGCGTGAACCTGGGAGGCGGAGCTTGCAATGAGCCAAAATCACGCCAGTGCACTCCAGCCTGGGTGACAGAGCGAGACTCTGTCTCCAAAAAAAAAAAAAAGAAAGAAAGAAAAGAAAATATACTGACCCTTAGAGCAATGGCTTTAAACTTTTACAAATGTGACCCATTTGTAAAAGTACATTTTATATCTTGATCTGGTACATCACATGCGCGCGCGCGCACACACACACACACACACACACACACACACACAACTGGGTCAAAAGTTTTAGCAAAAGTAATATACTCTGATATATTTTGTTCTACTCCATTGAATTCTTTTTTCCCCTTTTAATGATGGTTTTGACCCACGAAATTGATTTCATTACCCACAATTGAAAAATGCTGCCTTAAAGCATAAACTATGCATTCAGAGACAAGCTCTCATACTACTCTTGTATAAAGTGCCAACTTATACAGTGCCCCAACACATAGTCCGTGTTCAGGAAATATGTGTTGAGCCTCTGGGCTTTTAAGGAACCAATAATCCACAAGTTAAACAACTTGTTCTGGAAACTCTCCAGTTTGGTTTATGTGGAAAAGATCATCCTAATTCCAAATCCCAACAAACAAATCATTCACACATGCGCACACAAAAGAAAAGCCTGGAAATGGATCTCTGTTGTGAATCTAGACTTGAAATTTCAAAATAAAATACTAGCAAATAGATTTCTTTCAGTGTCTGCCCAGTGCTGTGCACTGTCCTAGTGGCTAGAGATACAGAAAAATATGGGACCCAGGCCCTGCCCTCAAGGAGCTGGGGAATGGTGGGAGGCTGACAAGTGAAGCCTACAGTGCAGTGTGATGAGGGTAGCACAGGCTGCCAGGGAGTAGAAGGAAGTTATCTACCCAACCTAGAGGGCATAAAGATGATTTCCTTGGAGCTACTCAGAGCCTAGACTTGAAAGGTTGTAAGTTAGGTGGGAAAATAAATGGAGGACAGAGGTTTCAGGCAAAAGGAATCGCATGTGCAATGCTGTGGCAGTCACAGTTGATTGTCTGTCCCATAACCAATCCCTGTGTTCCTTGCAGTATGTCAATTATTTTGGGAAGGCATGGAGAGAGAGTGTCTACTACTACTTATATAATTTAGGGGGAATTCCTGACTAACATAAGCCAATCATCACGATCCCAGGATCCTTGCCAATTATTGGTTTAGGAATGAGTATAATAAGACCCGAGTCTGGCCAACGAAATTTCAGGAAAGAACTTCCAGGGAAAGAACTTCCAGGAACAGGCTTGGGAAAAGGTTTCCTTGTTCTTAAAGAGACTCATGGTAAGAAAGAGTCTGTTTTGGCCGGGCACGGTGGCTCACGCCTGCAATCCCAGACCTTTGGGAGGCCGAGGCGGGCCGATCACCTGAGGTCGGGAGTTTGAGATAAGCCTGGCCAGCATGGTGAAACCCTGTCTCTATAAAAATACAAAAATTAGCTGGGCATGGTAGCAGGCACCTGTAATCCCAGCTACTCTGGAAGCTGAGGCAGGAGAATCGCTTGAACCCAGGAGGCGGAGGCTGCAGTGAGTCGAGATTGCACCATTGGACTCCAGCCTGGGCAATGGAGCGAGACTCCATCTCAAAAAAAAAAAAAGAAAGAAAGAAACAGTTTGTTTCCTTCAGCTAGATACTTTACTGTGTCAGTGAAATTCCTGGCTGTAATGTGGTCATTTCGTGACCATGAGATAATCTACCTGGAGGGTGGCAAACCAGAAAGACAGAAAAACCAGGGACTTCAATGACTTTGTTGAGTAGCTGAATTAACCAACCCTAGAGCTACTCTATCCCATGACATGATGTCATCATGTAAGCTAATTGATTTTCCTCATCGTAAAAGTCAGTTGAGTCAGGGTTTTGTGTTACTTGCAGTCAAAATGAACTTAAACGAACTGGGCACAGTTGAGTGTACCTATATTACCAGCTATTTGGGAGGCTGAGGCAGGAGGATCACTTCAGCTGAGGAGTTCTAGGCCAGCCTGGACAACATAGTGAGACCCATCTCTTAAAATAATAATAATTAAATGAATGCAAAAGCTATAGAGATGGAAAAGGCATGTTCTGGGTTCTGCAACACAAAAATTGAGGTCCAGAGGCCAAATCATACTATACTACAAACTTTAGCTTCAACATGAGATACAAATGGCTGGTAAACATAAGAAAAACTTGACCACACTATTAAAGATAAAAGCACTTTGAAACTACAATGAGATGTCATTTTTCAACTCCAGATTGACTAAGATCAAAAAGCTTCATCATATCCAATATTGTCAAGAAGAAACCAGCACACCCATTTGTTGCTGAGGGGATGGTAAATGGCATAAATCTATGGCCAGGAATTTGGCAATAACTTTCAAACCAAAAATGAACTTGACCCGACAATTCCAGTTTTAGGTATTTATCCTACAGATATAGTTGCATGTATGGAAAATGACCTGCACAAGGATGCTAGCTACAGCATTGTTTGTAAAAGCAAATTGGCTAACAACTATTTAATTGTTCATTAATAAGGGAGTGATAAATTATTACATTCATATTGAATTATATGCCACCATTAAAAGGAATGAAAAAATTCTATACCTATTAATATGGAACTATATCAAATAAATATTATTAATCAAGAAAAGCAATATGTTAAATAGTACAGAATGGTATGCTACTAATGTTTTTTTTTTTTTTGATACATAGTTTCACTCTGTTGCCCAGGCTGGAGTGCAGTGGCCTGATCTCAGCTCACTGCAACCTCTGCCTCCTGGGTTCAAGCTGGTATGCTACTATTTATGTATACAGGGAAGAATATTTGAAAATACATAAGACACATTTGGAATAATCGCAAGAAACTGATAGCATCAGCTGCCCCAAGGAAAGGAATTAAGTGGATGGAAGTCAGGGGAGGAAGGGAGACTGACTTCCACCAGATACCTATACATACCTTCTGAATTTTGTGCCATGTACGTACATTGCGTATTCAAAATAATTCATTAACAGAAGGAGGACTTAATTCCCCAAATAAAAGGATATCTTAATTGGAAATATCACAACCTATTAAGCTCAAAAGAAATCGTTTGATTTTTTCTATAAATGCAAAAATGGCATTTAATATTCAATATACATTCATTTTTAAGGGCTAGTAGAGCTAGAATGAGTCTTCTTAATAAAGAGTACCTAATATTGGACATCATATTAAATTATGATTTTTGTAGAAGCCATTGTCAATCCTTAGAGATCACAATAAGTTGCCTCTAAAAAAAACTAGACAGAAAATTAATCTCAAAATTAAATTAGTAAGATCCTCATACCACAAATGTGATCAGCTACATATTTGAAGGTAAATATAAAGATTGTAATTTGTGACTGAAGAGATTAAGAAGAGAAGTATTCCAGTCCTGGTGTTCTGGGAATAATTTCTGAGAGGCAGAAGAAGAATGTAACAGTAATGCCTCAAACGGAAACTTGAACCCTAGTTGGAAAAAGACCTAGTGCATGTGGGGGAATTAGTCAATCAGGCAAACACATCAGTTCCCCCTAAACATGGCTAAGTGGGGAGGAATCTCTTTGCCAAGCAGACTTCCATGTATACTTCCAGACTTAGCCATAAGCTGCCTTAGCTGGGAGATAATTCTTGAAATTAGCTCACTCCTTGGTCTGATTTCATGTTTCTTAAGCATCTCTGGATAACCTGGCTGTCTCTGAGGTTTATCTAAGAAGAGAACATATAATGATCAGGCTGACTTGAGCATCCTAGTCCACTCAAAGATTGTATTTTAATTGTAAACTGCTAAACTTCAAAGTCCCATTCCAGTTTCAGAGGATCTCCCCCAATCCCCACCACTACCTCCCACCTTGGAATCAGCTAAGTTCCCAGTTGCAGCTCCATTGCAGGCCATCTTGCTACAGGTGTGTCTTCTGTAAAACACCCTCTGTAGACAACTCTCCATCTCAGAGTCCGTTTCTATGGCACCCAGTCTAAGATACAATGTATGTATGCAAAATATATGTATATACATACATTTCTTTATAAAGAAATCTATAAAACCTTCTATGTGATGGCCGGGCATGGTGGCTCACGCCTGTAATCCCAGCACTTTGGGAGGCCAAGGCGGACAGATCACCTGAGGTCAGGAGTTCAAGACCAGCCTGACCAACATGGAGAAATCCCATCTCTACTAAAAATACAAAATTAGCTGGGCGTGGTGGTGCATGCCTGTAATCCCAGCTACTCAGGAGGCTGAGGCAGGAGAATGGCTTGAACCCAGGAGGCAGAGGTTGTGGTGAGCTGAGATCGTACCATTGCACTCCATCCTGGACAACTAGAGCAAAACTCTGTCTCAAAAAAAAAAAAAAAAAAACTTCTATGTTGTCTGAAAAGATGTGAATGAATGGAAAAATAGAAGTTCCTAGATGGGAAACCTAAATATTATATAAATATGTGTTTCCTACAATTTAAGTTACATATTTAGCAGAATCTTGGTAAAAATCCCAGAAGGATGTTTTTAAACATATGACAAAAGAAAGGAATAAAAGGAAAATTCTAAACAGGCAAGAAAGAAAACAGGCCTGGCACAGTGACTCACACCTGTAATCCCAGCACTTTGGGAGGCCAAGGTGAGAGGATTGCTTGAGGCCAGAAGTTCGAGGCTGCAGTGAGCCA
Source organism: Homo sapiens (assembly GCF_000001405.40). Taxonomy (NCBI): domain Eukaryota; kingdom Metazoa; phylum Chordata; class Mammalia; order Primates; family Hominidae; genus Homo; species Homo sapiens. Next base: position 65,341,289 of record NC_000014.9, on the reverse strand, counting down.
TGGTTGCACAATGCACTCCAGCCTGGATAACAGAGAGAGACCTTGACTCAAAAGAAAAAAAAAGAAAGAAAATCTGTTGCAGAAGGGAATGAAAGAGGGTGAACGAGATCTATCAAAAGTAAAAACCTATAAAAAAAATAAAATATTGAAGTTTTTTCTTTTTAGAGATGGGGTCTCACTGTTACCCAACCTGGTCTTGAATTCCTGGCCTCAAGTAATCTCCCACCTTAGCCCCTAAAAGTGCTGGAATTACAGGCATGAGCCACCACACCTGGCTTCCTGTATTGAAGTCTTGATTTAAGAATAGACAGGCCGGGCGCGGTGGCTCACGCCTGTAATCCCAGCACTTTGGGACACCAAGGCGGGCGATCACGAGGTCAGGAGCTCAAGACCAGCCTGGCCAACAAGGCAAAACCCCATCTCTACTAAAAATACAAAAAATTAGCCAGGCATGGTGGCAGGCACCTAATCCCAGCTACTCGGGAGGCGGAGGCAGGAGAATTGCTGGAACCCGGGAGGAGGAGATTGCAGTGAGCCGAGATTACACCACTGCACTCCAGCTCTGGTGACAGAGCAAGACTCCATTTCAAAAAAAAAAAAAAAAGGATAGACAGATTGGCTAGTGACTGTAATCTCAGCATTTTGGGAGGCCGAAGCAGGCAGATCACCTGAGGTCAGGAGTTCAAGACCAGCCAGGCCAACGTGGTGAAACCCCGTCTCTACTAAAAATACAAAAATTAGCCAGGCTGGTGGCACACACCTGTAGTCTCAGCTACTCAGGAGGTTGAGGCAGAAGAATCACTTGAACCCAGGAGGTGGAGGTTGCAGTGAGCCAAGATTGTGCCAGCGCACTCCAGCCTGGGTGATAGAGTGAGACTCCATCTCAAAAAAAAAAAAAGACAGATTTCTGTAATATAATAGAAAGATCATATCAAATATACACCCTGATATGCTTTGGCTCTGTGTCCCCACCCAAATCAAATGCTGAATTGTAATTCCCATCGTTGGGAGAGGGACCTAGTGGGAGGTGATTGGATCATGGCAGTGGATTTCCCCCATGCTGTTCTCGCGATAGTGAGTGAACTCTCACAAGATCTGATGTTTTAAAAGTGTGTGGCACGTCCCCCCTCACTCATTAGCTCTCTCTTGCTCCACTATGGAAAGATGTGCTTTGCTTCCTCTTCACCTTCTGCCATAATTTTAAGTTTCCCCAGGCCTCCCAGTCATGCTTCCTGTTAAGCCTGTGGAACTGTGAGTCAAATCTCTTTTCTTCATAAATAACCCAGTGTATGATAAAGCTATCATGATACAATGAGATCAACAAATATTTTTCTTTTTCTTTTCTTTTTTTTCTTTTGAGACAAAGTCTTGCTATCACCCAGGCTGGAGTGCAGTGGCGCAATCTCAGCTCACTGAAACTTCCACCTCCCAGGTTCAAGTGATTCTCCTGCTCCCAAGTAGCTGGGATTATGGGCATACAACACCATTCCCGGCTAATCTCTCTATTTTTAGTAGAGACGGGGTTTCTCCATGTTGACCAGACTGGTCTCGAACTCCTGACCTCAGGTGATCTGCCCGCCTTGGCCTCCCAAAGTGCTGGGATTACAGGCATGAGCCACCATGGCTGGCCAAATATTTTTCAATAAATGGTGGATGGATAACTGACCAGCAGTTTAAGAGGGAAGGGAAGAATTGAGATCCACACCTTATATATTAAAATTAATTTTGTTTGATTTCAAGTCTTAAAAACATTTAATACTGTGAAGTTCAGAAGAAAATAGGATTGAAAATTTGTCAAAACAGTAGTGGGAAGATGACTCTATAATTATAAGCAATACTAATTGCTTATAGTATAAGCAATAGTACATTGCTTCTAGTATAGCAATATAGTATACTACACAGAAAATATTAAAGTACTTAACTACATAAAAATTTTTTTAGGCTGGGCACGATGGCTAACGCCTGTAATCCCAGCACTCTGGGAGGCCGAGGCGGGCGGATGACGAGATCAGGAGATCAAGACCATCCTGGCTAACACAGTGAAACCCCGTCTCTACTAAATACACAAAAAATTAGCCAGGCGAGGTGGCAGGCGCCTGTTGTCCCAGCTACCTGGGAGGCTGAGGCAGGAGAATGGCATGAACCCAGGAGGCGGAGGTTGCAGTGAGCCGAGATCACACCACTGCACTCCAGCCTGGGTGACCGAGTGAGACTCTGTCTCAAAAAAATTAAAAATTCTTTATAAATAAATTTTATATGTAATACATCACCAGAATTAACAACAAACAACATACCAGGAGTTATATTTACAACAAGAACTATGTCAAGAACTCAGATAAGTTGATAAGAATCCCATTAAGATCTCAGCTGATAACTGAATAAAAACTAACAAAACAATTAACAAAAGAACAAGTATTAACAAACACACAAAAGTAGTCAATTTTACTAATTATCAAAAAGAAGCAAATTAAAAGAAGCATGGTATTTTTTCACTAAATTAATTAAATTAACTTTATTAAATGAACTCCTTTACTAAATTAATCCCTACCAAATTAAAATGGAAATCCCTAAATCCAAACCCAGTAATATCAGGACCTGTATTCCTTGGGTAGTACCATAAATTGATGTAACCAATTAGGAAAGTAATTTTAAGTCCTAAAAATATTTATGCCCTTTGACCTAATAAATCTCTTTGGAGAATGAATCGAGAGCAGAGCAGCAGAAGCCTAAAGCCATTGCCAAAACTCACAGTTTCATCCTTTCATGCTTTCCCTGAATTAGGCCTTCCCAGACCCTATGCCTGTGCTGTTCAATACAGTAGCCACTGTCCACATGCACCCCTCTTTCCTCCACAAGGTAATAAACTCCATAAGAGGTACCCTGTCAATCTTGTTTCCTGCAGAATACTAGATCTTAGAACAGTGCCTGGCACACAGTAGGCGTCAACAAATACTTAGTGAATGAATTTATGAATGAATGTCAAGCTATTCCACCAATCCTCCCCAAATACGCTTTGAGCTTTCTTGTCTCCAAGAAAGTCTTGCCTCAAAGTGTTTGTTTTTGCCCTCTTCTAACCAGAATCTTTATTGCTTATCTAAAACGATGTACTTTGAGCTTCAAGTAGAAACTGCCCAACTCAAAAGCATTTCATGATAAGATTTTTTTTTTAATCTTACAAAAGAAATTCAGGGCCGGGCACGGTGGCTCACGCCTGTAATCCCAGCACTTTGGGAGGCTGAGGTGGGCAGATCACGAGGTCAGGAGATGGAGACCATCCTGGCTAACATGGTGAAACCCCATCTCTACTAAAAATACAAAAAATTAGCTGGGCATGGGGGCAGGCGCCTGTAGACCCAGCTACTTGGGAGGCTGAGGCAGGAGAATGGCGTGAACCCGGGAGGCAGAGCTTGCAGTGAGCCAAGATCACACCACTGCACTCCAGCCTGGGCGACAGAGCAAGACTCTGTCTCAAAAAAAAAAAAAAAAAATTCAGAAGTTGTGCAGTTCCAGGGTTGGGTAATTCCATAGCTCAGCAATGTTCTCAAGGAACCATGCTTGTCCACCTTTTCTCTCTGCCACTCTGCAGCTGTTGCCTTTACCTTCCTCTTTATGTTTGCAAGATGGCAATAGCAGTTCAAGCTCTATGTCCTTAACAACATCTCAAGGCCAGAGTACCTTGCTTCCTTTTGAAGACTTAGAGATTTTCCCAGACGTCCCTTCTGCAGTTTCCTTTTATGTTCCATTGTCCAGAACTATAGCATATGCCTTATTTATTTTATTTTATTTTATTTTATTTATTTTGAGACAGGGTCTCACTCTGTGGTCCAGGCTAGAGTGCAGTGGCTCAATCATGGCTCACTGCAGTGTCAAACACCTGAGCTCAAGCAATTCTCCCACCTCAGCCTCCTGAGTAGTTGGGACTAAAGGTACGCACCACCGTGCCCTGCTAATTTTATTTTTTATTTTTGTAGAGAGGAGGGCTCACTATATTGTCCAGGCTGGTCTCAAACTCCTGGACTCAAGCAATCCTCTCATCTTGGCTTCTCAAAGTATGGGAATTACAGGTATGAGCCACCATGCCCAGGCCAGTACATTCCCATTCTTAAACCAGCCCATTTCTAAACCAGTTACTGGCAAGAGTAGAAAATTTTCATGATTGGCCTAAAGAATCCAGATTCACCTTCCTTGGGCTGGCTGAGTCCCGCATCCCAGAGCTCCTGGTTGATATAACTGAAAGAAGTGGAACTAGGGTAGGAGGCTGCACTCCAGGAGATAAAATGGTCTCAAAATAAGCCCTTGAGACTTTTTATAAGTCACAAAATCCTACTAGTTTTTCAAAGTGCAGCTCAAATCTTGGGTCTTTCATTAATCTTTCCCTTATTATCTTAACCAGAAGCAGCCCATCCCTGCTATAAATTTAAAACCTTGAGTATCGGCCAAAAACACTGGAATCATTCCTGATTTCTCTCTTTATGTCATAAATCATAACCCTATATCTCATCTATCTTGTCTACTCTACCTTCATTATATATCAGAATCTAATCTCATCTCACCACCCTTAGTCTCTTCTCTCTGGTCCAAGCCACCATCATCTTCATCTCATCCCGGATTATTGCAGCACCCTTCTCACTGGCCTCACACTTCTCCTTGTGCACTCTTGGAGTCCATGCTCAGAGTGATCCTTCCAAGGTGTGAGTCCAATCATGTCACTGCTCTACTCAAAGCCCTCCAATGGCTTCAAAACAAAATCTAAAGTCCTTACCACCACTTGCAGGGTCCTCAGTGATCCACTCTGTCACCTCTCTCATGTCCTCTCCTGCCCACAGTCTCCTGCTCACTACTTTCCAGCTACACTGGCCTGCTTGTTCTTAGAACTCACCAAGCACACTCCTTCCTGAGAGCCTTCGTGCTTGCTGCTCGCCTTGCTTAGAAAATTCTTCACAGACTCAGATGACTCACTCCCTCCTTCTTCAGATTTTGACTCAAATGTCTCCTTACCAGAGAGGTCTTCTCTGATCTCCCATCTAAAAAACCACATTCTCTTAACCATGTCACTCTACCCTCCTTAATCTGCTTCATTTTCCTTCAAAGTACTTCCCAGAAGCTGGTGTATTATACATATTTATTTGCTGACACTCATCTTGGCCTCTCAAAGTATGTCTTGTCTCATTAGAACATAAGATCTAGGGGGTGGGGGAATAGGGGAGGGATAGCATTAGGAGAAATACCTAATGTAGATGACGGGTTGATGGGTGCAGCAAACCACCATGGCATGTATATACCTATGTAACAAAGCTGCATGTTGTGCACATTTATTCCAGAACCTAAAAATATATATATACATATATACACATATATACGTGTGTTCCTTATACATATATATATATAAGGAACATAAGATCCATAAAGCCAGGGGTTTTATCTGTTTTGCTCCCTGTTTTTTGAGACAGCCAAGTGTAAAGGGGTCCCCTGAGAAACTCCGACTGGCCTGCGCACTGGGAGAACAGGGTGGAGCTGCAGAAGTTCACACCCTTTGCAGCAGGAAGGAGCCTGGCCTCTCCTGATCCAGGGTAGTACATGGGATTCAATCAGTGAGGCAGGAAAAACCAGCAAGCAGGACTCTCACTTTGCTGAGAGTCCCTGTTTCCATTTATTTTCCTTTTTGCCCAATAAGTTCCATTCTTCTCACCCTTCAAAGTGTCTGCAAGCCTAATCTCTCATGGCTGTGTGACAAGAATCCGGCTTTTAGTTGAACTAAGGAGAAAGTCCTATAACACTTTAGCCTCAGAGCTTACAACAAAACATAATTAGTGCTCCATATATATTTGTTCAATACTTATGTATTCCCTTAATGTTTGTTATCTGTTGGGCATGGTCTCTAGCTGCTATCTTTACACACATCCTGTCTCTTCAACGGGAACATACGATTCTTAAAGGCCAGAGCTGAGTCTTAAAGCTCAAGGCCTTAACATAAAGAGGCCACTCCAAAGTGTATGTTGTTGACATTTGGAGGGAGGATACATTGGGGCAGTAACAGCTGTTGTTATGTTACCTACCCGCTCTTGGCAGGGCCCTGAGAAGCTGAGGTATGAGACACAACAGCATATTTAGGAGAGAGATGCCGCCTTGCTCCTTGAACAGGAGGAGCAAGGCGGCATCTCTCTGATACTAAAAGGAGAATACGGGAGCACCTTTCTTACCTACATTTCCCCTGGAACTAGTCTTTCCACTTGCAAGTTTGTTTACAATTCCACGTTCTTTGCAACTGAATGGGGCCTCACCCTCATTAATTGGTGGCAAAGGTCACTCCTTAACAGATGCTAAACAGAAGCAGAGCAAAGTTAAGGGTGGCTAAGGTCACACAGAGTCGTTGCTCAAATTTAGGAAGGAAACCCACCTAGTGTGAGGTGGGGCCCCAGGAGGGGCATCTGAGCCCCAAGAGAGCAGCTCTCTTTAGCCCCTGCTCTAGTTTCTTTGCAGTTCTCCTAAAGAAGTTCACCAGCAAGGCCATTTACCAGACACCAGGGAATCAGGCCACTTTCAAATGTTGATAGCATTACGCTTGCCAGAGGAGAAAGGGACAAGTGAGGAGACTGAAGACAGTGCTTTCAAGAAAAAGAAGAAAAAGATATTGAATGTGCACTCGCTAAGCCAAAAAAGCAAATGCCAGGAAGAACCGTGAGCCTTGTTTGAAGCCAAGTCTGCGCAGAAGAGTCCCAGGTGTAGGGAAGGAGGAGCTGAGGTGGTCTGAGGACGCACAGCAAATGCCCTGGGGGGTGGGGCGGGAGGAGAGAACATATTTTAAGCAACCTTAAAAGACTCGTTTTAGCATTCCGCAGGAAATGAAAAGCAGATGTGTTGGTTTGGAACTTGTTTACATATTTGGCCTCTGAGAAGCTTCCAGGACAGTTAGGACTGGAGAGAAGGGGTATTTTAGGCAAATGCTATAGTCTCCACTTGGAGAGAGTGGGGCCCTTCATTGGCTCACCTGCTTCCTGAGAAGCAAGCATTTAGGCTGAAAGACCATCATTGTCCCTAAGACAGGTCTGGCTAGAATAAACCAGGATTTGATATACAGAACTGGTCTCCTTGTACCTTCTTACAGAAACTAAGGGTTGTTGCACCTCCTCTCTTGCTTTCAAGTCACACCCACTGGGCAGAGAAGTGAAATCAGAGGCCTGGACATTGGGAGGATGATGGGATGGTTCACACCAAAGGTCCTGAGATTTGCAGAAGGCTTGTTAGAATACAGATTACTGGGTCTCACCAGCTCAGCCGAGCTAAGATGAGGCCAGTGGCTACACACTGGAATCATCTGGAGATTAAAATAGACTGATAGCTGAGCCCTGTTCCCACAGATTCTGATATTAATTGGTCTGGGGTGTGACTTAGGCATTTTTTAAAAATTATTTTTAATATATAATAGAGAGGGGGTCTTACCATGTTGCCTAGCTGGTCTCAAACTCCTGGCCTCAAGCAGTCCTCCTGACTCAGCCTCCCAAAGAGCTGGGATTATAGGCGTGAGCAACCATGCCCAGCTGACTTGGGCATTGTTTAAAGCTCTCCAGATAATTATAAGGTATAGCCAAGGTTGAGAACCATTGAACTATTTATCTTTTACCTGCTCTCATCATTCCATCCCTAGATTAACTTCAATTTACCTTCATAACATGTTCACAAGGTGGTTAGGACCACAGGAGACCGTGGGATCTAAATTAGGCATAAACCTGGATTTAGAGAAGGGGCTAAAAGAATATTGCTCTCAGAGACATCAACTATCAAAAAATCTATGTAAATGCAGGCAATTCCCCTTTTTTGTAGTATGTCCAGGAAATGGCGCTCCTTAAAAGATATTTTTTAGTTGCTAAGGGACAGGAAAAGTAGCAATCTTTAACACTTATTGAGCATTTATTATGTGCCAAGTACTCTTCCAAGTGCTTTCATTTTAAATTAATTTAATTTCCACAACAGCTCAATGATGTTGGAGCTGTTATTTTCCCCATTTAGCAAATGAGGAAACTGAGATACTAGGAGATGAACTAATTTGTCCAAAATCACACAATTAGTCAGTGGTAGAGCTGGCTTTCAAATTTTGGTGTGCCTCTGAATTACGGAGACTACGGAGACTCCGCTGAGAAAGAAAAATAGCTCAGATCAGTCTGAGCTATGTGAAGTATACAAAATTTATCAAGCCTGGAGAGACAGGAGTATGGGACTTCAGTCACATCTCTGCGCCCATGTCCAGGGCAACTGTGTAAAGGCATTTTGTTCCTGCTTAACTGCCTTACCCATTATCTTCATGTTGGAATTTGTGATGCAAAGAATAACACATACCCAATCAATAGCTTATGTTATTTTAGTATAAATTCTTGGTAAACAATTTAGGAGCTGCCTCTTCTTTATTCCTTAAAAATCCTCTTGTAGCTATTTCTAATCAGAGTGTGGGTTTAGGGCAACTTGAATCTATGCTCTTGGGTGGCCACCCTCAAGCTTTGAGCTTGAATAAACTTGAAGCCATCTTCACCATGTTAACAAGAATTCTGGACAGAAATATAGTTATGATTAAGCATTAATTAGGCTGCACTGTGGCTCACTTCCTTGTAACAACAGGAAGTGAAAGTTGTGGAGTACTAGATCCTGACCACTTGCATCCTCATTGTTCCTACAGATAGTATTTCTGTCTGAGGTTAGAATCATCAGGCCTCTGATTAAGATAGATAGAATCTCTGACATTAGAATCATAAGGCTTTTGTTTAAGAATTGCTTAAGATGTTTTTCAGATCCCAAATTTGAGCTGATGCCAACAAGTTTGAAGACCCCCAGAGGAGAGCAGAATCAGCATGAGAATATAGTTTCTTCATCTCCCTGTTCTATGACTTCATCCTGCACCCTTGGGCCAAGCAAAGATCTCCACACTTCAGCCCACTCCAAAATCACTAAAAATTCTAGACCCAAATTCCTTGGAGAGACTGATTTGAGGTTTCCTCCCATCACATTCAGCTGCCCTACAATTAAACCTCTTTCTCTCTTGCAACTAGGTGTTTCAGCGTATTGACTTGCTATGCACATTGGGCAATGAAACGATTATGGTTACAAACTCTATATTTAATCATCTCTTCAGAATCTCATTAATTTAGGTTGTGAACCCCAAATATCTGAGACAGGTCTCAATTTAGAAACTTTATTTTTTCAAGGTTAAGGATGCACCCGTGACACAGCCTCAGGAAGTCCCATGACATGTGCCCAAGGTGGTCGGGGCACAGCTTGGTTTCATACATTTTAGGAAGACATAAGACGTCAATCAATATATGTAAGATGTACATTGGTTCAATCAGAAAGGTGGGACAACTTGAAGCAGGGAGGGGGCCTCCAGGTCATAGATAGACAAACATTCTTTTGAGTTTCCAATTACCCTTTCCAAAAGAAGCAATCAGATATGCATTTATCTCAGTGAGCAGAGGGATGACTTTGCGTTCTGTTTGTCCTTTGTCCAAAAGGAATTTCCTTGTAGACAAATTGTGAGGCAGGTATATAGCTTTTTTATCTTAGTAGCTATCTCCTTTAAGGAATAGAATGGGAGGCATGTTTGCCCTAAGCAGCTCCCAGCTTGACTTTTCTCTTTGGGGGGGTCCAAAGATTTATTTTCCTTTCACAAGGTTGACACTGTTCAAAATACTAATGACCAGGCTCTAACCGAGACCAACTGGATCAGGATCTCCTGGAGTGGATCTTTATCAAAATTATTATTATTATTATTATTATTATTATTATTATTATTATTGAGATGGAGGCTCACTCTGTCACCCAGGCTGGAGCGCAGTGGCGTGATCTCAGCTCACTGCAACCCTCCACCTCTTGGGTTCAAGCGATTGTCCTGCCTCAGCCTCCTGAGTAGCTGGGATGACAGGCACGCACCACCATACCCGGCTAATTTTTGTATTTTAGTGGAGACAGGGTTTCACCATGTTGGCCAAGCTGGTCTCAAACTCCTGACCTCAAGTGATCAACCTGCCTTGGCCTCCCAAAGTGCTGGGATTACAGGCGAGAACCTGGCATATCAAAATTATTTTTAACAAATCTCCTAGAGAGTTAGTTGTTGGACAAGATATGAGGCCACTGTTGGGGGTTATTTATTTATTTAGAGACAAGATCCCTCTGTTACCCAGGCTGGATTGTAGTGGCACTGTCATGGCTCACTGCAGCCTCAACTTCCTGGGCTCAAGTGATCCTTCTGCCACAGCCTCCCAAGTAGCTAGGACTACATGTACACACCACCATGCCCAGCTGATTTTTTTGTTTTTTGTAGAGACAGAGTCTCACCATGTTGCCCAGACTGGTCTAGAACTCCTGGCCTCAAGTGATTCTGCCTTGGCCTCCCAAATTTCTGGGATTACAGGCTTGAGCCACTGTGCCCAGCCTCACTGTTGGGGTTTAAAATGAAGACTTTGGAATCAGGTTATCCTAGGTTCATTATTTTGCCACCACTTACAACTGGAATCTTTTAACAAATTCCCCATTCTCCCTTTGAATTTTCATTTCCTCATCTGCGTTGGAATGATTATACTTAGTTCTTGAGATTGTTCTGAAGATTACATGGGTTTAAGGTACTTAGCATAAAAATAGAGGCTGGAACATTGCAACTCCAGAAGGTATTTTGAGACATTAAACAGGTCCTCCCTTCTACCATCAACAAAACACACTTCACCACATTCTACTGCTCTGCAGACCCAGGCATGCCCTGCCCCAGGGAAAAGTGAGGTTATCATAGCTGGAATGCCAAGAAAAAGAAAGTCAGTGGTTAACTTTTGAGATTCAAATGAGATTGCTGAACACAAGACCTAGATTTGAGAGAAAATACTTTTTGAGCATTCAGGAACTCTTTGGCCCTAAATCGTTATTTTGAACCAAATAAGAACGGTCTGAAAGAACTCTCCCCACTCCTCCATGCAAGATTACCAGCCCCTAGATACTTTCGTAGGGTTATCTAGACTGGAGAGATGTGTGGTCTCCAAGGAAGGCCCCTATCATCTTCCCAGGGTGAATTATTTTAGCAGAGAGGGAACTCTGGCTGGCAAGTAGAACACAAGATAAGCCTTGAGGAAACTAAGAATAGAGGAAATTTGTGTCTACTTCCTATCTAGGGAGGGCAGCTGACCCCACACATTTGCTTATGCTACAGTGATATGGGGTCAACAGAGCACAGATGGTTGTTCGGGTGATGGGGGAGAGAGCTCAGTGACAGCCTTGTTTCTGGCTGTGGTAGCTGTGGGAAAGTAGCTGGACTGCCCCACTGTCATGCCGAGAAGTGCTCAGAGGTGAGCTGAGAGGGAGAGTTGGCAGCTCAAAGTGGTCATGCCATGGAGAAACAATGATGGATGGCAGTGCAAACCAAAAATTCTAAGCCCCCAGCCACCTGAATGGACCTCCTCATCTCAGCAAAGGACATTCCAATGTTAACCTGAAAAGTTAGTTCAGGCCATGATGGGAAGGGGGGTCAGACATGCTTCATCATACCTTCCTCTCTTTGAGTATTCAGGAAAAGCTGACCAGCATTAACATCAGCACAGACCTTAAGACTTGTTAACAGACTAAGTCTGACAAACATTTACAGTCTATTCCCTCTGAAGTCTGCTGCCTGGAGGCCTCACCTGCATGACAAAATCTTGGTCTCTACAACCCCTTATCTTAACCCAGGCATTCTTTTTTCTGAGACAGGGTCTCGCTCTGTCACCCAGTCTGGAGTGCAGTGGCGCAGTCTCACTCACTGCAACCTCTGCTTCCTGGGCTCAAGCAATTCTCCTGCCTCCACTTCCAAGTAGCTGGGATTGCAGGCGTGAGCCACCACCCCAGCTCATTTTTGTATTTTTTGTAGAGATGGCATTTCATCACGTTGCCCGGGCTGGTCTTGAACACCTGAGCTCAAGTGATCTGCTCACCTCAGCCTCCCACAGTGCTGGGATTACAGGCATGAGCCACTGCACCTGGCCCAGACATACCTTTCTATTGATAATAACTCTTTCAACCAACTGCCAATCAGAAAATCTTTGAATCTGCCTATGACCTAGAAGCCCCTGCTTCTGGTTGTCCTTTCTGAACCAAACCAATGTACATCTTACAGGTATTGACTGATATCTTATGTCTCCCTAAGGTGTATAAAACCAAGCTGTAGCCTGACCACCTTGGGAACATGTTGTCAGAAACATCTCCTGAGGGCTGTGTCATGGGCCATTGGCCACTCATATTTGGCTCAGAATAAATTTCTTCAAATAGTTTACAGAGTTTGACCCTTTGTCAATAGCAGCATGAGCTGAGCAAACTAGATGGGCATACAGCTGCTTTAGAGGACAACACGGGGCTATGCTAGTATCTCTGGATGCCCAGGGATGAGCTGTTCCCCATCTCTGGAGCTACCAACTCCGAGCACATGGTGTTACAAGGGTTCCTCCTTCCCACTCTCCTACAATTGAGATTCCAGCTAAAGGAGATCAAGGGAGAGAGGATGAGTATGAATGAATGAATTTCCTACTGGATTAATTTTTCTGCATTACACAGAATGAGAGTCTAAGATCAAAATTGTGTTCTGTTTTAGAAAATCACAGATGTATCCGTACATATCTAAAACTATCTCATAAAATTAATGCCTGCTAATCATTAGAACTATCAAGCTTCCCAAAACTCAGCAAGATGAGCAAGACGTAGTATGGCTCCCTAAAAAGTAGCACAACAATCAATACGAAATAGATTGAATCAGCAGATATCTTTAAAATGGCAGTGTGTTTACAAGGAGTTTTGAGTGACATAAAAACATTGAAAATTAAATATTGAGGACAGGCGCAGGCTCATGCCTATAATCCCAGCACTTTGGGAGGCCAAGGCGGGCAGGGGTCAGGGGTTTGAGACCAGCCTGGCCAACATGGTGAAACCCCGTCTCCACTAAAAATACAAAATTAGCCAGGCATGGTGATTGGTGCCTGTAATCCCAGGTACTCGGTAGGCTGAGGCAGGAGAATTGCTTTAACCTAGGAGACAGAGTTTGCAGTAAGCAGAGATGGAACCACTGTACTCCAGCCTGGGTGACAGAGTGAGACTCCGTCTCAAAAAATAATAATAATAAAAATAAATAAACATTGAAAAAGGGGAGTGGAAGCCCAGCATTATTGCAACACTGTCTAGGGAAGAAAGACACTGTGTCTGTTAGACTGGATTGTTATTCCAGGTTCTGAGTGGTGTCCCTGCAGTCAAACCTCCAGAGTTCCTATGTTCTACTGTGGTCTGGATGCATAGCCCATGAAGCTATTCAACGTGCTTCACTACAGTTTGAAATTCACCGATGACAAACTTGGTTTTCCAAACACCTAAAGGAGAGAGGTGCAAATAGTAGGCACAAAGGCTCTGCTATGTTGAAACGTGTGCCCTGCCCTGTAAACCCACACATTGGGGTTCTGGTTTACAAATAAGTCTCTGGTGAGTTAATTAATGGATGCCTCCTAGATAGGGTTGTCAGATGTAGCAAATAAAAATACAAATATTGGGGCCAAGTGCAGTGGTTCATGCCTGTAATACTAGCACTTTGGAAGTCTGAATTGGAAGAATCACTTGAGGCCAGGAGTTCTGGACCAGCCTGGACAACATAGTGAGACCCTGTCTCTACAAAAAATTTTAAAAATTAGCAGCTGGGCACGGTGGCACACACATGCAGTCTTAGCTGTTTGGGAGGCTGAGGCAGGAGGATCTCCTAATCCCAGGAGTTCTAAGGGTTGCAGTGAGCGGCAATCGCAGAACTGCACTCCAGCCTGGGTGACAAAGAGAGACTCTGTCTCTAAAACAAAACAAATATCACATGGGATACACTTATACTAAAAATTATTCATTGTTTATCTAAGATTCAAATTTTACTGGGCACCCTGTATTTTTCTGTCAACCCTACCAGAGCCTGCCCACTGCCAGGTATACTAATAAAATGGAGATCCTACATCTGCAAGGCTGAGGACCAGTCCTCGCCCCAAGACCACCCTCACCAACATAATGCTGCTCTCAGGGAGCCCACCTAAGTAACCAGCCCAAGGTTAGGTTAGGTTAGGTTTAGACTTTCACACACACACACAAACACACACACACACACACACACACACACATACACACACACACACACACACTGCCCCTCTCTCTCCCCCTCTCTCCTCTCTCTCTCTCTCTCCTTTTCTCTTCTCTCTTCCTTTTATAAGTATTTTTTTATTAAAAATCTTTTTTTTGTTTGTTTTTTTGAGACGGAGTTTCGCTCTTGCTGCCAGGCTGGAGTGCAATGGCGCGATCTCGGCTCACTGCAACCTCCGCCTCCCAGGTTCAAGCGATTACCCTGCCTCAGCCTCCTGAGTAGCTGGGATTTCAGGCATGCACCACCACGCCCGGCTAATTTTGTATTTTTAGTAGAGACGGGGTTTCTCCATGTTGGTCAGGCTGGTCTTGAACTCCCAACCTCAGGTGATCTGCCGGCCTCGGCCTCCCAAAGGGCTGGGATTACAGGCATGAACCACCACACCTGGCCAAAAATCATTTTTAGCCGACACACACAACAAAACATATTTATGGGACACATAGTGATATTTCAATACACATAATATATAGTGATCATCAGATCAGGGTAATTAGCATATCCATCATCTTGAACATTTATCTTTTTTGGTTTAGAGACAGGGTATTGCTCTGTTGCCCAGGCTGGAGTGCAGTGGCTTGATCATAGTTCATAGTTCACTATAACCTCAAACTCCTGGACTTAAGCAATCTGCCTGCCTCGGCCTCCAGAGTAGCTAGGACTATATGCATTCACCACAACCTGGCTAATCAAACATTTATCATTTATTTGTGTTGGGAACATTCAATATCCTCTTGGAGTTATTTGAAACTATATAATATACTACTGTTAACTATAGTCATCCTACAGTGCTTTAGAACACTAGAATTTATTCCAACTTATTCCTCCTATCTAGCTGTAATTTTGTATCCTTTACAAATCTCTTCCCATACCCACTTCCCGCTACCTTCCCAAGCCTCTAGTATCCTCTGTTCTACTTTTTACTTCCATAAGATCGACCTTTTTTAGTTTCCACATATGGGTGAGAACATGTGGTGTTTAACTTTCTGTTCAAGTTATCTGGTTTATTTCACTTAGCACAATGTCCTCCATTCCATCCATGTTATTGCAAATGACAGGATTTTGTCCTTTTTATGGCTGAGTAGTATTTTATTGTGTATATATACCACATTTTCTTTACCAATTCATCTGTTGTTGGACACCTGGGTTGACTCCCTATCTTGGCTATTGTGAATAGTACTGCAGTAAATATGGGGGTGCAGATGTCTCTTCAATATGTTGATTTCATACCCTTTTAGTATATACCCAGTAGGGGGATTGCTGGATCATATGGAAGTTTGATTTGTAGTTTTTTGAGGAAACGCCATACTGTTCTCCATAATGACTATGCCAGTTCGTGTTCCCACATAATAATCTTCATTCCTTCAAAGTTGATAATATATATGCCTGTTTATCTATAGACACACAGTATCGGGAGCTGAAGAATGAATAGTTCTAAGCCAGGCTTGTTGTTAGGTTGAAAAAAAACCCAACCAGCCAACCACCAATTTGGTTTTTCTCAAGCTGTCAGCTGAAGCAGAGAGAAGTAAAATGTTAAGTTGAGGGTGTTTTAAGGAACAAAGAAGATGCTATACTTGATCCCATATTCTCTTTATTTATACACAAAGTAAACAATCTCCCTTATTAAGCTTTCCAGGAATTTACCACCTGTTAATTCCAAGACCAAATTCACAACTTGGACAATACATGTATAAAATTGAAAGTCATTTATTGGTGGCATCCAAGGAGGTAATGAACATTATTAACAACATCTATTATGTTGTAAGATTAGTTGCTTCCCTGCAGTAGCTAGTCAAATATGAATTCTTATTGTCTTTCAATAAAGAGAATTTCTATTCCTTTTTTTTTTTTTTTTTTTTTGAGATGGAGTCTCGTTCTGTTGCCCAGGCTGGAGTGCAGTGGCGCAATCTCGGCTCACCGCAACCTCTGCCTCCGGGGTTCAAGCGATTCTCCTGCCTCAGCCTCCCGAGTAGCTGGGATTACAGGCAAGTGCCACCATGCCCGGGTAATTTTTGTATTTTTTTAGTAGCGAAGGGGTTTCACCCTGTTGGCCAGGCTGGTCTCAAACTCCTGACCTCAGGTGATCCGCCAGCCTTGGCCTCCCAAAGTGCTGGGATTACAGGCGTGAGCCACTGTGCCGGGCCAAGAATTTCTTTTCCTTTACCTGACTCTCCTTTCTGATTTTTGCCTAAATCATAATCCTGGGCTTTACTATCCATTACATCCTGAGATCCTTAGCCTTCAGATAACCTTATAGAAAAATCAGTTAATGTAACTGTGTAGGGCCACCTCATTTGTTGTACCTAGGGAAAATTAAGTTAGGAGGATCACCACAGAATAAACAGGGGAACAGGTTTGGCCTGTGATTCAGTGAGCAAAAAAGATCTTGCTCTTTTCCCAAGCCAGCTCTCCTCTCTTTCTCAGCACTAACATATTATAGGATGTCAGTATCTTTTTTTTTTTTTTTTTTTTTTTGAGACAAGAGTATCGCTGTGTTGCCCAGGATGGAGTGCAGTGATGTGAACAGGGCTCACTGCAGCCTCAACCTCCTGGGCTCAAGCAATCCTCCTGCCTCGATCTCCTGAGTAGCTGGGACTAGAGGCGCACACCACCATGCCAGGCTAATTTTTTAATTTTTTTGTTTTTGTTTTTGAGACAGTGTCTTGCTGTGTCACCCAGGCTAGAGTTCTCAAGCGATTCTCCTGCCTCAGCCATCCGAACAGCTGGGACTACAGGTGCCTGCCACCATGCCCGGCTAATTTTTGTATTTTTAGTAGAGATGGGGTTTCACCATGTTGGCCAGGCTGGTCTCGAACTCCTGACCAAAAGTGATCCGCCTGCTTTGGTCTCCCAAAGTGCTGGGATTACAGGTGTGAGCCACCGTGCCTGGCTTAGGATGTCAGTATCTTATACTTGACTGTGGCTTCCCTTTATCTTCTTCTAAAGAGGTTTCTGCCCTCTCTAGAGAGACAATATTGATTCCTTATCCCCAGATCGGATGGAGTTAAGTTCATGCTACTTGACTCCAGCCATCATCAACCTCTTCCATTCTAGACATAAAGTGCAATTTTTGCTAAGGAACTAAAGAGTCTCTCTGGTAAAGTGTGATTTAGGTCATTCTTCTAGATTCGGGTTTTAATTCACGGCTGGCATTTCCAAAGTAGTTTAGGGTGAGCATCTGAAATAAATGAGTCATCTCGGTCCTTCTATTTCTTCTATTTCCCATTATTTTCCAACTTAAACATCTAGGGACTAAAGATTAATTTATCCTCCCAATGCTGGCAACAGGCAAGTCATTCTGTAATATATATTGGGAAATTAATGGACTTCCATTAGGGGAGAAGTAAACAAAAGTTGATAATATATATGCCGGTTTATCTATAGACACACAGTATCAGGAGCTGAAGAATGAATAGCTCTAAGCCAGGCTTGTTGTTAGGTTGAAAAAAAACCCAACCAGCCAACCACCAATTTGGTTTTTCTCAAGCTGTCAGCTGAAGCAGACAGAAGTAAAATGTTAAGTTGAGGGTGTTTTAAGGAACAAAGAAGATGCTATACTTGTTCCCATATTCTCCACCAAGTCAACCCTCCTTATGTGGCAGGGAGAGCTGCACTCAGACCCCGGATGCCTAGGGAGAAACTGGGAGGAATTTTTGCTCCCATCGCAGGTAGGATCTGGTGGTTTGTTGAAATCCACGTGGTTAGGAAACCTCAGATTAATCACCTGAGTGGTTTGGGAGACAGGTTGCTAGAGGCCAGAGGCACTCAGAGGCAAAAGGACACTGAGGCTTTATAAAGGCTCCTTCCATGGTGGACACTTGACAGCAGACACAGCAACCTACGATATCAGCCTCAGCGTTTACTGTTCCCCTACTCCAGAGTACAAAATATCTCCCTAGGTATTGAGCAAAAACACTGCGAGAACCATTCAACCTACTTCTATATAAATGTAGTCTTCATACTACATTAGACATTTTTTTTTTTTTTTTGAGACGCAGTCTGGCTCTATTGCCCAGGCTGGAGTACAGTGGCGTGATCTCGGCTCACTGCAACCTCCGCCTTCCGGGATCAAGCGAGTCTCCTGCCTCAGCCTCCGGAGTAGCTGGGATTACAGGCATGCACCACCGCGCCCGGCTAATTTTGTATTTTTAGTAGAGACGGGGTTTCGCCATGTTGGTCAGGCTGGTCTCGAACTCCTGACCTCGTGATCATCCCGCCTCGGTCCCCAAAGTGCTGGGATTACAGGTGTGAGCCACTACACCCGGCCGACATAAGACGTTTTGTTGGCTAACATTAGTACAGCACCCTAGAGTTTGTAAAGTGCACTCAGATCGATGGTCTTAATTGATCCAGTTGCACACAAACCTTATCATGATGTTCTGATTGTGAGCCATCAGTAAATAGTGGTGGTACTGAAGTTCTCCAGAACATGTCTCAGTCAGGGAAACCCTTCAATATGGTCTTACAAAGAAATATTAGTTTATTTGATAACTGAAAAGACAGAGGGTCTTGCTCTGTCACCCAGGCTGGAGTGCAGTGGCTTGATCATGGCTCACTGCAGCCTTGAGCTCCTGGGCTCAAGTGATCCTTCCACCTCAGCTTTCTGGGTAGCTGGGACTAGAGGCACACACCACCACACCCAGCTAGTTTTTAATTTTTTTTTTTTGTAGAGGTGGGGTCTTGCTATATTTCCCAGGTTGGTCTTGAACTCCTGGCCTCAAGTAATCCTCCTGCCTTGGCCTCTCAAAGCACTGGGATTACAAGTGTGAGCCACTGCACCTAGCCATAAGATATATTTAAGACAAAAGCTAATTGGTGTTGGCAGGTAAAACTCAAGAAAGGTGCAGGTATCCAGGTCCTCTTCTCTCCCTGGATCCTGTAGACAGTTGGGCTTTTTGGGGTGCAGCTGGATGCACCATCAATCATCTGAGGAGGGACCCCTGGTACCTCTTCCTTTTCATAGGTCAACTTGAGAGGGACTTTGCTGTGGTGGGAAAGTATTTCAGGGTTCAGACACTGATCAGCATGAGCATAGGGGCCCAAGGCTTAAGGAAGTGCTATGAAATGCCCAGCTAGTGTCTTCAGATCTCCTGGTACCATAGGAAGTTGAAGTTGGGCACAGCCAGCCTCTCCTCTTGGGGAAACAGTAAGGTAGCCCATTGCCAGGCAAACCCAAAAGGAGCTCTTAGGACCATTCATTGGATATTCCTATTTGTCACACCACACTTTCTACCCATATCCCCCAAACTTAGCTAGTACTTAGAACATAAAAAGTACTCCAAAAATAACTACAGCTGCCATTAATTGAGGGCCTATTGTGTGCAAGTGACTTGGCATATTTTATCACTAGTTCTCACAATGACTGTGCAAGATAGGTATTATTAGCTCTATTTTATAGATGAGGAAACAGAAGCTAGAGAAGGCTAAGTGACTTGCTTAGTAATATGCAAGTCACATAGAGCTAGTAAATGGTGGAGCTGAAATATGAACCCATATCTCTGTGACTCCTTTTACCCCCAGGCTATGTAGCCTGTCACTGTGAACATAGTCTCTCTCCTCTCCTCCCCACTGGCCCCCGTACATGTGTGTCTGTCTGTCTCCAGCTCGACCTCTCCCTGTCCTGCTGTCTCTGTTTCTCTCTCATCTGTGGGTAGGTTCCCACCACTTCCTTTCCTGAAGTCCATGCCTTGCGTGCCTGCCTACTGAAATGTGCTTCACCAGTGAGGCCTCCTGACCCTTCTGCATTGTCACAAGCTGGCCTGGATGATTTTTCTCACCTCACCCAGTCTAGTTTGCTCTCTACCTTCCAAGCCCAGCAGGTACTTGAAAAGTAGTGGTCATCTGCTGTTAGTAAAAGCTCCAAGTAAGAAAAATGTAAGCTAAACTAGGAGCAGAACAAAAAGGAAGTTAAGAGATAAGAACCAAACCTGGTTTCTTGGCAGGGCACTTAGGGAAAGAATGACCCAAGGTCAGTCAAACCTGCACCCTAAAGCAGGAAGGGCCTCTGGCCTTTTCACTCAGCAAGATGCTCAGGGGACAACCCAGAACATAGTGACTCTGGCTGAGGACGCTGTTACATTCCCCAGGGACTTGTAAGGCCTAACAATCACCATCCTCCTCCCGCTCCTCCTCATCAAATGCATTTATTAAACAGCCTAATTATTAAACAAGGCAGGTGGAAGAGAAAGGTGGGAAATTGGAAGGTTGAATCAAGCTTTTTAAAAAGCTAGAAAAATGACTCACTTTGTGTAACCTCTCATTTGGAGAAAAAAGTGGATGTTCCTGATCCAGCCAGGTACATTTTTAGACCTGTAGGGGAGAGATAGGGAAACAGACCATTTTTTCTCTCAGTCACAACTACTGTGAGCTCAGAGCTGAACTGCCAGGCCTCTAGAATAAATTCAGAGGATTTATTCTTCCAACAAGGGCCAGAAAACTGACAGAATCACAGGCAAGAATAATATCTGTTCAAGTCAATGTTTAGAATATTAGAAGTGTGAAGACATTTTATTAGCAAATCCACCAGATTTTCTCCTTAAGGTAAGAAATTGTGCTCTATTTTTTTCTCCTTCCTTTTTCTTTCTTTCTTTCTCTCTTTCTTTCTCTTTCTCTCTCTCTCTTTCTTTCAGAGTCTCACTCTATTGCCCAGGCAATCTCAGTTCACTGCAACCTCCACCTCCTAGGTTCAAGTGATTCTCCTGCCTCAGCCTCCTGAGTAGCTGGGATTACAGGCATGCACCTCCATGCCCAGCTAATTTTTGTATTTTTAGTACAGAGAAGGTTTCATCATGTTGACCAGGCTGGTCTCAAACTTCTGACCTCAGGTGATCCACCCACTTTGGCCTCCCAAAGTGCTGGGATTACAGGCATGAGCCACCACGCCCAGCTATTTAGTTTTAAATCCTGGGATGGAGCCCAGTGTCTGACACAGAGAGATGCTCAATAAATGTTTGCTAGGGCCAGGCATGGTGGCTCATGCCTGTAATACCAGCACTTCAGAAGGCCAAGGCAGGAGAATCATTTGAGCCCAAGAGTCCGAGACCAGCCTGGGCAATATAGCAAGATCCCCATCTCTACAAAAAAAAATTTAAAACAATTATATTGAAAAGCTTACTAGGATAAAATTGAAGGCAAGAGCTGAGTCTTGCACAATTTTGTATTCCATTCAGTGCCCAGCACTAAGTGAATGAGTGCCTGCAGGCATTAATGAATGAAAAATGCACTTTTTGATTTGCCTTTGAAGGAAAGCATATGCCTTTGCAAGCAGTGGTATCATCTTCCTAATTATCCAAGAAGTCTGTGTTCTCTTCTTAATTTCATTTTGATTTTGTTCCCTTAAGAAGACAGAGCTTTTGCTAAACGAATCTGGCTACTAAAAAGAAACAGTTCTGCTGGCTTTTCTTCTTCCTCATGTAGTGGCAAACAGTCCTGAACTTCTGGATCTGTCAAGGTATTTCCTATGTTCCTGTCTGGGCACAGGTCAGGATTCTCCCAGGAGCTGGTCTCATTTGCCTTCAGCTTTCCTGGTCCTCCTGTCGAATCTCACCTCTCCTCCTTGTTCTTTGTTTTGCCCCAGTTGAGTTTTAATCCCTTTTGCCCAGCAGCTCCCTCCTCTCCCAGTACAGTAAATCTCATCTCTCTCAGTGTAGCACATTAGCACATTTACGTGGAAAGTATTTAATACATATGGATCATATGGGTAGCCAAGAAAGTACATGGTCTGTGGGGGGGAAACTGAAGTAGGAGCAGGGAGAGGCAAGAACCTTTTCTCAAAAGAGTCCTGAGTGTGGCCAGGCACGGTGGCTCACACCTGTAATCCCAGCACTTTGGAAGGCCAAAGGAGGTGAATCATTTGAGGTCAAGAGTTCAAGACAAACCTGGCCAATATGGTGAAACCCGGTCTCTACTAAAAATACAAAAATTAGCCAGGCAGTGGTGGCGCATGCCTGTAATCCCAGCTACTTGGGAGGCTGAGGCTCGAGAATTGCTTGAGCTTGGGAGGCGGAGGTTGTGGTGAGTCAAGATCATGCCGCTGCACTCCAGCCTGGGTGACAGAGTGAGACCCTGTCTCAAGAAAAAAAAAAAAAAAGAGTCCTGAGTGGAGGGATAGTAGGGATCAGTGATGAGCTTTCTTTTCACAAACAGAAACAGGTGTGAGTCACTGAAGGGGCTTCATTTGGGAGATGAAGTACATTTCATTCTATCAGTTCCCTTCACAAATATATAAAAGCTCCCTATTTTACAGCTGAGGAACTGAAACTCAGAGAGGTTAGGAGACTTCCTGACCACACCTTCAGGCTGAGCTAGGTACCCCTCCTCTAGGCTTCTCTCATGGGACCTCTGTCTTAGTGCTCATCACACTGTGATACAGTTACTTACTAATATCTTTTTCTACTCAATTTTCTGTGCACTCACAGAAGGCAGAAACTGTACCTTTCATTTCCATGATTCTCATGGATAAAGCCCTCAATAAATGTTTGCCAGATGAATGACTTGCCCAAGGTCACACTGCTAATATATGGCAGAACCGGGACCAGAACCAAGACCTCCGACTCCCCAGATCCCATATCCTTGCTGTTCTCCTGGGATGTTTTCTGGAAGAAAATGAGCTGTGGGCCTAAAAAGAAGCCAATCAAGCATTTGGCAGGTTAGTGAACTATACTGAGAGATTTTTTTTTTTTTTTAACTTTCATTCTCCTTTCTTTTTGCTATTGTCAAGAATTTTAGGCAGTTACTCAGAGCTGAGCCAGGTGGGTCACATCTATAATCCCTGCTCCCAAAATAGCTGAATTCATCATGTCTTCAGAGGGGGAGGCTTTGCCGATAAAAGTGAGGGCTGCAAATCTCCACAGATGGCTTTCTCGCTCCCTCTCCTGCCCGCCTGCCAGGTGTGAACAAACACTTTGAAGTAATTTGGGGATGCCTGGGAGGAAATGTCAAAGGCTGTGCTTCATGGTTCTTAAAACATTGGAGAGTTCTGATCTTGCTGGTCCCGCACAACTAGGCTGGAAATCTCATGAGAAAAGGCTTGTTTCTTTTCTCAGCTGGTCACACACATTGATGATGGAGGGTCCGTTCTTGTCAACCACAAGCAAGATGCTAGCACTTGACTTGGATAATGTGAATGCGGCCAGACACTGAGAACAAAGAGGTGCCAGGCCTGCACTGCTGCTGACAGTAGAAGGGATTGTCTCGTTTCAAAGGAAAACTCAGAATAGAAAGGCAGCAGAGACAAGGGGTCCTGACAACTGTATCTGTAGTGGTCAAGAGTCCAGGCTCGGCCGGGCGCGGTGGCTCACGCCTGTAATCCTAGGACTTTGGGAGGCCGAGGCGGGTGGATCACGAGGTCAGGAGATCGAGACCATCCTGGCTAACATGGTGAAACCCCGTCTCTACTAAAAATACAAAAAATTAGCCGGGTGTGGTGGCGGGCGCCTGTAGTCCCGCTACTCGGGAGGCTGAGGCAGGAGAATGGCGTGAACCAGGGAGGCGGAGCTTGCAGTGAGCGCGATGGCGCCACTGCACTCCAGCCTGGGCGACAGAGCGAGACTCTGCTTAAAAAAAAAAAAAAAAAAAAGAGTCCAGGCTCTGGGGCTAGATCTGCCTGGGTTCCGAACTTTGTTCTACCACCTCCTAGTTATCTTACCTTGGGCAAGTTACTTAACATTGCTGTGCTTAAATCCTCATGTGCCAAAAGTCATGAACATCAATGAGCTAATCCATGAAGTTTCATTCCTCTCCATTTGCCCTTCCAGTTCCATTCTCTATCCATTTCTTCATCCCTGCTCTGTGCCCTAAGAGATCAACCTCTAAGACTGTATCACCCAGTGTCCTTTGCCCTCTGGCTTCTAGCTGGATTCATCCAAAGGAGCTAATGGCAGAAGACATTGGCTGCTCAGAAGGATAATAAAGAGCCCAGGTGTTTAATCCCCTGGCTTTCACAATGCTAGGTCACCATTTCAACAGAGGCTGTATACCTCTACCTCCATCCCCAGCCACTGTCAGGCAGCCCTCTCCCTCAAAGAAGCTCCATAATGGTCCCATTATCTCTGCTCTCTCCTCTTACCCTTTCAGACCTAGAGACGCTAATGGCCTCAGCATTGCTTGTTGAGCACCCTAACCCTATGCACGCTTCTGCACATAGTCCCTATGTTAAATTCTCTTCACCATTTGAGTGTCCCATTTGTCTTCTTTCAGCACCTTGACTAATGTGCCTGATGCATAATAAGTATTCAATACAATTTTTCTATTTATCTTCCTTCTTCTCCTTCTATTCTTTCATTATCCTCATCACCCTTTTAATCCTTGTTTGTTTGTTTGTTTGTTTTGAGACGGAGTCTTACTTTGTCACCCAGGCTGGAGTGCAGTGGCACAATCTTGGCTCACTGCAACCTCTGCCTCCCAGGTTCAAGCGATTCTCCTGCCTCAGCCTCCCAAGTAGCTGGGACTACAGGTGCCTGCCACCACACTTGGCTAATTTTTGTATTTTTAATAGAGATGGGGTCTCACTATGTTGGTCAGGCTGGTCTTGAACTCCTGACCTCAAGCAATCCACCTGCCTTGGCCTCCCAAAGTGCTGGGATTAACGGCATGAGCCACTGGGCCTGGCCCTTAATCTTTTTTATTATCAGCTTAATATTAAGCAGAAGAGCTGGGGGAGATTGTATTTGTTTTCTACTGTTGCACAAGTTGTACAACTTAGAGCTTAAAACAACACACATTTATTATGTCACCATTTCTGTGGATCAGCTGGGTTCTCTGCTTTCAGGATCTCACTAGTCAGGGCATTGGCTAGGGGGCTGCAGTCTCATCAGAAGCTTGGCTGGGGAAGGATATAGTACCAAGATCCCTCTGGTTGTTGGTAGAATTCATCTCTTTGCAGCTATAGGAGTGAGATCTCAGTTTACTTGCTGGCTACTGTCAGCTCCTAGGGGCTGCCTACTGTTCATTGCCATGTGGCCCTCTCTGTTAGGTCCTTTCACCACATGGCAGCTTATATCCTCAAGGCTGACAATGGGGAGAGTTTCTCTGACTTAGGGAGGTCCTAGTCACTCTTTAAAGGGCTTTCTCCTGACTAAACCAGGCCTGCCCAGGATAATCTCCCTTTTTATGAACTCAAAATGAACTGATTTGAGACCTCAGTCACAATGCAAAATCCCTTTGCCTTGCCATGTGATGTAACCTAATTAAGGGACTAACACCCCTTTACCTTTGGAAGTCACAGGTTCTACTTGTGGTTTAAGGGGAGGGGATTACACAGAGGTGTGGGCACGAGGAGATGGGAAATCATCAGTGGTCACCTTAGGGTCTGTCTGCCACAGAGGTCTCATCAGAAGGTGGGGCAATACTCACTCAGCAGCTTTTCTGATAGTTTTTCACTAAGGTCAGGAAGGGGTTCTTGCCAGCAGGAAAGGACAGGGACCAACACAAACTGAGCACTTGCTCTGGGCTCTGCATTGTGCCCTCCACTTTCCCCTTTGGTCCTCTAACATCCCTGTGAGTGTCCACTATTATCTCTGCCTTCTGAATGAGGAGGCTGAAGAGCAAAGAGGTTGAAGCAATTCACACAAGGCCGCACAGATGCCCCCTCTTTTTTTTTTTTTTTTTTTTTTGAGACAGAGTTTCGCTCTTGTTGCCCAGGCTGGAGTGCAATGGTGCGATCTCGGCTTACTGCACTCTCTGCCTCCTGGGTTCAAGTGATTCTCCTGCCTCAGCCTCCCAAGTAGCTGGGATTACAGGCATGTGCCACCATGCCTGGCTAATTTTGTATTTTTAGTAGAGACAGGGTCTCTCTGTGTCAGTCAGGCTGGTCTCAAACTCCTGACCTCAGGTGATCTGCCCATCTCAGCCTCCCAAAGTGCTGGGATTACAGGCGTGAACCACCGCGCCTTGCCGCCCCCTCTTAAATTCTTAAGATTTTCCGCTGACCAATATGGTGAAACCCCTTCTCTACTAAAAATACAAAAATTAGCGGGGCATGGTACTGTGCGCCTGTAGTCCCAGCTACTCAGGAAGCTGAGACAGGAAAATTGCCTGAACCTGGGAGGTGGAGGTTGCAGTGAGCTGAGATCGTGACACTGCACTCCAGCCTGGGCAACAGAGTGAGACTGTGTTAAAAAAAAAAAAAAAAAAAAAAAATTCTTAAGGTTTTCAACAGGAAATAACAAAAGTTGTAGAGGTCAATGTTTGAGAACTAAAAGGGCCTCTCCATGTGCATTCTTCTTTTCCACAGAGTTGGCATCTTTGATTTCAGGAGAGGGGAATACAGATTTTTTTTGTTTGTTTTTCAGAAAGAATTTGCTGGCTGGGTGTGGTGGCTCATGCCTGTAATCCTAGCACTTTGGGAGGCCAGGGTGGGCCGATCGCTTTGAGCTCAGGAGTTCATGACCAGCCTGGGCAACATGGGAAACCCCATTTCTACAAAAATTATCCAGGCATGGTGGCTTGTGCTTGTGGTTCCAACTACCTGGGAGACTGAGGCTGGAGGATCACTTGAACCCAGGAAGTGGAGGTTGCAGTGAGCTGAGATCATGCCACAGCACACCAGCCTGGGCAACAGAGACCCTGCCTCAGAAAATAATAAGAAGAATTTGCTAACACATAGCGCAAACACTTAAGAACTGTACCTGGAAAATAGAGTTAAAATTCCCAATGGATGAAAAAGCCACCACCCTTTTTATTTGTCAATGAACACTTCACTGCTGTTCAAGATACATATGAAAACAATCACAATTTACTATGTACATAGTGCTTTCAACTTTTTAAAGCAAATTCACATGTATTCTGAAGCTTTGTGCTTTTTTCCCTTTTAACTGGACCTAGAAATCCCCCAAAAGTATAAACATTTAGCTTCAGAAGCTTTGGGAATGGCATTACTGCTTCAAGGGGTAAAAAACCTAACTTTCCACCAATGCCAAGAACTTGCAAGAGGTGACTCTTAGGTTGAGTATAGTAAGCCCATTAGGAAAGTATTTACTGGCCACTGTAGCCAGTCCCTAATGTGGAGCCTGCTGCACAGAAGGCACGTTATACAAATTTGTGGAATGACTAAAGTAATGAATATATTTTCCGTTTCCTTGCCTTTTTCTTATTTCCCATGAACGTTTTCTCATTTTTTCATTGTTTCTTTTAATTTAAAAAGTACTCTATAGGCTCGTTGTAAAAACAAAACAAAACAAAACTCAAAAATGTATATACTAAAAAATGAAAATTCACACCGGGCGTGGTGGCTCACGCCTGTAATCCCAGCACTTTGGAAGGCCAAGGTGGGCAGATCACAAGGTCAGGAGTTCGAGACCAGCCTGGCCAATATGATTAAACCCCATCTCTACTAAAAATACAAAATTAGCTGGGCATGGTGGCGGGCACCTGTAGTCCCAGCTACTTGGGAGGCTGAGGCAGAAGAATCGCTTGAATCCGGGAGGTAGAGGTTCTGGTGAGCCGAGATCGCACCACTGCACTCCAGCCTGGGTGACAGAGCAAGACTCCATCTCAAAAAATAAATAAATAAATAAAATAAATAAATAAATAAATAAATAAATAAATAAAAAATGAAAATTCACATCCTTCAGCCTTTTTTTTTTTTTTTTTTTTTTAAGAGATAACCACTACGGACAATTTGATGTGTCATTTGTATTGCTAAAATGGAAGCATTTGATATCTAATTATTTGCTTCTTAGTCTGTCTTGTAGCATGGATGTCTTGTTTCTCTTAATGTCCTCTTTGTATTTGTTAGCATGTGTAGCAGACACCGTCTGTGTTATGTGCGTATCCTCTTAGGAACTCTTGTCATTTCCACCTATAACAGCCTGTCTTCCAATGGCCAGTCCCTCCGTCGTGTTTGTATTAGTGTATTTTCACACTGCTATAAAGAACTACCTGAGATAAACAAAAGAGGTTCACAGTTCTGCATGGCTGGGGAGGCCTCAGGAAACTTACAATCGTGGTGGCAAGAGAGAGAGAGAGTGAGAGAGTCGGTAGCAGGGAAGGCGCACCAGAGACTTACCAAAACAACCAGATCTCAGGAGAACTCTATCAGGAGAACAGTAAGGGGGACGTCTGCCCTCATGACTCAATCACCTCCCACCAGGCCACGCCCCAATCTCAGATTACAATTTGAGATGGGATTTGGTTGGGGACACAAAGCCAAACTGTATCATTGTTAGATGGCTCCCTCCAGCCACTGAAATTAGTTTGCCAATGGATGGTTGGCTGGAAGTACTTGGGAACGAATGGTCCTCTGGGAGACAGCCTTTAGCCAATGACTAAAAGTTGTAGGAGTATAACTACTCCTGCTCTCTGACCCCTTAGCTAGGTTAATTCTGAGGCATGTGTTTTGTACTGTTTTTGGAGTTTCCCTAAAAGATTAAACTCTAGTTGCTTATCTTTATAACTGGCTTAATAACACACCCTTCATTGGTTTTCTGCCCTTCTCTGTATCATTTCCCCATTTCCCTACTTACACTTTCCAAACATTTTGCACTTGAATCCTACTTACAAGGTCTGATTCTGAGAGAACATAAACTAAAACAGCATGGATATGCTGTAGTTAATTTCATCATTTCTTATTAATGGCCGTTTTTAGGTTGCTTCTGATTTTCAACAAAAATAACACTGCAATAAAATCTTCATCCATGTTGCCTAAAAAATGTGCACATATTCCTGAATTTTAATTGCTAGGTCAAAAGGAACAAATATTTGGTATTTAAGAGATACTGCCAAACTGGACCCTCAAATGGTTTTATTAATAACATCCTTACCAACAGTTTATTAGAGTATACTTTACCCCACCTCTTGCTGACACCGGGTATTAGAAGTATTTTAAATATTTCTCTGATCAATTAAACAAAAATAGATGTACTCTAATTAGGCTTGTTGTAGCACATTTTAATTTGCATTTCTCAGATTAATTAGGATAAACGTTGCAGCATTTCAGGTAGTTATCAGATGATAGGACGAGAACACAGAGAAAACACACACACCCAATGCAGAAAAAATTAAGGTCTTGATTTAAGTAGCTGACAATATAAAATCTTATCAGCAGCGGAGTGGCTGCGTGAAGCAAAGGTGGATGTCTCCAAGCAGCTTTCCCTGGTCTCCAGGCCTCAGAGTGGGGCACACTGTGCACCCAAGGGGAGTCAAAGCAGATATGGAAAAGTTCAAGTCTTTTTATGCTTTAATCTCACTATACCCAGGATTTTTACTGCCTTTTAAGAAGACCTTTATACACACAAGCCATGTTTCTGTCTACAGGGATGTTATCAACCTTGTGTTCTCCTGGCTCTTGAAATAAACTTAACATGTCCAGCTGTCCTTGAACAATAACTCCGCCTGTACCTTTCCAACTTTCTGGAAAGCGCATTTCCCCGAAGACCATCCTTCGCCTATGATTTTATTTTTATTTTTACTTTTTAAAGGCAAAGAGAATGTAGCCTGTGATTTAATACTCTTGTTTGGATGGTTCTAAAGCTGAGTGTAATCTGAAAACCACAACTAAAAATCTATTTCCCTAAAATCATCTGTTCATATGCCCAGTGAAAATTTGTATTTCTTATGTGATTGGCCGTTTCAAATTCTTTGTCCATTTTTTTTAATTGAATTGTTTTTGTTTTTTATATTTATTCTTTGAAAAAAAAATTTTTTTTTTTGAGATGGAGTTTTGCTCTTGTTGCCCAGGTTGAAGTGCAGTGGCACGATCTCAGCTCACGAAAACCTCTGCCACCTGGGTTCAAGCAATTTTCCCACCTCAGCCTCCTGAGTAGCTGGGATTACAGATGCCCGCCACCACGCCTGGTTAATTTTGTATTTTTAGTAGAGAGAAGGCTCCACCATGTTGGCTAGGCTGGTCTCAAACTCCTGACCTCAGGTGATCCACCTGCCTCAGTCTCCCAAAGTCCTGGGATTACAGGTGTCAGCCATTGTGCCCGGCCAAATTTTTTTTTATATATTGTGGGTATTAACCTTTTGCTTGTTATAAATGTTTCAAATATTTCCTCTTAATCTTTTGCTTGTCATTTGCTGTTGTTTACAGTGGTTTTTCATTTTTATTCAATCATATCAGTAGATCTTTTCATTTATGATTTGGGTTTTGTTTCTTGCTTTGGAAGGTCATTCATCCCTCTTCAAAAATCATAAAAATAATCTCCTATTTATTTCTGTTAGCACTTTATAGCTTTGCGGGGGTTTTTTGTTTGTTTGTTTGTTTCTTACACTTAGCTCTTTAATCCATCCAGAATGTGTTTTTGTGAACGATCTGAAGAAATCTACCCAGGGAATTTTATCATTTTTGCTGCCACTATAAGTGAGGTATTTTTCCTGTCACATTTTCTGAGTGGTTATTGCCAGTATATAGGCTACACATTTACTTTGAAGGTACAATTTTATCATCTCCCACTGTCTCATCTCAGCAGGAACTGGATATTTGTGTTGAAGGAAGACCCTCTGAGACTGGTCAGTATGCCTGCTCTGTAGCCATTAAACAAATACAGCTTGAGTTTCCCTGAATTGAAATGCTTGGGACCAGAAATGTTTTGGACTTTTTTTTTTTCAGATTTTGTAGTATTTACCTATATCCACAATGAGATATCATGGGGATGGGACCCAAGTCTAAATAAACATGAAATTTATTTATGTTCCATCTATACCATATATACATAGCCTGAAGGTAATTTTGTACAATATTTTTAATAATTTTATGCTTGGGCCAGGCTCAGTGGCACACACCTGTAATCCCAGTGCTTTGGGAAGTCTACGTAAGAAGATTGCTCAAGGCCAGGAATTCAAGACTGTCCTGGGCAACACAGTGAGACCCCGTCGCTACAAAAAATTTAAAACAGCCAGCATATTGTACCAGCTACTTAGGAGGCTGAGGTGGGAAGATCCCTTGAATGTAGAAGTTTAAGGTTACAGTGAGCTATGATTTTGTCACTGTGCTCCAGCCTGGGTGACAGAACAGGACACTGTCTCTAAAAATATAATAGTAATAATAACTTTGTGTTGAAAAAACTTTGCATACACTGAACCATCAGAAAGCAAAGGTGTCATTATCGCAGCCACGTATGTGGACAACCTGTAGTTATTTGGCATCACCATAACTCCTGACTTAATTTATGTGCTACCAATAAACAATCATTTCCCTGTTTTTGGTTTTTGTTTTTGAGACAGAGTCTCGCTGTGTTGCCCAGGGTGGAGTGCAGTGGTGCCATCATAGCTCACTGCAACCTCAACCTCCTGGGCTCAAACGATTCTCCCACCTCAGCCTCCTGAGTAGTGAGGACTACAGGTGCAAATCACCATGCCCAGCTAACTTTACAATTTTTTTGTAGAGATGGAGTCTTACCATAGTGTCCAGGTTGGTCCTGAACTTTTGGCCTCAAGTGATCCTCCTACCTCAGCTTCCCAAAGTGCCAGGATTACAGGTGTGAGCTGCCATCCATAGCTACCAATAATTTTCTAACATTTACTTACACATAAGTACTTAAAAGTAAAAAATACTTTAGCATTAATTTAAAAAAAAAAAAAGGCCAGGTGCGGGGGCTCACGCCTGTAATCCCAGCACTTTGGGAGGCTGAGGCAGGCGGATCACGAGGTCAGGAGATCAAGACCATCCTGGCTTTACACGGTGAAACCCTGTCTCTACTAAAAATACAAAAAATTAGCCGAGCGTGGTGGCGGGCACCTGTAGTCCCAGCTACTTGGGAGGCTAAGGCAGGACAATGGCGTGAACCCAGGAGGTGGAGCTTGCAGTGAGCCGAGACTGCACCACTGCACTCCAGCCTGGGCAACAGAGCGAGACTGTCTCAAAAAAAAAAAAAAAAAAAAAAACACAAGCCAGATGTGGTGGCATGCACCTGTAGTCCTAGCTATGTGGGAGGTTGAGGCAGGAGGATCATTGGAGCCCAGGAGTTCAAGGCTGCAGTGAGCCTTGATTGAGCCACTGCACTCCAACCTGGGTGGCCCTATTTCTAAACAAACTACAAATAAAAACAAACACTAAGAACCCCACGAATTTAAACGGCATATTATGTGCCTGTGTTTTGACTGCAACCCATCACGTGGGGTTAGGTGTGGAATTTTCCATGTACAGCATCATGGCAGCACTCAAATAGTTTTGGATTTTGGAGTGTTTTGAATTTCAGATTTTCAGATTAGGGATGATTACACTGTATCTCTCTTGGCCTTTCCTTCCTCATCTGTTAAGTGGGGAAGAGGGACCAAGTACTCTTTGTGGTCCCTTCTTGCATTAATAATGCTGAGGTTTTAAATAACTTCATTCTTTCTGGCCAAAAGGTAGTTCAATTTCAAAAGGGAGAAAACTGAATCCTGGTCTCTATTTGCTAAAGGGCACTGAGCCTCTTTACATTTGAAAATGATACCAAGAGTGGTAAAGAGCAGCATCCCCTGCTCTTAGACTCAATACCTTGGCTATATTTAGCTAGAGCTAGCATCTTTGAGAATAGGACATTTGCAATGTATAGCTAAGAGCAGGGGAAAGCAACCATTCAGCATTTATCTGTTGTCTTTCTGTGAAATAATGTTTCTTTCCAAGGAAAGAGCAAAGAGATGCAGCAGTGGTTTCCTGCTCCAGGAATTTCTTTTTCTAATGACCCAGCATTAGACAGTTTGCCAGACTTGCTCTGACAGTCCACTCTTGACCAAGGGGTACAGTAATATGTGAGGTGATATGGTTTGGCTGTGTCCCCACCCAAATCTCATCTTGAATTGTAGTTCCCATAATCCCCACAAGTGGTAGAAGAGACCCAGTGGGAGGTAATTCAATCATGGGGGTGGCTTCCCACATGCTATTCTCATGATAGTGAGTGAGTTCTCATGATATCGGATCATTTTATAAGGGGCTTCCCCCTTTACTGAGCTCTCAATCTTCTCCCTGCCATCATGTGTAGAAGGATGTGTTTGCTTTCCCTTCTGCCACGATTTTAAGTTTCCTGAAGCTTCTCCAGCCCTGCTGAACTGAGTCAATTAAACCACTTTCTTGGTTT
Source organism: Homo sapiens (assembly GCF_000001405.40). NCBI lineage: Eukaryota > Metazoa > Chordata > Mammalia > Primates > Hominidae > Homo > Homo sapiens. The sequence continues at coordinate 65,308,139 of NC_000014.9, read as the reverse complement.
AATTGGATGGATCATGAGGTCAGGAGATCGAGACCATCCTGGCTAACATGGTGAAACCCTGTCTCTAATAAAAATACAAAAAAAATTAGCCCGGCTTAGTGGCGGGCGCCTGTAGTCCCAGCTACTCGGGAGGCTGAGGCAGGAGAATGGCGTGAACCCGGGAGGCGGAGTTTGCAGTGAGCTGAGATCACCCCACTGCACTCCAGCCTGGGCGACAGAGCGAGACTCCATCTCAAAAAAAAAACCAAACAAACAAACAAACAAAACCAACCACTCTCCTTTATAAATTGCCCAGTCTCAGGCAGTTCTTTATAGCAGCATGAGAACAGACTAATACATGAGGCCACGTACCTGGTGCTGTTTCCCAAGTGGTTTCGACTATAAATTCAAGAAGACATTTGATGTTTAGCTACCCAAAAGAAGCACAAGGATTCACTGGATGTGTCAGATAACCTACAATTTCTACCAAACTTCTGGGTCAGCTTTGATTTGCATTATATTGTGATCATTTACTTTTAAATATTTCAGCATAATTAATATGATATATATGTCATCTACACACTGGGAGCAGTTAATTAACATTTGGTGTCTTCTAAAGGAAAGGCACTCTTCAGGAATGAATAACATCTGAAAGATTATAAGCAGAACTCTAAGCAAAAAAGATCTAACCAGAGGGCCACACCACTACAACTTCAACCATCTTTATTTCATATTAACACCAGAGGGCTTGTTAGCTAGCATAATAAATGTTAGATATTAATTTTCACTGGTAAAATGAGTTGTGTTCAAGATAGGTGCATTGGCTGTAAATACTGCGTAGGTACTCTCCCCTTTCCCCAAATGGATCAGTAGCTTATAGGCTTTCAGGATGGCCTGAGCCAAGGATTGAGTCCAGTCCAGTGTTAAACCACCTGCAAGTGATTCTATCACCTGATGCCAACTGGAAGTTGAGTTTAACCCTGCCAGTTTCTAGGGACAGGCCTAATAGCTACTGTAAATTTCAAGCAGTAATAAATGTACACAATACTTCAAGATAACATTAACAACAGTAAGGTGACATGAAAATATCCATAGTTTCTATTGGTGACTATCTTAGTCTGTTTTTTGTTGCTATAAAGAAATACTTGAGGCTGGGTAATTTATAAAGAAACGTGGTTGATGTGGCTCATGATTCTGCAGGCTGTACCAGAAGCATGGCATAAGAATCTGCTTCTGGTGAGGGCTTCAGGCTGCCTCCACTCATGGTGTGAGGCAAAGGGGAGCTGGTGTTTAGAAATCATGTGGTGAGCGAGGAAGCAAGAGAGAGGGGGAAGGTGCCAGGCTCTTTCTAACCATCAGCTCTTATAAGAACTAGTAGAGTGAGAACTCATTACCTCGAGGAGGCACCAAGCCAGTCATGAGGGATTCAGCCCCATGACCCTAAAACCTATTAGGCCCCACCTCCAACACTGGGGATCAATTTCTTTGGGGGGGGACCAAAGAAACCATATCTAAACCATAGCAGTGATAAAGTCACCAGTTCTGCTAATATGACTGTAGTTTCTTACCTGTATTACTACTCAAGAAAACGCTAAAATCATTTAGAAGTTAGTAAAAAATATATATATTTTTTTCATTCAAGTACATAGAGTCTCTGAATTTTATTCACTGACCTCACGGCGGGTCCACGGACTCAGGATAAGAACTCCTGAACCGGAGTCCAAGACCAGCCTGATCAACATGGTGAAACCCTGTCTCTACTAAAAATACAAAAAAATTAGCTGGGCGTGGTGGCGTGTGCCTGTAATCCCAGTTACTCAGCAGGCTGAGGCAAGAGAATCACTTGAACCCAGGAGGCAGAGGTTGCAGTGAGCCGAGATTGCGCCACTGTACTCCAGCCTGGGCGACAGAGCGAGACCCTGTCTCAAAAAAAAAAAAAAAAGAAAAGAAAAGAAAGAAATCCTAAGCCTTACCTAGTGAATGTTTGATACTAGAGAAGCCACTCAAAAGGGCCTCATTATTAGTAATGCCCATAATGGGGACACCAATGTCTTGGCCAACAGGGTCTCTCCTGGGAATCCCAAAGCAGTCTGTAGGGCTGGGCTGCATATAGAATCTCCCCAACTGGCCAGGCATTGTGGCTCACGACTGTAATCCCAGCACTTGGAAGGCCGAGATACGCAGATCACCTGAGGTCGGAGTTCAAGACTAGCCTGGCCAACATGGTGAAACCCCATCTCTACTAAAAATACCCAAAAAATTAGCCGAGCGTGGTGGCAGACACCTGTAATCCCAGCTACTCAGGAGGCTGAGGTGGGAGAATCGCTTGAACCTGGGAGGCGGAGATTGCAGTGAGCCGAGATGACGTCACTGCACACTCTAGCCTGGGTGACAGAGCGAGACTCTGTCTCAAAAAAAAAAAAAAAAAAAAAAAAAAAATCTCAACTGTGTGTTCCCAGTCCCCACAAAGACTTCACAAAAGCAGAGTCTTCATCTATGATGAGTGCTACAAGAACACAGGCAGCTACAATGTAGCATCGGTCTGGCACAGGTCAACTTCTTTCTCAGCAAATCTAGTTTTTCCTAAGGAAGCAGCAGAGATCTATGGCAGACTCTAACACAGACACACCCATTCACTTTACCTCCAGAGCACTTTTCCCTTCCAGCTACTATATCCCCACATTTGCATAATTAAATGAGCCATTACACTGGTTTTTCCAAAACTAAGTAACCATCTGCCCTAAAGTTGTATCCATGTCTTGCCTCTTAGAAAATTCAAGACTCACTTCTGGATTCTTTTAAAAGCCTAGGTTTATTGTTGAATTTCCCTGTGTGTTTTCTCCTCTTTTCACAAACATTTCAAAAGTCTTCAGGTCAAAACTCAGTCCCACCTCAAACATCCTGAGCTCCCTTCTCTCAGGCAGTCTCTGAAGCACATGGCCCAGCCCTGTGATGGCGACAGCACAGGGAGATCTCCTTCCCATCAGAGTCACTGGTAGCTCTCTCCCCCTCACTACCACAGGGCCCTGACGTGGCTTTCACAAGAGTCCCACAGCAGGAAGATGCCACTCAGGGGGCACAAGCTGACTGGGATGCTAGAAGGGGATAGGATCAGAGATCAAGAAAAGCAGAAGAATAGCTTCCTCCACTTCCAGCTCTGTTCTCTTTTGTTCTCAGGCCAGGAGGGTGTTTAGCACCCTGAGGGGACCGTGTCCTGGACAGCTTAGTAAAAAGGAGAGAAGCCTGGGCACAGTGGCTCACACTTATAATCCCAGCACTTTGGGAGGCCGAGGCAGGCGGATCACGAGGTCAGGAGTTCGAGACCAGCCTGGCCAATATGGTGAAACCCTGTCTCTACTAAAAATACAAAAATTAGCTGGGCGTGGTGGCGGGTGCCTGCAATCCCAGCTACTCAGGAGGCTGAGGCAGAATTGCTTGAACCTGGGAGGCGGAGGTTGCAGTGAGCCGAGATCACACCACTGTACTCCAGCCTGGGTGACACAGTGAGAGACTCCGTCTCAAAAAAGAAAAAAAAAAAAAAAGGAGAGAAAATACAGAATCAATCTAAGTGCAAGTGTTATTCTCACTGGCACCTGCATGTGGGAGGCTGGCCAAGAGAGAAGAGCTAGGTGGAAGGAAGTGGCGCGAGGCAGATGAGGAGGCCAGAGGACAGGAGAAGGGGCTGGGCAGGGTCTCTGCCTTCCTGCCCTCTGGAGGCACTCACTTTATCACACTGGTGGCTAGGGATGCTGGGGTCAGGAGGGGCAGCGAAACAGGCTTGCACCTCCATGGGTGCCTCTGCCCTCATCCAGCACCCTATGCACAGGCCGCATGCCACTCTGGTCATGCCTACCATGGCTGGCAGGTGCTATTTATCACTGGGTCTTTTTACCTAAATGTGGCAGGGAGAGAGGATAAGGAGGGGAAACTCTTCACAGAAAAATGTTCTTTCTCTCTAGATCCACGGGCTCCTTATTCTTCACACGTCTGACTTGATCCTTTGCTTCTTCCAGATTCAGACCTTTCTTGTAAGTGGTCCCTTCCCGAGTCCCAGTGTGCTCATTCTTCCAGGGGCTCGTAGTTACTGCCTTGAGGGAACCGTTTGGGTGTCAGCCACCTGACCCCAGGTTACAAGCAGAGGAGCCACAATTAGCCTCTATTCAAACAAAGGATTCCATCTATAGAAGCTCATTTGTTTTCCTCGCTGCAGCTGGCTGGGCTGGGGGGCTGGGGGGCTGGGAGGGGGTTTCTCTGTCACTTTTTTCTTAAACTTTTCCTTTACATCCAGGAAATGACCAGTTCATTACAGTTAAAGAGTAAGTTAGGGGCCGTCCCAGCAACCAGCCAGCTCCTTGTATTTCGGGCTTTTTGTTCCATTAAAATACCAGAAGAGCTGTTTCATTCGGGCACTCCCTTTCCGGGGCTTGAAGAGAACCCAGAGGTGATTTCCAGCCATGGGTCTCCCTGTGAGCCTTGTAAACCCTCAAAATCACCACCCTCCCCTTGTATCAGGAAGCTTAGGGCAAACACCTCCAGCTCTAGTGAAAGCTGGATTTCCTACCCGCCTCCCACCCCTAACCCTCCAGCCCCATCCCCAAAGTACCACTGGATTCTGGAGTCAGATGAGCCCCAGCTGTGTCGCTTCCTAGCTTCGTGCTCATGGGCAAGTCAGTTAAACTCTCTGAGCCTCAGAAGGGAATAATGATAATGGTGATACCAACTCGGAAGGTTTGCAGAGATTAAAACCCAGTGGGATTTGTAAATGATGCTTAATAGACTTTAAAAGCCTATTTAAAGTTAGACAGCATCATTTCTCAGAATGCTGGGCTAGAGAGGAGCTTTTAAGATTTTTTCTTGTGTGCCTAGAATGTAAGCATCTGCAATGGCACTTCTAACACCCCTGGTGAGGGAGTCCTAATCAAATAAGGGTGGGTCTACTTGTCATGTGTCCTTCAAAGAGTTAAATACTAAAAAGAAACTTGCAAACCTTAAGGGAACCTCAGTGCTGGACACAGTGGGAGAAAATCTATCTCCGTTTCCTGATGGTTCTGGGTAACTGTGTGAACTTAAGAGGCTTAAGAAGACATAGGAAACAGTCACACCTGCCTCACAGATGATCTGAGTTGACAGTCACCCACAGCCCCCAAAGTTGTGGTGGCCTAGGAATGACAGCACAGAAAATCACCCCAGTTTCAGTCTGACTGGACCCCACCCTGCTCCCTCCCACCCCATCCCCTTCTGCCCTCTTTATTCTTGTCTCTCTGAATTGACAGTGGGTCAGGTCTGTCCAGAAAGGGTTAACCTTCAGGCTGTCGGCCAGGTGATTACTAAACTGGAGCCCTGACTTTTATTTACTGGCACATAAATCTTTGCTTTGACAATTGTGTCTGAGTGTTTTAACGCCTAGCTGGCCCTGCTGGAGTTTGTTTGACCATGTTTTGAAAAGTGACTTCAGTGCTTGTGGTAGTAATTGGCCTGGCACCACGAGCTGGCGACACGGCAGCGTGATGGACTGCAGCAATTTGAACTCAGCAGCTGATTTATTTTCTGTGGCTTTCTGCTTCTGCTGCTTCTGGTACTGCAAAGGCATGAAGTGGTCAAAGCCAACATGGGGCCCAGGGCCTTCTATCTGGTAGGTATGCATGGCGTGTGGAGGTGGTGTTTTTCTGCTAGATGTCCTTCTAGAAATGGCCAGGAATTTTCCAATGGCTCATGATAGAAAAGCCTCCTATGTAGTGTTTGGCCTGTGATAGTCCTTTGGGTTCAGTGTCTACCAGGTTGACCTGAGATACGCTTTGCATATCTCAGTGTAGACATAAACCCGAATGAGAACAAGCAGAGAAGATTTATGGAGAGCTCTCTATAGCGAGGGAGTCAGCCACTAGCACTTGGTTTTAGCAGATAGTCAAAGTCAGGCGGGGGAGTAGGCAAGCTTTAGAGTGAGAAAAAAAGGGGAGGGCTTCAGGTGTGCTCTGATAGGAGGTTGTTGGCATGAAAGAGCTGGAGGCAGGCTACTGAGAAGCAGGGTGCCCTATAGAATTGGTGTAGAGAGCATATCTGGCTTTCTCTGGTTGGTCCTGAGTTGGAAGGAGGGCCAAAATTTAGGGAACCTGGCAATGATTGACCAAGTCCTGACTGGGGGCTGATTGCTATAGAGGCTGTGGTTTGGCTTCCTGGGCTGGTCGCTACAGAGGCTGTGGATCAGAGTTCAGTTTTCATATATGGTCTGGCCATTGTCCATTTGCATATTTGGTCTCTCGATGGAGACTAAATTTGAGAATCCTGGTCAGTCTGGATTACGTTGGCATGGTTAAGCTGCTGCCTAGTAAAAATGTATTGCGCAGATGTTTATCATAGCGGTAGTTATAATTGCAAAAAAACACAAAACATAAAACAAGGCTGGAAACAGCCAGAATAGTCAATTTTATAGAATTAAAATTAAGGTGTACCCACATTGCGCTAAACTTTAAAAGTGAAGACATTCTAATGACATTGGAAATGTTTATAAATGTGATGCAAAATGACAACTTGATTCAAAAATCATACATACTATGTAATTTTAGGTATAAACAGAGGTTGGAGAGTCTTCCTGGCCCTTAATTTTTAGGTAAGATGTCCTCAAATACCCGTCACAGGGGTATAGGCAGTCCATTACCCCCCTGGGATTTCTGAAAACTTTCTGAAGATGCATACAATCGTCCTATGCATACAATCACCCAGGCTGTGAGCTCCTACTTCCCCAGGATTATTTAAATTCTGGAATATTGGCTCATCACCTGTCACACGCTGCCTCTAACCTATGCCATGTCAATCCAGTTGTAGAGCTCAGTTCTTTCCTTAATTTCAACAAAAACTCAGTCACCTAAGGCTTTGCATAGAGCAGAGGTATCCAATCTTTTGGCTTCCCTGGGCCACATTGGAAGAAGAAGAATTGTCTTGGGCCACACATAAAATACACTAACACTAACGATAGCTGATGAACTAAAAAAAAAAAAAAAAAAAAATGGTCCGTGCATAAATCTCATAATGTTTTAAGAGAGTATACAAATTTGTGTTGGGCCACATCCAAAGCCGTCCTGGGCCACATGCAGTCCGTAGGCCGCGGTTTAGACAAGCTTGGCATGGAGGGATTTATATCCTGCTAGGCATACTAAAAAATCAATATTGTTAGCTGGGTGTGGTGGCTCACACCTGTAATCCCAGCACTTTGGTAGCTGAGGTGGGTGGATCACTTGAAGTTAAGCGTTTTGGACCAGTCTGGGCAACAAAGCGAGATCCTTTCTCTACACTAAATTTATACACACACACACACACACACACACACACACACACACACACACACACACACACATATATGGCACTCTATAGATATAAGCTCTCTCTACATACATATTATGTATTCTCTCAGTCTGTCTGTCCCTTGGCATTTTTCCCTGTTCCGGATCCAGTCTCCCGATATGTTCTCGAGCCACTTTGTCTTCCTTTTCTTTCCTTTCTCTTCCTCCTCTGCCCTCACCTTCTAGAGGAAACACAGATCCTTCCTAAGGGATAATAACGGCATAACATAACGCAACCAATTCATCTCTCTCCAGTTCCTGCTGCAAACTTTGCTCTCCCTCCACATATCCAAGAACTCTGCTAAAGCTTTAAAATTACCAATTGTATTTTTTTTTTTTTGAGACAGAGTTTCGCTCTTGTTGCCCAGGCTAGAGTGCAATGGCGCGATCTCAGCTCACGGCAACCTCTGCCTCCTGGGTTCAAGTGATTCTCCTGCCTCAGCCTCCCGAGTAGCTGGGATTACAGGCATGTGCAACCATGCCTGGCTAATTTTTGTATTTTTAATAGAGACAGGTTTTCTCCATGTTAGTCAGGCTGGTCTTGAACTCCCGACCTCAGGTGATCTGTCCGCCTCAGCCTCCCAAAGTGCTGGGATTACAGGTATGAGCCCCCATGCCTGGCCACCAATTGTATTTTTAAGGGCTGCCAGGTTACATTTGCTCTGAGAAACAGGACTTCTTTTCCTCCCAGGCCCTGTTGGGTGAGTAGGGGAGGGAGTGGGTGTGGGCAGGTGTTTTTTCCAGTAACACAGAGTTGTTTGAAGATTAAAGACAGGGTACATACAATTCCTAGCACAGGCCCTGGCACTGTGATTGCGCTTGTTGCTTTATCAAACAGTATCAAAGGGGGCCTCCTCAGGTCTTCTGAGTTTCTAAGCCTTATCAGCATTTTGCATATCAGACACCGGCTCTGCAGATAACTCCTTCCTTACCGGCTTCTGTGCAATTTTTCCTCTAATCTGTTCTTAAAGGGTAGAACTTTCTACCTCTGCTTTTTACCAAATAATCTTAATCAGTTTTGTTTTTCTAATGTTTATCCAAGAAGTCCTTAATTTTGTAATTCTCGGTATTAATTTTCAGTTGATCAAATCTGAAAGGCCTAAGAAAGTTAATGCTTTTACTGTCGAATTTTTCCCTTTTAAAAGTGATGAGGCTCTGGGCTGGAAACAAGCTGTCTTTAGATGGGGGCTCATGTCTGGTCTTGGGTATAGGGCCAGTGGAGAACCCTGTCAGGAGCCTTTTTTTGTATGAGGGACCTGGAAGCCACCAGAAAAGACTCTTTCTACGAGAGTGAGAGGCTGGGTGGGTTGCTCAGATCTGTAATCCCAGCACCTTGGGAGGCTGATGTGGGAGAATCACTGAGGCCAGGAGTTTGAGGTCAGCCTGGACAACATAGTGAGACCCTATCTCTACAAAAATAAAGATTAAAAAAAAAATAGCTTGGCACGGCGAACGTGCCTGTAGCCCCAGCTACTCAGGAGGCTGAGGTGGGAGGTCTCCAGAGATTTTTCTTTTTAAAAACATATTTATTTATTTATTTATTTAGAGACAGGGTCTTGCTATATTGCCCAGGTGCCTATTGACAGGCATAATGATAGTGTACTACAGTCTCAAACTCCTGGGCTAAGAGGACTTACTGGTGAACATACCTGAGACACCCCTGATGACTTACAGAAATGTCTGAGGGGAACCCTGAGGAATGACAAGGTCTACAAAGATTTTTTTCTTTTCTTTCCTTTTCTTTCTTTTTTTTTTTTTTTTTCGGACGGAGTTTCGCTCTTGTCACCCAGGCTGGAGTGCAATGGCACAATCTCCGCTCACTGCAACCTCCACCTCCCGGGTTCAAGTGATTCTCCTGCCTCACTCAGCCTTCTGAGTAGCTGGGATTACAGGCTTGCGCCACCATGCCTGGCTAATGTTTGTATTTTTAGTAGAGACAGGGTTTCACCATGTTGGTCAGGCTAGTCTCCAACTCCTGACCTCAGGTGACCCACCTGCCTTGGCCTCCCAAAGTGCTGGGATTACAGGCGTGAGCCACTGTGCCCAGCCCCAAGAGATCTTTTCTTTTTAAAAATTTATTTATTTATTTAGAGACAGGGTCTTGCTATATTGCCCATGTGGCTATTGACAGGCATAATGATAGTGTACTGCAGCCTCAAACTCCTGGGCTCAAGCCATCCTCCTGCCTCAGCCTCCTGAGTAGCTGGGACAACAGGCGTGTGCAACCAGGCCGAGCTCCAGGGATTTTTCTGATACAGGGCAGAGCCATAGCTAGCTGCAATGTACTGAGCCAGGAGTTCAAGGCTGCAATGAGCTATGCTTACACCACTGCACTCTACCCTGGGCAACAGAGCAAGACCCTGTCTCTAAAAATAAATAAATAAGAGAGAGAAACTGAAAAACACTAGTTGGTAATAATGCCCTTGGCTTCTGGTGGGGGGAAGGAGTGGTTTCAAGTAACTGCTGGGTGTATGTCTCTCCAGTTGTTTCCCACCCAGCATCCCATGGCTGTGATTAAGTCCTAATCACACAGGATAGGATAGGAGGCTTAGGTGATGGAGAGCTGATGTAGACACAGTCACACAAAATTTCTTTGAGATATTGAGGACACACAGACAGCACTGTGGGGACAAGCAGAAGCGAGTATGGTTCAGGGATCTTCCTCAACTTGCAGATCCACGTGGGACCTGTGGAATAGGAGCCACCAAGGAACACTTCCTGCTTCAGTGGGTAGAGTCTCAGCTAGGAGGCTCTCCGAGGTGACCTAGGAGACAGGCACAAGGCAGCTGCAATGGGGGATGGTGGTACCTTTGGTGAATACCTTAAGCTTTAGGGAGTGGCAGTTGCAGCGGCCTTGGTGCTATTGACTCAGTGTTGACATCATTGGCTTTAAGCAGGAGGCAGCACTATTTGCTCAGATATTAGTACCCTACATGGCAGGCACTGCAAAATGGTAGGCGAGAGCTCACAGTCAGACAAGACCAAAAGAAAGCAGAGTAGAGGAGGGGGAGGTTGGCGGAGAATCCAAGATAAATGTGAGATTTGGTAGCTACGAAGACTTACTGGTGAACATACCTGAGACACCCCTGAAGACTTACAGAAATGTCTGAGGGGAACCCTGAGGAACAACAGGGTCTCCAGAGATTTTTCTTTTTGAAAATGTATTTATTTATTTAGAGACAGGGTCTTGCTATATTGTCCAGGTGGCTATTTATAGGCACGATGATAGCGTACTACAGCCTCAAACTCCTGGGCTCAAGCCATCCTCCTGCCTCAGCCTCCTGAGTATCTGGGACTACAGGTGTGTGTGACCAGGCTGGGCTCCAAGGATTTTTGTGATATAGGGCAGAGCCATAGCTAGCTTCAATATACCGAGTGCCTGACATCAATTATCACATTTAATTCTCACAACAATCCAAGAGGTAGGTAATATTAGCCTCATTGTACCAATGAGGAAGGAAGAGGTCAGAGAAGGTACATAACTAATGAGGAGTCACACAGCCTGTGAAGTTCAAACACAAGTCTATTTGATTCTAAAGTCAATGATGTATGTATTCGTCTGTTCTCACACTGCTATAAAGACATACAAGAGACTGGGCAATTTATGGAGAAAAAAGGGTTAATTAACTTACAGTTCTGCAGGCTGTATAGGAGGCATAGCTGAGGAGGCCTCAGGTACCTAATAATCACAGTGGAAGGCGAAGGGTAAGCAAGCATGTCTTACCATGGCAGAGCAGGAGAGAGAGACAGGGAACGAAGGGGGAAGTGCCACACACTTTTAAACCATCAGCTCTCGTGAGAACTTACTATCATGAGAAAAGCAAGGGGGAATTCTGCCCCATGATCTAACCACCTCCCACCAGATCCCTCCTCCAACACTGAGAATTACAATTTGACATGAGATTGGGTGGGCACACAGAGCCAAATCATATCACTCTACCACTACACCATCATGCCTCCAAAGAGGACCAGAATTTGGTCAATAAATTTACTTAACATTTATTGCATGTCTACTATATTCCAGGCACTGTTCTAGACACTCACTATATAATAATGAACAACATAAACAAAATCCCTGATCACATTAGGTTTAAAGACTGGAAGTTATTGAAATTGTAACCTTATGTTGTTTTCAGACTAGTCTGACCTTGGACACACAGGTTACATAAGGAAACTTGAATAATTCTGAGGCTTGAGATAACTTGGATTTCCATTACTCAGCCCTGCTCAGGGCCAGCTGCCAATGTCTCCCCCACTACTCATCTGTACATAATCTGCTCCATTACACTGATTTAGGAGAAAAACATAGTTCACTTCTGTTTTCCAAAGAATGAGAATAACTTGTGCTGGAGAGCAGTTGAGAACAGGGGAACAAGGACAGAAACAGAGGACACAATGCTCTTGAGGGTTGCTGATGCCTATGCAAGAATGTTTGCATTTAGAAACAGCATCTATATCCATATATATACCCATATAGTGTGTGTGTGTGTGTGTGTGTGTGTGTGTGTGTATATACATCCATATAGCTTACACACAATCAAGCTCTCATCCACATCCCTTTGAACAGATAGAGTACCAAGACAGGCCAGTCAAGAGCATGGTGAGTGTATATATACAACTGATGCTATGGGAATATTGGCAGGGTGGACTAGTCAGAGTCAAGTATGACACCATTGCTAGAAGCTTTCTATAACCCAATGTAAGAGATGCAGGGTACATGGAATCATGATTTGACTTCCATTTTAACTAAGCCCATGACAAAGGAGGTAGAACATAGTTGTTAAGAACATGAACTCTGTAGCTGGGTGTGATGGTGCATGCCTGTAGTCCCAGCTACTCAGGAGGCTGAGTTAGGAGGATCACCTGAGCCAGGGGAGATTGAGGCTGTAGTGAGCTATGAATCTGCCACTACACTACAGCCTGGGCACGGTATGAACTCTAGAGAAAAACTTCTTGAGTGACTCCATGTTGTGCCACTTACTAGCTGTGGGGCCATGAATAAATGATTTAATTTCTTTTTGCTTCACCTTCCTATCTTTAATATGGAGATAGCCAGGCACAGTGGTTTGCACCTGTAATCCCAGCACTTTGGGAGGCTGAGGCAGGAGGATCACTTGAGCTCAGGAGTTCGAGACCAGCCTGAGCAACATAGTGAGACCTCATCTCTACAAAACAATTAAAAAATTAGCCAGGTGTGGTGGAGCACACCTGTAGTCCCAGCTACCCAAGAGGCTGAGGTGAGATCACTTGAACCTAGGAATTCCAGGCTACATGCCACTGCATTCCAGCCTGGGCTACAGAGCAAGACCCTGTTTAAAAAAATAAAATAAAGTAAAATAAAATAAAACAGAGATAATAATAAAAGCTGCCTCACAGGATGGATTGTAAAGATTAGCAAAATATAAGTGTTAGCTATTATTAACAAAGTAAGATTCTTTGGATAATCGGTCATGATTGATATTATATGTGTTTATGAAATCCTATTTCATTTTTCCTCTTTCAGGGCAGAAAGGAAGATTATATACTGCATTGTTCCTTTCATGTACAGCTAGGTTTTAGCCAATTGATTACTGGTGGAAATGATAGCCACCCTCAGTCTTGACGCTTATAAACATCCTACAGGGTTTTTGCCCCTGCTGCAGCAATCCTGAAAGTCACATGAGATGGCAACATTCTAAGATGGTAGAACCTCCATCAACCTGGGTCCCTGAGAGATTATATGGAGCAAATCTCCCCTGAGCCCCATCCTTATCTACACTGGACATGTCACATAAACAAGAAATGAATGCTTTACTATATCAAGCCAGTGAGATTAGAGATTCATTGTTGCCAAAGCATAATCTCTCCTGTCCTGATGGAGAGGCACCATGGGCCTTCGTGTTCCAAGACTTGGAGTCTTAAATGCCTAAAGTGCTAGGTTATCTACTCAAGTCCTAGGGTGTGGAGGTTTCTCCATTTAAGCCTCTTAACTTCTTATTTTTATTTTTATTTTTTTTGATGGAGTCTTGCTCTGTCACCCAGGCTGGAGTGCAGTGGCGCAATCTCGGCTCACTGCAAGCTCCACCTCCCAGGTTCATGACATTCTCCTACCTCAGCCTCCCGAGTAGCTGGGACTACAGGCGCCCGCCACGACGCCCGGCTAATTTTTTTGTATTTTTAGTAGAGACGGGGTTTCACTGCATTAGCCAGGTCGGTCTCAATCTCCTGACCTTGTGATCCGCCCGCCTCGGCCTCCCAAAGTGCTGGGATTACAGGCGTGAGCCACCACGCCCAGCCGCCTCTTAACTTCTTAAGAGCCATGGATTCTTTTTATACTGCCAACAGCAACCTATATTTTTTAAGGAAGGATAAAACATTCCCCCTTCCTTTTCAAGCTGGATCTCAGCAGAAAGTCTTGCTGCTATTTTTCCAAATGCCACACTCATTCATTCTTCTATACCTTGACTTATCAAGTTTCCTTTTGTTTTGTCAGTTTGTCCAGTTGATGGCCTAGCCTTCATGAAGTATAAAGTCTGCTTAAAATGTTCATGTTTCCATGGCCAGTCGCAGTGGCTCACGCCTGTAATCCCAGCACTTTGGGAGCCCAAGGCGGGAGGATCACCTGAGGTCGGGAGTTTGAGACCAGCCTGACCAACACAGAGAAACCTCTTCTCTACTAAAAATACAAACATTAGCCAGGCGTGGTGGCGCATGCCTGTAATCCCAGCTACTTGGGAGGCTGAGGCAGGAGGATCGCTTGAACCCAGGAGGCGGAGGTCGTAGTAAGCCAAGATTGCACCACTGTACTCCAGCCTGGGCAACAAGAACGAAACTACATCTCAAAAAAACAAAACAAAACAAAAAACAACAAAGTTCATGTTTCCCTTTTCTAGAATCTTACTGCACTTATAGTTAACATTGGCACTTAGTAATATAAGATCTTGTTTTAGGGACCTTAGCTTTATCACTCTGGTGAGATTAAGGGCAGGGACGTTCTTTTAGATAACCACAGGGCCTAAGGCACCATTGGGCCTCAAATAGATGGCCTATAGATATTTATTGAATTAAATTTCTAGGCAATGTATTAAAGCCCAGACTTGCCACATTCTTGACCCTTTCTTTTTTTTTGAGACGGAGTCTAGCTCTGTCGCCCAGGCTGGGGTGCAGTGGTGCTATCTTGGCTCACTGCAACCTCCACCTCACGGGTTCAAGTGATTCTCCTGTCTCAGGCTCCTGAGTAGCTGGGATCATAGACGCCTGCCACCATGCCTGGCTAATTTTTGTGTTTTTAGTAGAGACGGGGTTTCACCATATTGGTCAGGCTGGTCTCAAACTCCTGACCTTGTGATCTGCCCGCCTCGGCCTCCCAAAGTGCTGGGATTACAGGTGTGAGCCACTGCGCCCAGCCATTCTTGATCCTTTCTTCCCAGAATAGGTCTGTGGGTAAAGAAAGGTGACTGGAAACGTTCCCCATCACCTTCTGGTCTGAATGAATTAGGGCATCTTTGTCCATGCTCATTAGAAAGGTGGATATGGCTGGGTGTGGTGGCTCACACCTGTAATCCCAGCACTTTTGGAGGCCCAAAGTGCTGGGTTTACAGGGAGGATTGCTTGAGTCCAAGAGTTCAAGACCAGCCTGGGCAACAGAGCGAGACCCCCATCTCTACAAAAAATAAAAAAGTTAACTGGGTGTGGTGGCATACACCTATGGTCTCAGCTACTTGGAAGGCTGAGGTGGGAGAATCACTTGAGCCCTGGAGGTTGAGACTGCAATGACCTATGATGGTGCCACTACACCCCAGCCTGGGTGACAGAGCAAGACCCTGTTTAAAAAAAAAAAAAGAAAGGAAGGAAGATATGTGTGTTGTGGGTTAGGGAACTGAGAAGGGGTGACAGTCAGGGAGTTGACACAATATTTATTTCTATTCCCTTATATATTGCTGAGTAAATATAGCTAAATTCTTATGAGCCTCTGCAGGTAAACCATAAAGCTCTCTAAGGACAAGCACCATGTTTTCTATTGATCAAATATTGATAGTTCTTTTATTTCAAACAAGACTCAGTGACAGGACCTTATATTTGCAGCATTATTTAAAATGTACAAGATATTTTCTAATTTTTGTCTTATTTGCTCTTTATAGTAATCAAGGCTCCACATACCTGGTTTAGGTCACTGTACTGCCAAGTTAAAAAGAAGTTGGAAATGTTCCTTTGAGTTCTTTTGTGTTTCTTGTTTCTTTTCTTTTCTTTTTTTTTTTTTTTTTTTTGATACAGAGTCTTGCTCTGTCGCCCAGGCTGGAGTACAGTGGCGTGATCTTGGCTCACTGCAACCTCTGCTTCCCGGTTCAAGCGATTCTCCTGCCGCAGCCTCCCGAGTAGCTGGGACTACAGGCGCCCAGCACCACGCCCAACTAATTTTTCTATTTTTAGTAGAGATGGGGTTTCACCATATTGGCCAGGCTGGTCTTGAACTCCTGACCTTGTGATCTGCCCACCTCGGCCTCCCAAAGTGTTGGGATTACAGGCGTGAGCCACCACACCCAGTCTCTTTTTAGTTTCTACACATCCAGCAATAATCTTATTTGAAATTTAGTGGTGAGCACAATTCAGTGCCCACTTGTAAGAGCTGGCACCTTACAAGTACCGCTAATCTTGGCCTGCATTGTTTACAAGAGGAGAGGCAGCTTCCTGTTTCCTTAGCCACAGTGGCTGCAGAGTCACTTACACTCTTAAGCTCCATCTTAGGACAAGCAGACAACGATCACCAACTGAGAACTCCTGAGCCAGGGTACCACCAAAGCCCCCTTGACCGAAAATTTAAGGGTTCATACTTTCTCCAGTTGATTGGAGCTGGGGACCAAGCCCTGGAACCAAACCAGTTACCGGGCTTATCAGGAAGCTATCCAGTGTTGCTGGGAAGCGTGAGGGTCAGGAACTCAGAGGTAATTCAGCCTTGCTGGGCTTAGAAGGTCAGAACCAAACTGGTCTTGGGCAGGAAAAGGAAGGAGCCCTGTCCTCCTAAGCCCTCCCTTCCTTGGGTTCTGGGAGGAAGCTCTGGGCTGCTGGCCTCTGTTTCCTCCACCTGGCACTTCCCCATTCTTCCACCTTCTTAGGTTGACCGACCATTTCAGTTTGCCTGGGACCAAGGGGGTTCCCAAGATGTGGACTTTTAGTTTTTTGTTTGTTTGTTTTTGTTTTTTGAAACAGTCTTGCTCTGTCACCCAGGCTGGAGTGCAGTCATGGGATCTCGGCTCACTGCAATCTCTGCCTCCTGGATTTGAGAGATTCTTATGTCTCAGTCTCCCAATTAACTGGGTCTACAGGCACGCGCCACCACGCCTGGCTAATTTTTGTATTTTTAGTAGAGGCAGGGTTTAGCCATGTTGGCCAGGCTGCTCTGAAACTCCTGGGCTCGGGTGATCCACCCACCTTAGCCTCCCAAAGTGCTGAGTTTACAGGTGTGAGCCACCACTCCTGGCCTGGACTTTTAGTTTTTAAGCCAGTAAAGTCCTGGAAAAAAAAATAGGTAGGTCATCTTAGGACTTCTGGGACTTCGTCCTCGGTTCTCACCTCTCTCTTTTCCCATGGTCTTCCCAGAGATTTCACTGACTCCACAGCTTTCACCAACTTTTGATGCATAATTCCCCAACAGACCCTCACCTCTGGCTGCTCCTGAGCACCAGGCCAGCATTTCAACCATCAGGCTTTATTGTCATTTACACAGCTAACCTCAAATCCCATGGGTTCTAAATGAGTCACCCTCTCACGCCTCCACCCCACCAACCCTGCTCCCACTCATCTTCCCTGTATTTCCGCATTTGTCAATGCCACAGCATTGTTTCAGTTGTTCAAGATTTGTAATATTGACTCATATTCATTGAATACCTCCTCTGTGCCAGGTTCCTAGGTGCTGGGGACTCAGCAGTGAGCAAGAGTCATGGAGCCCTCACGGAACTTGCATTTTAGTCAAGAGAGACAGAAAAAAAAAAAAAAAAAATATATATATATATAGAGAGAGAGAGAGAGAGAGAGAGAGAGAGAGAGAGAGAGACAGAGAGAGAGTTAAGTACTGTGGAGCAACATTATTTTTCAAAAATTTTTATGGCCAAGTGCAGTGGCTCACATCTATAATCCCAGCACTTTGGGAGGCTGAGGCGGGTGGATCACTTGAGGTCAGGAGTTCGAGACCAGCCTGGCCAACATGGTGAAACCCCATCTCTATTAAAAATACAAAAATTAGCCAGGTGTGGTGGCACACACCTGTAATCCCAGCTACTCGGGAGGCTGAGGCAGGAGAATTGCTTGAACCCAGGAGCTGGAGATTGCAGCGAGCTGAGATCGCGCCACCGTACTCCAGCCTGCGCAAAAAAGCGACACGCCGCTCAAAAAAGAAAAAAAAAATATTTCCTTAAAGTTTCTTTTTTGAGACAGGCTCTTGTTCTGTCACCCAGGCTGGAATAGATGGTGTGATCTCAGTTCACTGCAGTCTCTGCCTTTGGGCCTCAAGGCTGGACTTGAACTCCTGAGTTCAGGTGACCCACCTGCATGGAGCTACCAAAGTGCTAGAATTAATTTTTGCCCAGCCCGGGGAAAAATTAATAAGCAAATACAAGGAATGCTTAGGGTGGGGGATGCAATAATAGATGGGGAATGAAGGGAATCCTTTTGATGTGAGGCAGAGGTCTGAGGAAGTGAAAACATGAGCCAGGGACCTCTGGAGTAAGAGTGTCCCAAGCAGAGGGCACAGTAAATGCAAAGACCAATGTAGCTGGGCAGACCAGGCCAGGGAAAGAATGATGAGAAATAAATCAGGGATAAAACAGGGGTGGGGGAAAATCAGTTTCTGTAGGGCCTTGTAGATAAAAGCATTTTATTTTCACTCATTTACCCTTTAATTTGTTGCCAAACCACAATGATCCCACCTCTCTCTTTCCCATTTCTGCAGCTACCACCTTGAGACAATCCTTCCTACTTACCATTTGAATTATTATATTGGCTTCCTGAGGGGTATTTTTGCCCCTTGTCTCTCCCTACTCTAATCCTACTCATGGTTGCTATAATCTTCTTGGAGCACAGTTCTGATCATCATCATCATAAGATCATTAGCATACATTTATGTATCTCTGAATAAAAATATACTTCGAAAGGAGGGGGACGGACACAGGAGATATGTTCCCACAACTTCCCAGCATGTCCTTGTCAGAAATAGATAAAACTGTCAAAAGTATGTTGTCAAACACGTCAGAGTTCTGTTTTTATGCCATAATGTAACAATTGAAAATTTTTCATCAAAATAAAAAATAAATAGAAAGATGAATTAGTCACAACTCCTTTAGTTGCCACTAACAGAAACTCAGTTCAAGTATCTTTCAGAAGGTGATATATGTTAGCCCACATAGATAGATATTTGACATCTTCAGGAATGGCTAGCTCCAGGTGCTCAGCAAGGGCAACAAGAAATCTATCTTTCTCTTGGATTTGCTTTTTATCTCTGTTGTCCTTACTCTCCAGCAGACTCTACTCATGCAGTGGTAAAGATGGCTTACATCCCCTCAGCTTTGCAACCCCAGTGGAGAAAGGGTGCCTCTTTCAGCAGAAGTCCTAATGCTGACTCTCATCGGCTCACTCTGGACAAAGGGATTACTCCTCAACCACTTATTATGACTGCAGTTAGTCGGTCCTGGGTCATACACCCACCCCTGGAGTCAGGGACTGAGGTCAACCTCACTTGAACTACATGGACAGAGAGTGGAAGATGGGTGGTTCCCAAAGGAACACTTCATATTCAGGATGGAGGAGGGATGGTGGGCAGGCAAAAACAAGTGTCCACAATCAAAGGCTAGGAGCACCATTTTTGGTGAGCCCTAACCCCAAACACCTCTAAGAACTCAATAGGCCTCCGCCCTCAAATAGTATTAGTCACGTTGTGCCTATAATTGATCATTTAAATGACTTTCTTGCCCCAACATCTTAAATGGCTCTCCATTGCTCCCTCTTTGCCAGTCAGCTCTCTTCCTTCTCTGAATCTACTTAGTTGCTTGACAACAGGGCCTGGGGATGGAAAGAGTCTTTATCTCTGAGAGCAGGCTTTCAATACGTTGCAGCTATTGTTTATAACGCCTGTGATCATAGGCACAGCCACATTATTATTATTATTATTATTTTTTGAGATGGGGGTCTGACTCTGTTGCCCAGGCTGGAGTGTCATGGCGCTCACGGCAACCTCTGTCTTCTGGGCTCAAGTGATCCTCCCTCCTCAGCCTTCAGAGTAGCTGGAACCACAGGCAAACATCACTGCACCCAGCTAATTTTTTGTATTTTTCGTAGAGATGGGGTTTCACCATGTTGCCCAGGATGGTCTCAAACTCCTGGGCTCAGGTGATCCTCCTGCCTCGGCCTCTCAAAGTGCTGGGATTACAGGCATAAGCCACCGCGCCTGGCCACAGCTGTCCCCCCAAATATTTCAAGTAGGCATCTACTGAGACTTAATACCCACACAACAACCTTATGAAAAAGTAGGCTTTATGTATGGGGAAGGTGAGGCACAGACATGTTGACTACCTTGCCTACTGTTTTTTTTCACACAACCAAAATATGGAGGCTCTGGGATTTGAACCCAGGGCTCTCCGACTCCTAAGTCCCGTTAGGAACCTGCACATTATTCCATTTCTATGAAGGGGAGGGAAAGAGCTCCTCACTTAAGTATACCAACAGTTCTCAAATCACTTGAAACTCACCAGCAGCCATGACCGTCCCCCCAGGGGAAGTAGGTAGCCAGATTTCACCTCATTCTACTTCTTTACCAGACAGAAAAATGGAGCAGAACCCAAACTGGTGGCTTGATAAGGGAACACTCAGAAAAGTAAAGGAAGTGGTGGTGCTGAAGCACCCTGCTGCCTCTTACCTCAAAGATCCTTCCACCAAACAAATACCACCCACCTTCGAAAACAGTCGTTGTGGTTGGAACAATGTCTGCATAAAAATAACCGGGCTTATCTTACTCAATCTTGCTTCCCTTCCTTGTCGGGAAAATGTCTGCCCTTCTGGTCTAGTCGGTGCAAGAGAGGCTTCCTGCCCGGTGTCCAGCACTGAGGGGGTGTCGCAGCTATGGTCAGCCTCCCTCTGCGGCCCCTGAAGCAAGCAGAGAGCGCCTCAGACCTCGTGTTGGGACCTGAGCGCGCAGCCCGGCTCCCAGGCCCCCAGAGGGCGGGTTCCTGGCTCCGCTCAGAGGCCTTTCAAGCCCCATTAGCCTCCAGCTCAGAGGCCCCTGGGCCCACCTACACTCTGGCCCCTGATGGGCTCGGATGACAACTCAAAACCCACATCCTGAGGGAATTCTGATGAAACCTTTGAAGGCTCCATGTCTTGGGGAAGACCAGGTGGGCGTGAAAGTCGGTCTCAGCGGAGACGCCCAGGGGCGCGTGGGCCCTAGAAAGGCCCGGCTGTCCCGAGCACGGCCTGGAGTGAAGCAGCTGGTGGAGAACACGGGCGCAGGTGTGAGCCTGGTGAAAGCGTGGGCTGCTCAGTGCTCTGTAGAGAGCAGCTGCAAACAGTGAGGAGGAGGCTCATGGTCTGGGCCCTCGCAGGGATGGGCAAGGCATGGCCCTAATGAATCTGGCTCCAAGCACACCCCCTCTAGCTTAAGCTTGGGGACTGGGAAAGGAGGAGGCCCAGGGGGCAGAGCTGAGAGGACATCTCAGGAGTTAGGGTTACCAAGCAACTGAAGAAGACGTAGGAGCAGCTCCTAGCTGAGTATGCCCGGGGTGCAGCACCGAGAATGCCTGGCGGGGAGGGTTGGGAGGGAGGGCTTGCCTTGCCCAGTCATACTTGGAACTTAGATCCTTGGATTTTAATGCTCTTGTGGAAGACATGAGACAAGATCTTGGACCGAGGAGGTGAACATCTGTTGCATTTTATCCAGTATATTCCTGTCTTATAGTGAGAGACTATTTAAGAATATTAAGTTCCCCATATTGATGTAAAGAGAAGTCCGAATGGACTCTTTAAAAAATTTTAAATGTATGTTAAACTTTCCATCATGGAACATTTTACCCACCGCCCTCCCTCCCCATCACCTGGATTATTTTGAAGCAAAATCCAGTCATCGAATCATTTCGCCCATACATAGTCCAGTCAGTATCTCTAAATTTTAGAGCTGTTATTCTCAGCCCAGGACAGTTTTGCCCCCTAGGGGACATTTGGCAATATGTGGAGACCTTTTTTTGTTTTTACAACGTTGGGGGGAGGGGGTGTGCACCCAGCATCTAGCTACTGGAAGACAGGGTAGAAACAGGGCTGCTACGAAACATTCTGCAATGCACAGGCCAGCGCCTCACGACAAAGAACTACATGGCTCAAAATAACAATTGTGACAAGGTCGAAAACCATGTTTTAGAGTCTAAAAGAGAAGAACACTCTAAATACATCACTACAATATTGTTAGCATTCATAAAAACAATAATTCCTTAATATAGAATATCTGATTAATATTAAAATTTCCCCGATTATCTTGTACATTTAAAAAATTTGGGGTTTAAATCAAGATCCAAATAAGACTCATACATTGCAATTGGTTGATATATTTCTTTTTGTTTTTTTCCTGCATCCAATCATCCATTATAGTTGATATATTTCTTAGGTCTTCTTGAATCTACAGGTTCCCATCCCTCTTTTTTCCTTTTATTTATTATAAAACAGATTTATTTTTAATTACAAAAGAGTACACGACTACATTCCTGACATCAAACTTGAAACATACAGGTAAAGCAAACATTTCCTACCTATGACAGTCCAATCCCAGTCCTCTCCCCAAAGAACTCATTTATCAAAATTGTGTGTGTATTGGTTAAGATTATATTCAACTGGCCGGGCACACTGGCTCACGCCTGTAATCCCAGCACTTTGGGAGGCCGAGGTAGGTGGATTACCTGAGGTCAGGAGTTCGAGACCAGCCTGACCAATATGGTGAAACTGCGTCTCCACTAAAAATACAAAATAGCCGGGCGTGGTGGCGCATGCCTGTAATCCCAGCTACTGGGGAGGCTGAGACAGGAGAATTGCTTGAACCTAGGAGGTGGAGGTTGCAGTGAGCCGAGATTGCACACTGCACTTCAGCCTGGGTGACAGAGCGAGACTCCATCTCAAAAAAAAAAAATTATATTCAACTACATGTTTCAAAAAACATAATAATAACAAAAGCTTTAATTTTATTTATTTTTCAGAAAGATAAGCCAAGGAATAGGCAGTCCAGGGCTAATATGGCACCTCCATGAAGTTTTTAGGGTCCCAAGTTTCTTCTAGCTCCCTGCCCTACCATCTGTGAATGTGGCCCCCATCCTCATGTAGCACAATGGCTAATGGAGAACCATCCCTCTTATCTATATTAGGACTAGGTAGCAAGATGGAAAAGTGGAAGGGTGTATCTCTCTGTATTAGTTTGCTAGGGCTGCTGTGACAAAGGACCACAAATTGAGCAGCTCATACCACAAAAATTTACTTATTGTCTCACAATTCTCACAATTCTGCAGGCTAGAAGTCCAACATCAATGTATCAGGCAGGATTGGTTCCTTCTGAGAACTGTAAGGAAAATTCCGTCCCATGCCTCTCCCCTAGCTGCTCGTGATTGGCTGGAAATCTTTGAGTTTCCTTACCTTGTGGAAGCATCACCCCAATCTCTGCCTCGGTCGTCACATGGCATTCTCCCTGTGTGTGTGTTTCTGTGTCCAATTTTCCCCTTTATATAAGGACATATTTATATTGGATTAGGGCCCACCCTCATGACCTCATTTTAACTAATTACATTTGCGAGTGCCCTATTCCAAATAAGGTCACATGCTGAGGTACGAGGGATTAGGACTTTTATATATAAATTTTGGGGAGAGACAATTTAACCCACAACACTCTCCCATAAAGAGACTTTGTAGAAGTCTCTTACGCTTCTTTGTTTATACTTCTTTCGTCAAAACTTAGTCTTATGGCCACAGTTCGCTGCAAGAGATGCTGGGGAAGGGAAGCTTTCACTGAGCACATGACCATCCCCGCAAAAGGCGGTTTTTTGTTACCAAAAAGGAAGGAAAAATGGACAGGGCAACTACCAGCAATCTGCCATGGAATGTATCCTACCAGACATTTTTCTGTATGTTGCACATAATCAAATGACCACAAACTGGGTGGCCTAAAATACCAGAAATTGATTCTCTCACAGTTTTGGAGCCAGAACTCCAAAATCAAGGTGTTGTTGGGGCCACACTCCTTCCAATGCCTCTAGTGGACGATCCTCCCTGGCCTCTCCAGCTTCTGGTGGCTTCTTTGTTCCTTGGCCTGTGGCTGCATCACTTCAGCCTCTGCCTCCATGTTCACATGGACTTCCCCTCTGGGCCTTCTCCTCTTCTGTCTGTCTGTTTTTGAGACTGGGTCTCGCTCTGTCGCCCAGGCTGGAGTGCAGTGGTGTGAACACTGTTCACCTCAGCTTCGACCTCTGAAGCTCAAGCGATTCTCCCATCTCAGCTTTCTGAGTATCTGGGGCCACAGGTGCGTGCCACTGTGCCTGGCTAATTCTTTGTAGAGATGGGGTCTCACCGTGTTGCCTGGGCTGGTCTCAAGCGATCCTCCCACCTTGGCCTTCCAAACTGCTGAGATTACATGCGTGAGCCACTGCACCAGACCCTTTTCTGTCTCTTATAAAAACACTTGTCATGGCTGGGCATGGTGGCTCACGCCTCTAATCCCAGCATTTTGGGAGGCCGAGGCGGGTGGATCACCTGAGGTCAGGATTTCAAGACCAGCCTGACCAACATGGAGAAACCCCATCTCTACTAAAAATACAAAATTAGCCAGGTGTGGTGGCACATGCCTTTAATCCCAGCTATTCAGGAGGCTGAGGCAGGAGAATTGCTTGAACCCTGGAGGCGGAGGTTGCGGTGAGCCAAGATCACGACATTGCACTCCAGCTTGGGCAACAAGAGTGAAACACTGTCTAAAAAAAAAAAAACAAAACCAAAAAACCCCAAAAAACACAAAAACACTTGTCATTGGATTTAGGGCCCACCCAGGTAATCCAGGATCATCTCATTTTAAGATCTTTTATTTTTACATCTGCCAAGACCTTTTTTGCTTCATTTTTCTCACACCCAATCACATCCTGGACCCATCCATGAGTTCCAGGATGCGACCATATCCTTTAGGGTGAGGGGACCATTCAATGTCCTACACCCTCCCTGGAGCAGCAGATATTTCCAGGAATAGCAAAATATGGCTCTCCACATTGTCCTTGTTCATTTTAATTAGCAATGGCAGAGGAAGGGGACTGTAGTAAAACTTTAATGAAATGCTACACACTCTGGGAAGCGTAAGTGGATCTGGTTGCCTAGGGTCTGTTTAAAGTCAGAGAAACTCGGAAGGTTCTGCTAAGTGTTGGCATGTGGGTGCCAAGCTATTTTTGGTAGAATGGTAAACTATGCTAGCATGTTTTTCGATGTTTACCATGCATTTTAGAGAGGTTTCCTGCTAAATGAATTTTCAATTGAGAGCCAGCTCAGGAGTGGGCACAGAAAGATGGAAGGGTAAGAGAAACATTTCCAATGTACCAAGGTATGAGTTGCAGGGCCTCACTTCTTACTTAAAGAGCAAAATGTTGGCTAGGGGTAGTGGTGGAAAGTTCCTGATGCCAGATTTTTGAGGTGAGAGAAAGAAATAGTATCAGCCCTGTACCTGCCACTCTGTTCTTCATCTGCTTCAATTTCAGTTTCAGTATTTACTGAGACCATACTGGGCGCCAGGAAAGACTTATTTTCCTCAAGCCTCACAAGCAGCTAGGTGTTATTACTTTGTCCACTTTCCAGATGAGATGCTGTGATTCCGAGAGGTTAAGGCACTTGCGCCCATGATCATGTAGCTGTAAGTGGCTAAAGCAGAAGTTCTGAATGTTTTCTGACTGCTAACTTGGTGCTCTCTCTACCACAGCATGAGAGATGAACATTCCTTTCTGCTTACGGGTGCCTATCCTGGTAAGGGGGTAGAGAGAGGAGCAGGCTCATCTCCTACCCACCAGGGCTTGCTCCTTCCTCCCATTTGAAAGCAGAACAGGCTGCGGCAGGAGGCATGCAATTGGTGTTTCTGCCGGTCTCCAATCCTAGTGGAAGAAACTGCCTAATTAAAGTCTGCAGCATGCCCAGAAGCTTCCGGGGTTGTTTTCCGTGCAATCCCAGAGCCTGATGATACATATTCTTCATGTTTATGTGGCGGGATACACTGTGCTCCATGAACATGAAGTATTAGTGAGCCAATTTCACCATCTACGCAGCTACAGAGCAACCGGAAGGCATCCCTGTTTTAATTTATGAGGGACCAGCATGCGCAATCAATAGGTGCCCCACAGGTTATTAAAGAGGAGAAAGATGGCTCAGGCAGCCCTGTTTACTAACAGGGAAATGGTCTTCTGGCAGCTTCTGGCTTGCAATGCATTTACATTTCCTTTTCAGGCCAGAAACAGTGGTGTTCCCTTTTCATCTCAGCCCCGAGCCTGAGAACAGGGGGCTGGTGGAGGCTCAGGCAGAATCTGAAAGTGCCCTTCCCTGCACTGTAATCTCAGAGAGAGGATGGGGTGGGGAGTCAGCCCAAAGATTTGTGAAGTCCCTTTGTGTTTTGAGGCCCTGGAGAACAATAGCTTTCCAGGATGGGGGTTGGGATGTAGGGGATGGGAGTGGGTGACTGGGTGTGAGAACAACGAAGCAAAAAGGAATAGGCAACTCCTACCAGGCTGGCTGGAGGGGGAGTGGTCTTTGGTCGGCCTGCCAGTCTCTGGAGAAGTCCTTTTATTCACTGCTTTTGCTTTCTCTTTGTTTTGGGTCCTTTGATTTCAGGAAGCTATGGTTCTTTTGCAGTCTACTTTTTAATAATTCTGGAGGAAGAGGGTAGATTGGATTTTAAAATAAAACAGTAACAGCACTGGGTTATTTAAGTAGAAAGGAAAAAAGTACTTCCCTTCAGTCCACGTTCTGCAGGGCAAGATGGGGTAATACAGCAGTTCTCAAATTTTTTTGTCTCAGGACCCTTGTATATACTCTTAAAATGTATGTAGGTTAGTGGCAGAAAATTTAAAATATTTGTCAATTTTAAGATCACAATAATAAACCCATTACATGTTAATATACATATTTCTATTTAAATTAAATTAAATTAATTAATTTTAGCACAGTGAACTAGATTTAATTTAAAAAAAAAACAGGTAAACTGATTTCTTTTTAAAGAAAGAAAGGCCGGGCTCGGTGGCTCATGCCTGTAATCCCAGCACTTTGGGAGGCCGAGGCGGGCGGATCACGAGGTCAGGAGATCGAGACCATCCTGGCTAACACGGTGAAACCCTGTCTCTACTAAAAATACAAAAAATTAGCTGGGCATGGTGGTGGGCGCCTGTAGCCCCAGCTACTCGGGAGCCTGAGGCAGGAGAAAGGCGTGAACCTGGGAGGCGGAGCTTGCAGTGAGCCGAGATCGCGCCACTCCACTCCAGCCTGGGCGACAGAGCGAGACGCCTTCTCAAAAAAAAAAAAAAAAAAAAAAAAAGAAAGAAAGAAAATCTCTGGTCAGTTAAGGTCACTTCAGCTGCTTTTTAAAGTCGCTTTTTTTGGAATGATGGAAGTTGTCGCCAGGGGGCCCGGCTGTGGTGGGCCTGTGCCCATAGATGGTGGACTTGGAGAAGGAGACCCGCAGGTGGTGGTTCTCCCAGATGTCGTGGTTGTGTAGGGCAATGGGGGTCTGGACCGCCTCCTCCACGGAGCGCATTTGGATCAGCGCCATCTTGCGGTTCTTCTGGAAGAACTTGAATCCTATGACTATGCCCCCATGGCTGGAGGAGAGGACCTTGAGATCTTCCTCGGATACTGAGGGCGGGATGTTGGAGAGGTGCACGGTGGCCGAGGGCGGGAATATGTTCTGGAAGTTCTTGAAGCCTGGCTTCTTGAAGCGGTGCAGGGGCGAGTTGCCATAGTCCTTGGTCAGGCCCTGGTCCTCCCGGCCCTCGCGGGGCAGCTGCACGTTCTGGTGCTTCAAGGGCGTGATACGGATGAGATGCGGATGGGCTTCCCGTGCAGCTTGTGCCAGTTCAGGTGGCTCATGGCCAGCTGGGCCTGGTTGCCGTCCGCCATCTGAACCAGAGCGTTCTCCTTCTTATTGAACGGGATCTTCACGCGCTGCACGTCCCCGTAGACGCTGAAAAGAATAAAGAGGCTTTGGGGGCTGGGCGCGGTGGCTCACGCTTTTAATCCCAGGACTTTGGGAGGCTGAGGCAGGCGGATCACGAGGTCAGGAGTTCGAGACCAGCCTGACCAACATGGTGAAACCCCGTCTCTACTAAAAATACAAAAATTAGTCGGGCGTGGTGGCGCGGTTGTAATCCCAGCTACTCGGGAGGCTGAGGCAGCAGAATCACTTGAACCCCGGAGGGAGAGGTTGCAATGAGCCGAGATCACACTCCAGCCTGGGCAACAGAGCAAGACTCCGTCTAAAACAAACAAACAAACAAAAACAGAGGCTTTGGGGTGTGACTCTCTCTGGGTTGAGGCCGCTGACCAGCAAGACAGAATTTCCTGTCCCCGCCAGGCCCAGGATGGCGATCTGGCCTGCCGCTGCAGCTGCCGCCACCGCCGAGGGGATGGCCGGGGGGCCAGGGCTCCGTGGATGTTGGGAACTGAAAGGTCGAAGGCCACGGCCATGTCTGGTCCAGCGAGGGCTAGCTGTCCCCGGAGGGCAGGTCCGGGCGTGGTAGTCGCGGCTCTTGTCGTTGTTGTACTTTACGTTGAGGCTGATGAGCTTGGAGAAGTCGATGCACAGCGTGTGGCAGGCGTTGTAGGTGTTCTGCCAATCCAGCGACAGCTTGGTATGCTGGGCGTTCTCGGGGTCCGTGTACTGCAGCAGGGCCTGGAACTGGTTGTCCTTGATGAATGTGATGGTCTTCACTGTGCCGAACTTGGAGAAAATCTGGTGCAGCACATCCAGGGTCGTGGGGTAGAAGAGGTTCTCCACGATGATCCTGAGCACCAGGCTCTGCCCGGCCATCGCCATCCCTGCGTCTACGGCTGCCGCCGGGGCAGTCCAGGCCAGGTTCCCCGACTGGACCGAGTTCACGGCCTGAGGGCTGCCGGGTCCCGCGCCTGGTTGGGAGAGCTGTCGGTCTTCAGCCCCTTGTGGTTGGAGAACTGGATGTAGATGGGCTGGCCGCGCAGCACGGGCGTCACCGAGGTGTAGTAATTCACCATGGTGTTGGCAGCCTCCTCCGTGCTCATCTTGATGAAGGCCTGGTTTTTCCCCTTCAGCATCAGGAGGTTAGTAACCTTCCCAAAGGGCAGCTCCAGGGAGATCACCTCCCCTTCGATGACGTCGATGGGAGCTTCTGGATGTGGGTCACTCTGGAGGGGACACCGGCGCTTCTGCTGTCACCTTTGAACTTCTTGCTGCCATGTCCATTTGCTGCAGAGGCCGAGTTGCTGCTCATGATAAATGGTCTGTTAGTGACACAAGCAGAGAAAAGCTCGTCAGATCCCCGCTTTGTACCAACTGCTATATCTGGGACAATGCCGTCCATGGCACACACAGCAGACCCGTGGGGGATGGAGTGGAGGCACCAGAATATTTTATTATTTATTTATTTATTTATTTATTTTTGAGACGGAGTCTCGCTCTGTTGCCCAGGCTGGAGTGCAGTGGCACGATCTTGGCTCACTGCAACCTCTGTCTCCTGGGTTCAAGCGATTCTCCTGCCTCAGCCTCCTGAGTAGCTGGGATTACAAGCGCATGCCCAGCTATTTTTTGTATTTTTAGTAGAGACGGGGTTTCTCCACGTTGGCCAGGGTGGTCTCGAACTCCTGACCTCAGGTGATTTGCCCGCCTTAGCCTCCCAAAGTGCTGGAATTACAGGCATGGGCCACCGTGCCCGGCCCAAATTTCTATTTTTAAAAATCATATCTTCCAAACAAAATTTTCAGCAAGAAAAGTGAGATTATTTTACATTTTTGAAAAATGGCATTGTTTTGCATTGTGAAATATTTTGAAATTTTTAAAATGTGTGCATAACGGAAGATGAATGGATTCTCAAATATTTACTTTTGCATTCAGTATATTGCAATATGTTGGTTTGGTCAAAATGTGTGAAGAAAATCCAGCTTCACACAGATATGTAGCTGGAAAAGGGAAGAGTATTTAATAGTCCTCTTAGATAATTGTGGATATTCTTTTTTGGTACTACACCAAAACAGGTGTCTTAAAGGTTAGTTGCAATGTGAAGTCTGAAATTATGTCAATGAACTTTTCGTGTTCTGTTACATTAAAATCCATTGGTTTGTTGTGTACTTAGAATGGATCTTTTACCCATGCATGATTTTGTAATACAGTGCATTCAATGGTCATTGGAAAATATTTGTCTTTGAATTATGCAGGTATTTCAAATGTTGACACATTTTATTATACCATATCAGAAAAAAATCACGGTCATTAATATCACCAATCTATTTCCTTAAAAAAACCTTATGTATTGAGAAGCTGTCGAGCTCCACAGTGGTAAACAAAAGTTTTTCCAAATTCTAATTTTTGCTTGGAAGCTCAAATTTTATCATCAGCAACAAATACTATCAGTTGTTTTCCTTGAAGTGACAGGCTCCCTTTGTTCATTTTTAAGAAAATGTCTGCCAAATGCTTAGTCTGAAATAGCATTCTTTGTCATTTGTTCTTTCAAGAAAAAAGAAAAAAAGATGCTCCATGAAAAAAAGTGGTTTGTTCAACTCACAACTCAAATAATCGCCTAAGTGTTTTTCCTAGAGATAACTATCATAGTTTGGAACACAGCAAAAGTACTTTATGCATACTTCTCATTTTGTTACACAGTGGCTCAGTCTGTTGTGTGTTTCCATAACAGAATATCACTGACTGGGTAATTTATAAAGAAAAGAAATGTATTTTTTACAGTTCTGGAGGCTGAGAAGTTAAGGGGCCCGCCTCTGGGGAGGGCCTCCTTGTTCTGTCATCCCATGGCAGAAGGCAGAAGGGCGAGAGAGCTGCATGTGCAAGAGGAGAAAGGAGGCCGAGTTCCTCCTTTTTATCAGCAACACACTCCTGCGATAATGACATTAATCCGTTGATGAGGGCAGAGCCCTCATGACCATAATCACCTCTGAAAAGTCCCACTTCTCAACACTGTTGCAATGGGGATTAAGTTTCCAACACAAGAACTTTAGGGGACATACTGAAACCATAGCACACAGATTATTTTGAAAATTGTCAATATTTAATAGAATTAATTTTGACTGCTTCACCAAAGACACTCTCTCTCTTTTTTTTTTTTTTTTTTTTTTTTAAGTAGAGGCAGGGTCTCAGACTCCTGGCCTCAAATGATCCTCTGGCCTCGGCTGAGGCCTCCCGAAGTGCTGGGATGATGGGGTGAGCCAAGGCACCCAGCCTAAGGGCATTTGTTTAAGTGAATTTGGCATTCGTTTTTCCTGCAAGTGTGTGACAGTGATGACTAGCACAGTTGGATGCTTAGGCTTTGGTTCATGCTAAAATGCCAGTAGTTTTACCCACCATCAGTGCAAATTGTCGACACAGTGAAAAAGGCAGAAAACATCATATGATTATTATGAAAGTAGTTTTGATTTCAGGAATACCTCAGAAGAATGGCAGGAACCCTCAGGGGTCTATGGATCACACTTCGAGAACAGCTGGTGTAGTGGATGCAACAAATGACTCAAAGTCAGAGACTTACCCCAGCTTTGCCTCAGGCTGGCTCTGTCTTGTGCGAGTCATTTTACCCAAGTGTCTTGGTATTCTTATTTTTGACATAAACTGGTTGGATTAAATGATCTCTATCGCCTCATTGTCACCTAAGGAACACTGTGGAGCACGGAACAGTCTTTATCGTTGACTTCTTAGCATCATTATTTTTCCTGTTTTTCTCTAATATGGCTTGCTCTGTTGTATTGTCAGGATAAATAAGCACGTATTCTCTTCTTATCCCTTTACAAAAGGGAGGGCAACTGGCTCTCCTGTAGAGCAGGAGCTCTATTGTAGAGAATGAGCTGAATGATCCACCTCTACTGCTTAGGGAGAAGATTTGACATCCGTGTATGCTATTTGAACACTGTGCCTTTGGTCCCAAATTGTTCCCGGAGTGGGGGCATTTTCAGTTAATGTAGGGGGGGGAGGGGGGCTCTTTAATGAAATTCAGCCAGGAAAATAGGGGCCAAGCTATAATAATAAGAGAAATGTGCATTTTTCATGAAAAATAAAGAAGACCAGACTGGAGGGTTTTCTGAAGAAATCTACATTATTTGGTGGTGGTGATGTATATTTGCCTTCAGATGGAAAGAAGCCAGCGTTCTCCTACTTCTCCTTTAGCCCTGTTTATGTGTCAGAATTTACCTCTTGCCTCTACAGAGCCAGCAAAAGCCTAAGCTAAGGGAAAATGCAGTGATCCCAGCTGATGCCTGAAGAGACAGAATTTGTGAGGCTCAAGAAGGGACAGGCCGGGCGCAGTGGCTCACGCCTGTAATCCCAGCACTTTGGGAGGCCAAGGCGGGCGGATCATGAGGTCAGGAGATCGAGACCATCCTGGCTAACACGGTGAAACCCCGTCTCTACTAAAAATACAAAAAATTAGCCGGGCCTGGTGGCGGGCGCCTGTAGTTCCAGCTACTCAGGAGGCTGAGGCAAGAGAATGGCGTGAACCTGGGAGGCGGAGCTTGCACTGAGCCGAGATCGTGCCACTGCACTCCAGCCTGGGCGACAGAGCAAGACTCCATCTCAAATAAATAAATAAATAAATAAATAAATAAAAGAAGGGACTGCAGGGCTGGGACTGCATTATCCTAAGAGAAGTGGTATGCCTGGGGCACCTGACGAGGGCCACATGTAAGACAGGATTGTAGAGAAAAGGAGAACATTCACATAAGACAGCACACAAAAGGCAGCACAGAAACATATCGTCGCCTTTGTGAATTTTATAAAAACCAAAATGTAGCTAACCAAGGTATGTCTTGTTTCCTCCACCTTTGTAAAGCTTTAGAATAAGTACTTGAACACTTCAACAGAAGAGTGGCATTTGGTCTGGAGAAGAGAGGTGGGTCAATATGGCAGAAGCTCTTGAAGCGAACCTCCACCTAACCAAATCATCCGGGTAGCAGATGCTCCCTGTTGCCTCTATAGAACCCGCTAATGCCCACGGCGTGCCAGATACCCAACTAGTAGAGGTACTCTCAGGTACTTCTGTTCCCACAAATTGAGCTAAGCGCTCACAAGAAGCCAGGGCTATTGGTTCCCAACCCACATCTGCCCATGCTACTTGCAATTCTGATTATGCAATTTAATTATCATGAAAACCAATGAAATGTGAGTGCAAAAATAAGTTCTTGTTCCTATGAAAACTAGAGTTGTATGCTTTGGAAAGATTTGATAAAAAGAAGTTACACACAAAAATTGCTGTTGAATTAGTGTGGGAAAGACATGTGGTGAAGACTAGCAAAAAAATCATAAATATTTTAGGGTAATTCTCGGTAATGTAGAGTAAGGCTCGGATTGCCTTGTGTGTTTCAGTTCTCCTTCTACTCTAAAGAAACCCAAACTGGAATGTATGGTAGATTCCAATAGAAAAGTAAGCTCTGTGAGTGCAGAGACTTTGTGTTGTTTACTGCTGTGTCCTTATCACCTAAATTATGTCTGGCACATAGTAGGAACACAACACATATTTGTAGAATAAACAAACTGTAGGTTGGGCGCAGTGGCTCACGCCTGTAATCCCAACACTTTGGGAGGCCGAGGTGGGCGGGTCATGAGATCGAGAGATCAAGACGAGCCTGGCCAACATGGTGAAACTCCGTCTCTACTAAAAATACAAAAATTAGCTGGGCATGATGGCACACTCCTGTAATCCCAGCTACTCGGGAGGCTGAGGCAGGAGAATTGCTTGAACCTGGGAGGTGGAGGTTGCAGTGTGCTGAGATCACACCACTGCACTCCAACCTGGCGAAAGAGCGAGACTCTGTCTCAAAAAAATAAATAAATAAACTGTAGATACAGGGAATGCAAGAAAGATAAAGCAGAACTTCAATTAATAGATACCTGCTCCAAGAAAATGCCTTGATCCTACCCTTAAAGAAAATGATAACGAAACTTACCTTTATGTGCTTTAAGTTAAAATTGAAAGTTTAAGGTATGCTTTTACCATTTTCCCTGGTTTCCCTTGCAGATATTTTTAGTTAGTGAAATATCTACTGTCCTGACCACATTGGACAGGGGGGCTTAGCTTGTATTCAGAAGTGGGGACAGCATTTTGGTTATCTAATAGGCACTGCCCACCCCATGGTGGATTTCCAGATCAGCAGAGGACTACCCAGATCATGATACTTAATGCAGACTCCTCTGATCTCCCCTCTCCAGAAGGTAACTAGAAAAACCTGCTCTGGCTCAGAAAGGAAGAGACCTGATAGGAGGCAGGTTGCATCTCTAGATAGAGATTGGTCCAGAAGGAAAGGCCATCCCTTTGAACCTTCTCTGACCCTACGGTAAGCTATAGTGGGGATGTGTGCAGGTAACAAATGCCTCTTCCACTTCAGATTGTGTTTGAGATTCTTTGGATTTGGACTTAGAGGATCTGAGCTCAAATTTCTATATACAATTAGCCCTTGAACAACACAGGTTTGAACTACACAGTCCACTTATACGTGAATTTTCTTTTGCCTCTGCCACCCCAGAGACAAGAAGACCAAACCCTCCTCTTCCTCCTCCTCCTTCTCAGTCTGCCTACTTAACATGAACATGATAAGGATGAAGTGGAAGTGATGATCCACTTCCATGTAATGAATATAAATATATTTTCTCTTTCTCCTTCCTTCCCTTCTTCCTTCCTTTTCCTTCCTTCCTTCCCTCATTTTCCTTCCTTCCTTCCTTCGCTTTTTCCTTCCTTCCCTCCTTCCTTTCTTTCTTGACAGAGTCTTGCTCTGTCATGCAGGCTGGAGTGCAGTGACACAATCATAGCTCACTGCAGCCTTGAACTCCTGGGCTCAAGTGATCCTTCTGTCTCAGCCTCTGGAGTAGCTGGAACTATAGGTGCACAACACCACACCCAGCTAATTATTTATTTATTTTTTTAATTTTTTCTTTTTTTTGAGATAGAGTCTCATTCTGTCACCCAGGCTAGAGTGCAGTGGCATTATCTCGGCTCACTGCAACCTCTGCCTCCCAGGTTCAAGCAATTCTCCTGCTTCAGCCTTCCGTGTAGCTGGGATTATAGGCGCCCACCACCATGTCTGGCTAATTTTCATATTTTCAGTAGAGACGGGGTTTCACCATGTTGGCCAGGCTGGTCTCAAACTCCTGACCTCAGGTGATCTGCCCACCTCAGCCTCCCAAAGTGTTGGGCCACCGTGCCCAGTCAATTATTTTTTATTTTGTAGAGATGGAGACTCACTGTGTTGCCCAGGCTGGCCTCAAACTGCTAGACTCAAGTGATTCTCCTGCCTTGGCCTCCCAAAGTGCTAGGATTACAGGTGTGAGCCACCATGCAAGGCCTATAATTAATAACATTTTCTTTCCTCTAGCTTACTTTATTGTATATAAGTAAGCTTTATTGTATATAAGCATATATACTTTATTGTATATAAGTATATAAGACATACAAAATATGTGTTAGTTGGTTGTTTATAATATTGGTAAGGTTTCCAGTCAACAGTAGGCCATTAGTAGTTAAGTTTTGGGGGAGTTAAAAGTTACATGTGAAGTTCTTACTGCACAGGAGTTGGTGCCCTTGTCCCTGTGTTATTCAAGGATCAACTACTAATATATTAACCTTGTGGCCTTGAACTAATTAGCACACTTCTCCAAGCCAGAACTTCCTAACTGGTGGCCAGGGAGTGGGTTACAGGTATGATAAGATATTGATCCTCTCAATGCAAGGCCTAGGGCAGCTAGAACCTCTGGGTTAATTACCTCTGGTGCCAGCAGCCTCATACTTTTTCCATAGTGTGATATGTGTGTGTGTGTGTGTGTGTGTGTGTGCACATAAATGTTTTTTTCCGTTTCCTATGTGTATCATGATATGGAACAGGTTATGAACATTAAGAGTTGCAGCATTAGCTCCTCAGCTAATAATGCCCATTATGCCTCTGTGAACAGGTTGTTGAGAGGATCATATGAGATACAGGTGTGAAATACTGTGAAAACTGTGAGAGTTATAAAGTAGTAGGCAGGGTGCAGTGGCTCACGCCTGTAATCCCAGCACTTTGGGAGGCCAAGGCGGGTGGATCACCTGAGGTCGGGAGTTCAAGATCAGCCTGACCAACATGGTGAAACCCTGTCTCTACTAAAAATACAAAATTAGCCGGGCATGGTGGCACATGCCTGTAGCCCCAGCTACTTGGGAGGCTGAGGCAAGAGAATCGCTTGAACCTGGGAGGTGGAGGTTGCGGTGAGCTGTGATCGTGCCATTGCACTCCAGCCTGGGCAGCAAGAGCAAAACTCCGTCTCAATAAAATAAAGCAGGAGGCCTCATGACAGACCAAGTGCCTGGTGTTATCTAGCAGCACGGGAAAGTTTGATTCCATTTCTCTAGCCCTAGTTTCTTCACCAGATTCTTGAATCAGTAGAGAAAGAAGGGTGGGGGCAGGAGGAGTTGGCATATGGTGATCAAAATATTATCTTTATTTCTGGTAACTCTGATATTAGCATTATCTGTAGACAAGTGAGCTTCCTAATACTAAACCCCAATATCATTTTCCCACCCAGTCATGGGTAGCTCCAAATATTCATCTCCTGCAGGGGAAACGTCTGTACAGGGCAGAAAGCATACTCCCTGTGGGCAGAAAAGAGAAGAGGAGGGGATTGGTCCATGCATGTCAAGTTTCTTCTTCTACACTTGCCAGTCAGATACCTCACTTACCTCTCCTGGGACGGAGTGAGGGGTGGGAGGGAACAGGGGCAGGAGTGTTCCATTAATAGACTAGTGGGTAGGATTCTTCACACTGAAGAATGCATATCACTTGTACCTGCTTGAGATTTGGAAGGAGGCTGTGGTCTGTGTTGTCTGCTGTTTCCTTGCAAATATGGGCACAGGGGCACTGGACTTCCACAGGTGTCATTCTGGAGCCACACCTACTGTGGTGGCTTCCTGGTCCCTTCACCTTCTTGACGGGGACACAGGTAGCAGCTTCTTTAGCAGACATTTCTGCAATGTTCTGCTGGTTATTGCTGGCAACATAGCCTAGGACCTGCTCCTTTAGCCTACCAGTGAATTTTTAAGCACCTAATTTCCTGAATTAAATTCTTTTCTTCTTAGAGTGTTCAAGTGGTGGCTATTATCTGAAATATAACAGTGATGGAGGAGCATTTTATCAGTATTAACCTTTCTTGGAAAACTTCTCTTTTGCTGTCCCCTCCCTGCCTTCCTGCATTGGTTCTTTTTGTTTCTTATTGACCAGCATTGGGTCACATACCTATACCTAAAACTATCACTGACCAAGGGAACACTGTCCATGTTCAGATCACACTAATCATCAAATAGCCAGTGTGGAATGGTGAGCATCCCACCTTTTTAGACATATATTTTCTCATCTAGCAGCTTAGGTTCTGCTGATTATTTTGGGACCCCATGCCTAGGTCTTAGAGAGAAATCTTCAACATTTAAAAGCTAATCTTATTCCAAGCTACCTCACCAGATTCCTGGGTTCTTCTCTAATTATAATCTAAACTAGCACTCTTCTGCAACACATTAAATATCTGTTGAATAACAACAACTGTGATATGTTATTATGAATAACACAATAAATATCTGTTGAATTGATTGGATTTTAACTCTGAGTCTGGCAGTTTCAGAGGCAGCCCTGGGTTACCCTGGGTTACTACTGATGGAGAGTAGGCTACAAAGCCATTACACCTCAGCTATTGGCTACTCAAGTGCATGCCTTGGAATGGCAGCAGGAAGAGCAGGTGAAACTCATTGTCAGACCCTTGTCTCCAGTTCATTACTTAAAAAAGAACAAAGACTTCTAGATGCCCTTGAAGAAAGAGGAGTGCCGTCTTCCCTTTTGTCACCTGGGTTGCTTTCTGGAGAAATCAGGCCTCACCTCCTTCCACAGTCTGACACAGTGATGACATTTTTTAAGGACGGTAGTGGTTTTGGTTAAATTATCTTTCCTCTTGGAGATTCAGATCCAATCAGTGAATATATATCGAGTATCTGCTTCATGCAAAGAATGCACGGGGCTGTAGAGTACACATCTTGTTTCTTATCCCCAAGTGGTTTATCAACTCATGTGTAAACAATGCTTTTTCTTGTTTTTCACTACTCAGGTCATTAAAGGAAGATCTAAAATTCATATTTCTGATTCATTTGAATGGGTGCATATGGGGAGATAGGAAGGAGTTTTACTTCAGTTCATAAAAGTTTTAAACTGCAATCTTTTTCTGGAGAGCAGGGGGGACAGAGTCTCACTCTGTTGCCCAGGTTGGAGTTTAGTGGAATAATCACGGCTCACTGCAACCTCTGCCTCCTGGGCTCAAACAATCCTCCTGCCTCAGCCTCTTGGCGCATGCCACCATGGGGGCCCAGCTAATTTTTCTGTAGAGATGAGGTCTCACTACTGCCCAGGCTGGTCTCAAACATCTGGACTCAACTGATCCTCCCACTTCAGCCTCCCAAAGTGCTGGGATTACAGGCATAAGCCACCACACCCAACCTACAATCTTTTAAGTCATTTTCTGGAGACTGAAAGAGATTTACTGGTTGTGACCCTTTAGGGACCTCTCTGCTTGGAAGGAAGGGACTATGTTTTTTTGAATCATTTTTTTTAGTAGCTAACCCAGCTGAACTGTAAAGCCACACAGGCAGGGAGTTGATGATATCACTCACCTGTGTATTTGCAGTTGCCAAGCCCATTTTTGTTAGATGCCTGACAAATGCCAACGGATCTAGGGAAGAGTGAAGGAAGGGGTGCCACAGTCCAAGAGGAAATACATAGTCCAAGAGGAAATACACAATGCATTTTAGATGAGGGATAGTTTGATATTCACCCACCCTCTCTACCTTGACCAGTGATCTCTCCTTGCTACCTCCTTTCAGCCCATGCTCAGCCACTGCACCTGTTTCTAGAGCATTAGTAGCTTCTGCAAATATTGCAAACCCTTTCAGGACCTCCCATCTAAATTAATTCCTGTATAAACAAGACAAAAAGGCAATTTGAAGGAGAAACGGGACCTTCAAAATTCTCTAAGTCAGCATAGGATTTTTTTTTTAAGTAAGAATATCACTGTATTTTCCTACTGGTGATTTTTCTTTTTTTCTTTTTCAACTTTTATTTTAGATTCAGGTACATGTGCAGCTTCGTTACCTGTGTAGATTGCAAGATGCTGAGGTTTGGGGTACAAACAGGTAATTTTTCTATAGCTTCAACCTTTTCTCCTCAAAATGAAAAAAACACCACCAAAAAATCCCAGCCAGGTGTGGTGGGTCACACCTATTATCCCAGTGCTTTGGGAGGCCGAGGTGGGAGGACCACTTGAGCCCAGGGATTCAAGGCCAGCATGGGCAACATATTGAGCCCTTACCTTTACAAAAAATAAATAAAGTTAGCCAAGCATAATGATGTGTACCTGTAGACCAAGCTACTCGAGAGGTTGAGGTTGGAGGATTGCTTGAGCTAGGGAGGTCAAGGCTGCAGTGAGCCATGATTGCACTCCAGCCTGAGAAACAGAGTGAGGCCCTGTCTTAAAAAAAAAAAAAGTTTGCATTTCTGAATGGCTAGCATCCCCTTGGATCTGCAGTTAGGCTCCCTACATTCCAGCCTTAGCACAATCATCTGGGTAGTTTCAGCCTTCTTCCAGAAAATCAGTTTTGTCTGCCCACCGTAACCACTCTGCTTCTGATCACAGCGCATCTTCCCCTGGGCATAGGAGGAATCCTTGCCCTTATACTGGGGCACTTTGTAAGGCTGATGCTTGCCACACTTCTTACAGAAAGCTCTTCTGGTTTTAGGCACATTGACCATATTTGCAGTAGAGCTTTCTACACGATGAAAACAGGAAGTTTGGGGTCTGCAATTCTTGCTTCACCTGGCTCGTGCCTAACAAGAAAGGGAGGAATCAATACTTTCTTTCAAAGGCATTTCATCTGATAAACTCTCAGCCCAAGGCATGACAGTCAATTTCTGTAGATAATAAAACCTCTCGGGGTCAATGAGGAGATACCCTTAATATCTAAGTGTGTGACTGGGGTCATATTCATGCAGTATAGAATGAACAGTGTCTAAACATTTGTTATGGGCCAAGTCGTGTCCCCATAAAATTCCTATGTTGAAGTCCTAACCTGTATTACCTTAGAATGTAACTGTATTTGGAGATAAGTTCTTTAAAGGCATGATTAAGTGAAAATGAGGTCTTTAGAGTGGGCCCTAATACAAAATGATTGGTATCCTTATAAGAAGAGGAAATTTGGACAGAGAGAGAGACAACAGACATGTTCGCAGGCATGGATGAAAGACCTGTGGGGTCCCAGCGAGAAGGTGGCCATCTGCAAGCCAAGGAGAGGCCTCAGAACAAACCAAACCTTACCACGCTTTGAGCTTGGACTTTTAGCCTCCAGAACTGCGAGCAAACACATTTCTGTTGTTTAGGCCCTCTTGTCTGTAGTATTTTCTTGTGGCAGCCCTAGCAAACTCATTCCATGTTTCTTACAGAATTCTTCATTGTGGTGTTACCACAAAGATGTGTTTGTGCAATGCATTTGTTGTTCTTACTGGGCGCTGTGTGATTGAGATTACAGAACAAGGCACAACTGACTGATAACACACGGAAACAGGTTTTGCTAGAGGGAAGAAGTTGGCAGGACTTTATGAAGTCTCGGGAAATTGTATACTCCTTCAAACCTAGAGTTATTTTTTTAACCCCCAAAATGATTCCTTTAAATGTTTCTTTTTTATCTGTTCACTCCCATATCCTCTTCTCTCTCCACTTCGCCATGCTTCCACTTTCCCCATCACCCAGTCCCCCCCACGACACACACACACCCGCCAACACATCCATGTGCCCTTGAGCAGGCCCTGATATCCATTTCTGCCTCTGCCTAATAAAAATTAAAATAGCTCCTTCCTTTTGGCCAGAACCGCCATCTTCCAGTAATTCGCCAAAATGACGAACACAAAGGGAAAGAGGAGAGGCACCCGATATATGTTCTCTAGGCCCTTTAGAAAACATGGAGTTGTTCCTTTGGCCACATGTATGCGAATCTATAAGAAAGTTGATATCGGCCGGACGCGGTGGCTCACGCCTGTTAATCCCAGCACTTTGGGAGGCCGAGACGGGCGGATCACGAGGTCAGGAGATAGAGACCATCCTGGCTAACACGGTGAAACTCCGTCTCTACTAAAAATACAAAACATTAGCCGGGCGTGGTGGCAGGCGCCTGTAGTCCCGGCTACTCCGGAGGGTGAGGCAGGAGAATGCGTGAACCCGGGAGGCGGAGCTTGCAGTGAGCCGAGATCACGCCACTGCACTCCAGCCTGGGCGACAGAGCGAGACGCCGTCTCAAAAAAAAAAAAAAAAAAAAGAAAGAGAGAAATAGAGAAAGAGAAAGAAAGAGAGAGGAAGGAAGGAATGAAGGAAGGAAGAAAAAGAAAGAAAGAAAGAGAAAGAAGGAAAGAAGGAAAGAAAGAAAGAAAGAAGGAAAGAAAGAAAGAAAGAAAGAGAAAAGAAAGAAAGAAAGCAGGAAAGAAAGAAAGAAAGAAAGAAAGAAAGAAAGAAAGAAAGAAAGAAAGAAAGAAAGAAAGAAAGAAAGAAAGAAAGAAAGAAGGAAAGAAAGGTGATATCGTAGATATCGTAGACATCAAGGGAATGGGTACTGTTCAAAAAGGAATGCTCCGCGAGTGTTATCATGGCAAAACTGGAAGAGTCTGCAGTGTTACCCAGCACGCCGTTGGCATTGTTGTAAACAAACAAGTTAAGGGCAGGATTCTTGCCAAGAGAATTAATGTGCGTATTGAGCACATTCAGCACTCTAAGAGCCAAAATAGCTTCCTGAAACACGTAAAGGAAAATGATCAGAAAAAGAAAGAAGCCAAAGAGAAAGGTACCTGGGTTCAACTGAAGCACCAGCCTGCTCCATCCAGAGCAGCACACTTTGTGAGAACCAATGGGAAGGAGCCTGAGCTGCTGGAACCTATTCCCTGTGAATTCATGGCATAATAGGTGTTAAAAAAAAAAAAAAGACCTCTAGACTATAAAAATGTTTCTCTTTATTGAGAAGTGTGGTGTCCTCTCCCGCAAAGAAATATATATATATAAATCTATATATAAATCTATATTTATATATATATAAATTTATATATAAATATAGATTTATATATAAATATATATATAAATATAGATTTATATATAAATATATATATATATAAACATATATATATATATATATATATTTTTTTTTTTTTTTTGAGATGGAGTCTCACTCTTGTCGCCCAGGCTGGAGTGCAGTGGCACGATCTTGGCTCACTACAACCTCCGCCTCCCGGGTTCAAGCGATTCTTCTGCCTCAGCCTCCGGAGTAGCTGGGAATACAGGCATGTGCCACCATGCCCGGCTAATTTTTTTTGGTAGTTTTAGTAAAGATGGGGTTTCCCCATGTTGGCCAGGCTAGTCTCAAACTCCTGACCTCAGTGATCTGCTTGCCTCGGCCTCCCAAAGTGCTGGGATTACAGGAGTGAGCCACCACACCCGGCCCTCCCACAGAAATATTTAAGGTAAATTTTAATTGTGCGGTAATTCATTATGTAATGTCTTTACTATTCAAATTTAATGTGTTTCTTGCTGCAAGTATGCCACAAATTACTGAATTGGTTAGAAATTGGCCAGTATTATGTATGAAATATTTGTACTGGTTTGAAATAGTCCCTCTAAATCATCAAGGAAGAAATAAAATAATTCACAAAAATTGAAAAAAATTAAAAGAAAAATAAAATAGCTGCTGTATTCTGTTTTGGTTTGTTTGTTTTCCTAAGGCTTTATGCAGATTTCTGCAACCAAAAGTTGAGACAGGTTTGAAAACCTGTTTGTGAGGGTAAGATTTTTCTACTTGACCTCAAATCAGTCAGGGAAGATGGGTTCAGCAAATCAGGCAGTCACTCTGAGGTGTTAGGAGAGGTTTTTATTAGGGGAGGAAAACTACCTGCAAGACTTGGTTGGGAATCCACCATGTCTACAGGGCAAAAAGGCACAGTGGACGCAGCTCCGATGAGGACTACATATCAGGTAGGAGCAGAGAAAGAGTCTCCCGTGGCTGGGGGCCCAGAAAAGCCCCAGGTCAGGGTCTACAGGAGTCTGTCTCCCACCTGGGGTGCCATGATGTCAGCTCCCTCATATATGGAAGTAGATTAGGCTCTGGGAGGCCTAGAGTCACTTACCTCTGGATCTGAACTGTAAAAATTCAATTTCCTGAACAATAAATAAGAATAAAATAGGCCGGGCACGGTGGCTCACGCCTGTAATCCCAGCACTTTGGGAGGCCGAGGCGGGTGGATCACCTGAGGTCAGGAGTTCAAGGATAGCCTGGCCAACATGGTGAAACCCTGTCTCTACTAAAAATACAAAAAATTAGCTGGGCGTGGTGGCACGCCCCTGTAATCCCAGCTACTAGGGGGGC
Source organism: Homo sapiens (assembly GCF_000001405.40). Lineage (NCBI taxonomy): Eukaryota > Metazoa > Chordata > Mammalia > Primates > Hominidae > Homo > Homo sapiens. Next base: position 65,265,184 of record NC_000014.9, on the reverse strand, counting down.
TGAGGCAGGATGATCGCTTGAACCTGGGAGGCAGAGGTTGCAGTGAGCCAAGATCGTGCCACTGCACTCCAGCCTGGGCAACAGAGCGAGACTCTGTCTCAAAAAAAAAAAAGAATAAAGTAAGATTAGACTAGATCAAACAAACAGGCCGGGTGTGGTTGCTCACACCTGTAATCCTAGCACTTTGGGAGGCCAAGGCAGGTGAATCACAAGGTCAGGAGTTCAAGACCAGCCTGGTCAATATGGTAAAACCCTGTCTCTACTAAAAATACAAAAATTAGCTGGGCGTGGTGGCAGGTGCCTATAATCCCAGCTACTTGGGAGGCTAAGGCAGGAGAATTGCTTGAACCTGGGGGTGGGGAGGCAGAGGTTGCAGTGAGTCAAGATCACGCCATTGCACTTCAGTCTGAGCAACAGAGTGAGACTCTGTCTCAAATAAATAAATAAATAAATAAATAAATAAATAAATAAATGACAATCACACATCAGGCTGGCCTAGCTCAGGGGCAGGGACAATGGGCAGAGCCTCACCTGCTCTCACCTTGCCTGTCCTTCCTCCTCCTCTAGCAGTAACCAAGGACTCTCGGTGGATGCCCTTGACTGAAACCCAGGGTGAAAATAACCAGATTTGATTATTTCTAAGGTAAATGATGTTCTGGGCAACAATGGGCTTTGGGGGAAGGGGTACTGATTTATAGTGTCTGCTGATTTCAGTGGTGTAAATACTACCACCATGGCTAAATTCGAACTTACCAACAACACATCACTGAATGCAGCATTGGCCATGCAATCGCATATCATATAGTAAAGTAATTATGAAGTAACAAGGGATTTTTTTTCTTTTTGTTTTTTGAGATGGAGTCTTGCTCTGTTGCCCAGGCTGGAGTGCAGTGGCACTAGCTCGACTCAACTGCAAACTCCACCTCCCAGGTTCAAGTGATTCTCCTGTAGAATTGTATCTTTATTCTCCTGCCTCAGCCTCCTGAGTAGCTGGGATTACAGGCACCCACCACCACACCCAGCTATGTCTGTATTTTTAGTAGAGGCAGGATTTTGCCATGTTGCCCAGGCTAGTCTCGAACCTCTGACCTCAAATGATCCACCTGCCTCAGCCTCCCAAAGTGCTGGGATTACAGGCATAAGCCACTGCGCTCTACTGAAATAATCAGTTTTGAATATTTATTACCTTTGTTTTAATACGGTTTATTTGATTGTAAGTTTATATAATTCAATTTTTTGAGAACGGCTGTGTTTAACAATCAGCTTACAAAATTCCTGAAAATTTAACAATTGGTTCTTGCAAACTGGTATCCAGGATACCACTCACTATCAAGGACCTTTTTAGCTCCAACCTTCTAAATGTTTATACTAAGGCATAAACCATTTGAAGCTGGGAAGGGGCAAGTGGGAATAATCCTAGGGATTTTGAGAGTGTGCTCAGGAGGAAAAAAACAAAACAAAACATGTTTTCAATGTCACATCCATCACAGAGAAGATAACTTGGCAAAAAACAGGTGTCCAGTCAGTGAATGATACAATGTCTCAGTGAGGCAATGACTCAACCCTCACTCAGTAGGCTCTGTACTTCAAGTTATTTTTTCAGTTAATACTAGCGAGGGTTTATACTCATCCAGCCACATTCTATCATCCAGCCTTCCAGTGGGCCAGGGAGCACCAACTGTGCTGATACCTGTGGCAAAAAGGTGCCAGCAATGCACTGTTAGTGTGTTGACTAACTTTACACAGGCTCCAACAAGGACTTCGTCCAATGACCCAAGCTGATTCCAGTGGATAACTCAGCCAGGTCAAGAGGCCCACGTGGGCCTCCAGGCCACATGATCACCCGCTATGGGTGGGTATGATCTTACTGTGTCTTATCACTCGCCCTGGCTACTATCTCCCTTCTGGTAGGATCAGTGTTTAATTCATATTTTTGTACTTCCATTCTTCCCGGAGTTTTTGAGAATAGTGTGCATGTTCAATAGCCAAGTAGTTAAGAGCATGGATTCTGAGCCAGACTCTCTGGGACCAAAAATTCTAGTTCTGTGACTTACTAGCTGTGTAATCTTGGGCAAGCTGCTTAACTTCTCTGGACCTCAATTTTATCCTCTATAAAATATGAATAATAACAGTACCTACTTCACAGCAATATTGGGAAGATTAAATGAGTTTTGTACATACCCAGTATACCCTGTACTTAGAACAATGCCTGGCACATAGAATATACTATTTAAATGTCAGCTGTTATTATTACATAATATATATATGTTCTATTGGCCAGGCACAGTGGCTCACACCTGTAATCCCAGCACTTTGGGAGGCCAAGGTGGGCAGATCACGAGGTCAGGAGATCAAGACCATCCTGGCTAACACAGTGGAACCCCGTCTCTACTAAAAGTACAAAAAATTAGCCAGGTGTGGTGGCGGGCACCTGTAGTCCCAGCTATTTGGCTGAGGCAGGAGAATGGCGTGAACCCGGGAGGCGGAGCTTGCAGTGAGCCGAGATCATGCTACTGCACTCCAGCCTGGGCAACAGAGCGAGACTCGTCTCAGAAAAAAAAAAATAATTATATATATTTATATATATATATATATTCTATTATTATTATGTAATAGATGAATGAATGCAGGTATCCAAAAACATGGGGAAAAAGACCCTGAATGGTTGTGTAAGTATTCTTCTGGAAAACAAGGCCAAGTATGGAATTATAATAATAAATACAATACAAAAATAGCAGTAACGTTGGCTGTGTCTCTGAAATGTAATTACTAAATTTTTAAAATGCACTTTACAAGCATTATTTTACTAACTCCTCATAAAAATCCTAATAGGAAGGAACTACCATTCTGTATATTACAAAATTAAGAAAAGTGAGGCTTGTGGAGGGTAACTGCTATAATCTGAAGGTTTGTGTCCTCCCAAAATTCACATGTTGAAATCTAATCCCAAAACGATGGTATTTAGAAGGGGGGCCGTTGGGAGGTAAGTAGGTCATGAGGGCAGAGCCCTTGGGAATGAGATTAGTGCTGTCATAAAGAGGCTCCAGGCTGGTCGCTGTAGCTCATCCCTGTAATCCCATTACTTTGAGAGACAGAGGCAAAAGGATCACTTGAGCCCAGGAGTTTGAGAACAGCCCAGGCAACATAAGGAGTCCCTATCTCTACACAAAATTTTAAAAAGTCAGCTGTGGTGGCATCTACTTGTGGTCCCAGCTATTTGTGAGGCTGAGGTGGGAGGATTGCTTGAGCCCAGGAGGTTGAAGCTGCAGTGAGCTATGATCATGCCACTGCACTCTAGGCTGGATGCCAGAGCAAGACCCTGTCTTAAACAAACAAACAAACAAACAAAAAAGGGACCCCAGAGAGATTCCCTCACTCCTTCCACAATGTGAGGACACAGTGAGAAGGCAGCTGTCTGTGAACCAGGAAGCAGGCCCTCATCAGACACCAAATCTGCTGGCACCTTGATCTTGAACTTCCCAGCCACCAGAACCATGAGAAATAAATCAGTGTTGTTTCTAAGCCACCCAGTCTACTTTCTCAACACCACAGTCAATGACTCAAATACATGTCCTATGACTCCAGCACTTGAGCTCTTAACTGCTAGCCTATACAGCTATATCCACAGCCCCAGCAGCCAGCTCCTGGCCTCTAGCCCACCTGTCATCTCTCCTCTCACTTATCCCTCCACGTCCATCCAAGACTTACCTCTTTTCTGAAGATTTCTCAGATTTCCCCTTGGTAGGAAGCTCCCAGCTCTTGGATATACTGTGTGCCCCTCTCTCCTGTCCGTGAGTATGTTACCTTGGACTCACTTTGTCTATGTCACACAGAGGTTCTTTGTTTCTCCCCTTGAGAAGGAAAGTTTTTTCCAAGTCAGAGGTGTTGTTTCTCTTTGGTTTCTATCTTTGCGGCTCCCAAACATCCTGGTGGTAGTGATCATTACCAGTTGCTGAGCACCAAATGCTTTACATGCATTGTTTTCCTTAATTCTTACAATAATCCTATTATCCTATTAGGTGGACACAATTTCTGTCTCCATTTTCCAGATGAGGAAACTGAGGCTAGAAGAGGTTAAATGACTTGGTACAGTTACTTGAGGATCAGAGCTAGGATTTAAACCTAGGTCTGTTTAATCTCAAGCTCACATTCTTAATCACATCTGTTTTTAATCATGTTTGGTTCTTAAATATACACTGGAGAGGGAATGAGTCTTAGCCTTGACCAAAGCTCCCAGAGCCATGAGGGCCTTGAAAAAAAAAAAAAAAAGTGAGAAAAAAGGATGTCTGGAGATTTTGCAAGATCTGGGTTAAATTCACAACCAGGCTAAGACACTACCCCCAAGCCCCATGACACTGTCAATCCCCGCATAAACCTGCCCTGTGTATTGTTCGGAGTTCTCCAGAGACTGTGCCTATGTGTCTAGTGCACTCAAGACTGCTACCCCAAGTGTCAGAAATTTTAAAATGAAAATAATAGAAAATTCAGCTGAGTAGAACTAAGCCCTGTTCTAACCAAGCACCTTCAATTTCTCACAGTCACCTGGGCTCAGTGGTAAGGACAGGAGGGTAGAGAGCTGAAGTTAGCTAAGAAATGTGCAAGCTGTTTGCACAGAAGAGAGGACACAGCCTCTACCCTCAAGGTGCCGCCTGTCTGCTCAAGGTTGCTCAACCCCTTTAAGACCATCTACAGAGCAACTCACTAGTGAATGTAAATGTATAATAGCAAAGAGCACAGAGAAGAGAGGATGAGGGGGCATGAAGTTAAAAGGAGTGCTCAGAATGCAGTAGCACCCTTCAGGGAGAGTTTCTAGACATGGCAACAACTAGAATTTACAAAAATTAAAAATAACTTTTCTTGGTACAAATGCAAACACACCCATGACAAACAAACCAGAAAATACAGACAAGCAAAGAAAGGAAATAAAAAAATCCCCACCTACAATCTCACCCACCCAAAGACAACTTCTGTCCACACCCTCAGCACCTTGACAATCAGAATTTGCAGGAGGGAATGTGCAGAGCTGGAGCACATGTTTTGTGTGTGTGTGTGTGTGTGTGGGCGCGTGCATGCATCTGTGTGTCTGTGACTATCTGTGGCTGGAAAGGAGAGGGCTGGCAGTCTTGCATTTTGGTTTATGCTTGGGAGTAAGTGATAATAAATTCATTTGATGGGATCAGAAAGAATAGAATTGAAGAAGAGGAGGACTAATAGAAAATCCTCTCGGAATAGGGAGAAATTTGAAGCAGGCAGTAGTACCAGGGAGTTTAGCTGAATAGTGAGACAAAACAATCACAATAGTCTGGGTGCAGTGGCTCATGCCTGTAATCCCAGCACTTTGGGAGGCCAAGGCAGGCAGATCACTTGAGGCCAGGAGTTCAAGACCAGCCTGGGCAACATGGTGAAACCCCATCTCTACTAAAAATACAACAATTAGCTGGGTGTGGTGGCTGGTTCCTGTAATCCCAGCTACTCAGGAGTCTGAGTCAGGAGAATCACTTGAACCTGGGAGGAGGAGGTTGCAGTGACCCAAAATCCTACCACTGCACTCCAGCCTGAGTGACAGAGTGACTCTATCTCAAAAAAGTAAAATAAAATAAAATAATCATAATAGCAATAACAGTTAACCTTTTTGAGTGCTTACCATATATAAGACATTGTGCTAAGTACTTTGCTTCCCATCTTTCCATTTAATCCTCACAACTACTCTTTCCCTATTTTACAGAGGGTAAGAGCCTTGCCCAAACTCACATATTAAGTGGAAACACACTGATGTTTCTTACAGTCTGCTCTATAGGCTATCTGCATCAGAATGCTCTAAGCTGTTTGTTACAAATGCAGTCTTTGGTTCTAACCTGAAGTGTCTGATTCAGCAAGTCTAGGTGTGGGCAAGAACATTTGGTCCTAACCTTGTTATAGGACCAACAAGTTTGTGTGCCTGCTGCACAGTAACAGACCAGTACACTAAGACAGCAGGGTTTGCAGCAGAGAAAGAGTTTGATGCTCACAGGGCATAGAGCAAGGAGGTGGGAAGGAGACTCTCAAATACATCTCTCCAAGCAGTTTTGAGGTGGGACATTTTTTTAAATTTTTTTAAATTTTTTTTTGAGATGGAGTTTTGCTCTTGTTGCCCAGGCAATCGTGCAATGGCACTATCTCGGCTCCCTACAACCTCCACCTCCTGGGTTCAAGTGATTCTCCTGCCTCAGCCTCCCGAGTAGCTGGGATTAGAGGCATGCGCCACCACACCCAGCTAATTTTGTATTTTTAGTAGAGATGGGGTTTTTCTATGTTGGTCAGGTTGGTCTCGAATTCCTGACCTCAGGTGATCTGCCCATCTTGGCCTCCCAAAGTGCTGGGATTACAGGTATGAACCACCGCGCCCAGCCTGAGGTGGGATCTTTAAGGAGATTGTGAAGGACAAGGGGCTGGAAAATTAGGGTCATAGATTGGTCAGGATACAGGAGATGAAATCATCAGGAGGTGGAAATGGCATTCTTTAGTGAGTCAGCTCCCATGGGGTCCTTCAGATTAGCTGATATCAGTAGTCACACTGGTATGCAAGACCTGAAAGAATATCTCAAATGGAAAACATAATGTTTCATAATGCTTAAGGTGTTATCTCTTTAGCTGTTTAGGGGACCTATAGTCTAGGGTCCACGTGATTCTAAGACAATAGGCAAACAACTGTGTGGAAGCAGGTCAGGCACAAGCTGACCTAATGACTAATGCTGAGTGTGCTGCAAGCTTAGCTTGTTTTCATTTCTCCCCTCCCTTCTTCCCTGATTAATTTTATAAAGTTTGTAGGGATGGTTTCAATCTATTTCGGCAAGTCTAGGTGGGGGCAAAGGCATTTGTAACTTTATTTTTTTTTTTTTTTTATTTTTTGAGACAGAGTTTCACTCTTGTTGCCCAGGCTGGGGTGCAATGGTGCAATCTCAGCTCACTACAACCTCCACCTCCTGGGTTCAAGCGATTCTCCTGCCTTCAGCCTCCCGAGTAGCTGGGATTACAGACATGTGCCACCACGTCCAGCTAATTTTTTGTGTTTAGTAGAAACAGGGTTTCACCATGTTGGCCAGGCTGGTCTCGAACACCTTACCTCAGGTGATCCACCTGCCTCAGCCTCCCAAAGTGCTGGGATTACAAGCGTGAGCCACCATGCCCAGCTGGCATTTGTAACTTTAATAGCTCTCCAGTGTTGTTTTGTCCATCCAAGTTTGAGGGCCACTGATCTTGGATGATGGAAGGGCGAACTTGCATAAGGAGTCATCAGAGGTCAGGAGGTGATACACCTCTGGCCACAGGCCCTTGGCCTAGACTTTTCTGACCGTAATCATCCTGAACTTTGACGCTTTAGCTTCCACAGGCCCTTTTGCAGTTGGGGGACTTGCCTCTGGGTGGAGATCGCTTGGTGCCTCTTGCACTTGGCTCTCTCACAACTGCTCTTAGATGCTTGAACACGAGAGAGTAATTAAATAGGGTCACTAGTGCTCGGTCAGCAGCTAGTCAGGCGTGCCCCTCACTGGCAACAGTGAGGCCAGTAGGGGCAGCTGCAAGCCCTGGGGTCTGGAAGGAAACTGGAACTGACAATCTGAGATGGGCGTGGGGATGGAATCTGGATGGACTGGAGTAAAACCTGGTTTGGGCTGAGAGTCCAAATCATGGAGTCAAAGGAGCGACCAGGAACAAGGTCAAGGATGAGAAACTTGGAGGTGGGGATCACGAAGTAAACAGAGCTGCTTTTGGGGTAACTTTGGTACTTTTCAACTAGATCATATCCCAGTCTGTCTCCGAAGTCCCAAGTATTTTTTTTTTTCTTTTTTTGAGATGGAGTCTCGCTCTGTCGCCAGGCTAGAGTGCAGTGGTGCAATCTCAGCTCACTGCAATCTCCGCCTCCCGGTTCAAGTGACTCCCCTGCCTTTGGGACTACAGGCGCATGCCACCATGCCTGGCTTATTTTTTTTCGTATTTTAGTAGAGACAGGTTTTCACTATGTTGACCAGGATGGTCTTGATCTGCTGACCTCATGATCGGCCTGCCTTGGCTTCCCAAAGTGCTGGGATTACAGGCGTGAGCCACCGCGCCCAGCCAAGTCCCAAGTGTTTTATCAGCACTTTTTCCATGGTGGGCAGCTCCCCTCACTATCTCCACTGCCCCACTCCACTGAAGACCATGTAGCCAGCCTGTACCTAGTGGAGGGCCAGGGACAAGATCACTGCACTAGAATCCAGGCTATCATCTTAGTTGTGGCTCTGATTCTTCCTTCTAAAACGGCAGGTCATCTAACCTTGCTGACTCACAGTTTTCATACCTGTGAAATGGGTATGGTCAAAGAATCTCATAAAGCTGATGAAATAATGTATTCTGAATTATAAAGTGCTATACACATGTAATGACCTGCAGCATGGTTGAGGATTTTAAGGCAGCCTCAGAATATATGATTGATTAGTTATTAAACCAATCAAAACAATGGGAGACAAAAGACCCCATACTTGTTTACTTGAAGATTATCTCCAGGCTGAAATGTTTTGGTCAGAAAGTCACAAATGAGCATGCTCAGAAGGTGCCTGTGAACTGGAAAATGCCCAGGGCTTCTGAGTAACCCACAGTCCCATTCCCCTTAACAAATGCTGTCGGGATGCCGATGAAAAACTGAGCAAGAGCCCAGCTCAAGATCTGAGGTCTGGGGACTCTGCACACCCTTCATTGTCCTTGGGTTAATCATCTGACAGCCCAACATCCAGGAGACAGCAGGCATCTGCAGGAAGGGCAAGGCGTGCTGGCCCCACAAGTGGCAAGAAGGACAGGTAAATCATTCAAAAGCACCACATGAGGCAACCAGGATCAAGGGGCAGCACCCAGAGATCAGGGTGATAAGGGAGGGCTGAGAGAGATAAGGAGCCTTGGTTGTCCCTCCTTATAGCTTCAGGTCACCTTAGCCAAGTCTCCTGGCTTCTCTTATCCTCTGGGCCCTTAACTGTAAGAGTAGGGAGTTGGTCTCAATGATTTCAAAGGTCTTTTCAGCTCTGGGTGGGAAGATACTATCTAAATCCAAGCTGCATGAACATCTGCTGTTCTTGTTTACCTCTGAGCCAAGTCCAGAAGCCCAGGAGTCCCAGTGCCACCTGCAGGGCTGTGGCAGATACAAGCTGCAGGGGACCACCAGGGCTGAATGGAGGGTGAGCTCCACGGAGGAGGCTGGGGTGGGCTGCCAGGGCCTCCTTCCTGCAGAGCAACTCAAAGATCTTTCCCGCATGTTCTTATTTGAAACTTCCCACTCTCTGGTGAGATGAGGAGGTATCGTAGCCCTCCACGTGTGACCACAAGGTACAGCGAGAAGGCTTCTGGAAATGAAAAACTAAGTTTAAGGACACCTCAGGACTTGAGATAGGAAAGAGGCATCCCTGTCACAAGGCTCTCAGGCTGCCAGGCAGGTTTTGCAAGTTTGCAAGAAAGCTTCCCCAGCACTGCTCAGCTCCCACCTTCTTTCTCCCTGTCCCACTCTCATTGGCTGGCTGGCTCGCTGCCACTCAGCCTGGAGTCAGCCCTCCTATTGTGCTCCTCTGTCACAGTGCTCCGCTGAGGCACCTGTGACAAGATAATTAAGATATTAATTTGTTTACTGTGTTTTTCCATTGCCGTCTTTTCCCAAGCAGGTACTACAAGTCAGCTTTTTTGGTTTTTCTTGCCTTACGAATCCTTGCAGGACAGAAAGCAGAGCTGTTTGAAGATAACAGATCTTCATGCCTTGGGTAAAAGTCCTGGCTCCTGATGAGATGATGCAGATACCCAGAGGGAGATAGGCGGGAGGGGGACAGGGAGAGGGGAGCCTTGAAGGACAAGGAAAGACAGAGGAGAGTGCTCAGAGACCAGAAAGATAGAAACCAAAACAAAACAGAAAACCTGTCTCACTCTGAGAATGGAGCCCTTTCCAGAGCCCCAGGAGACATCCAGATCTCGGGGAAATTTTAGGCCTTGGGCATTGAGTCTCCAGTCTCACCAAAGATTTCCTGGGCCCCATGTATGACTCAGCAACAGCAAAATCAACAAACCAGAAGGGATGTGAGGCATCAAAGGAAAACTTAGGGCAGATCACCGGCTGATGACTGGTTGGGAGGCCCCCACACTTTTGCCCAGGTAGGCACAATATTTCAGGGGAGAGATTGCACTTCCAGAATGACAGATTAATAATCTGCCCAATGAACAGGACTGGGGGCTCAAGGTTAGATTCATTTTGATTTAAAAAACGGAGGCTGGGCGCAGCGGCTCATGCGTGTAAGCCCAGCACTTTGGGAGGCCATGGCGGGTGGATCACCTGAGGTCAGGAGTTGGACACCAGCCTGGCCAACATGGCAAAACACTGTCACTACTAAAAATACAAAAAAAAGCCAGGTGTGGTGGTGCACATCTATACTCCCAGGTACTCAGGAGGCTGAGGCAGGAGAATTTCTTTTTTTTTTTTCTTTTTCTTTTTTTTTTTTTTTTTTTTTTTTGAGACACAGTATCGTTCTGTCGCCCAGGCTGGAGTGCAGTGGCACGATCTTGGCTCACTGCAACCTCCGCCTCCTGGGTTCACGCCATTCTCCTGCCTCAGCCTCCCGAGTAGCTGGGATTACAGGCACCCCCACGGCCAGCTAATCTTTTTGTATTTTTAGTAGACATGGGGTTTCACTATATTGCCCAGGCTGGTCTTGAAATCCTGACCTTGTGATCCACCCACCTTGACCTCCCAAAGTGTTGGGATTACAGGCATGAGCCACTGTGCCTGGCGAGGCAGGAGAATTTCTTGAACCTGGGAGGCAGAGGTTGCAGTGAGCCGAGATTGTGACATTGCACTCCAGCCTGGGTGACAGAGCAAGACTCTGTCTCAATACATAAATAAATAACAAAACAGAAATACAAACAAAAGACAGAGAAATCCAATTTTCCTACCTCAGCTGGGTTGTAGAGTCTCCCCTGACATGCAGAGAAGAATGAATGACCCCTTTGTCCTGGTCCCCCCAGCCTGTGAAGATACCAGTTACACCTCCTTAGTACCCAAATCTTAGCTCTAAGCTCCTACCAGTTAATGCAGGAAATCTGTCCCATACTCTCTGTTGGTTAGGATGCCTTAGCCATAAGTAATAGAAAACACAGATTCAAACATGTAAGGAAATGTATTATCTCATATAATAGTTAGTCTAGAAGTAGTGGGTTCCAGGTGTGGTACGATGAGTGGCTCAAGGTGTCCTCAAGGAGCCAAGCAGCCTCCATTTCTCTGCTTTTCTCTCCGCAGGACATTGGCTTTTTCCTTCAGCTGGCTCCCTTTGTGGTAATACGACGTCTGCACCAAACACAATAACACGCAGAAAAAGAAAGCTTTCGTGTTTTTTCAGAAGCATGGAAGCTTTTACCAGCAGTCTCCTGTAGAATCTTCTTTTTGTACCATTAGCCAGAATTGGATACATGCCCATTCTTTAGCTAGTCCCTCCCAAGGGGAATGGAATTACCATGGTTGATGTGAAGGGAAGCTAAAGAGTCAACCTCAAAGAACACTTCAAAATACTTCCATCTCCCAAATACAGCCTTGCTCACTGTGAGTTCACAGACACCTTCTCGCCCCATGGCTGAGTTAGGTTCCTTCTTCATTTATGTTGAATTCCCTCTTTTGCGTCCTTGTATCCCTTTCTTATAACCTGAAAGGCTCTCATGCTTATCAGTTTATGAATCACTAATGTGAATGCAGCTCAAGATTTTTTTTCCCAGGTCCATCTCACGGTGGGTCCAGTGGATCCCCAAAGACATCCTGTGATTATTTCCCCAGTTCCAGAATGCATAATTGAAATGGATACACTCAGCAGCTGACAGATCCCCACATTGGTTCCCTGACTTGTGGAGGAAGGGCTATTCTGGTGGGAAAGGCCAAGTGGAAGACACTAGAACTGCCTCTACCTAGGAAAAGAGTAAGCCAAAAGCAATACTTAATTCCTGGAGGGACTGCAGAGAGTAGGGCCATCATCAAGGAGGCAGGGGTGGCAATTCCCACCACATTCTTATTCCACATGCCCATTTGGCCTGTGCAAAAGACAGATGGAGAATGACAGTGGATTACTATGAACTTAACCAGGTGATGATTCCCACTGCAGCTGCTGTACCAGATGTGGTTGTATTGCTGTTGTGGTTTTATTTCGGATGTGGTTTCATTTAATGAGACTTCTAGGGGTCCAGTGGTATGGGGCATGTCAAGATATCTCTTCTAAGGTGAAGGACACCTTGTAGCATCTGGCCCCTCCTACAACCAAAAAAGAGGTGCAATGCCTAGTAGGCCTCTTTGGATTTTGGAGGCAACATGTTCCTCATTTGGGTGTGTAACTCTGCCCCATTTACCAAGTGACTTGAAAAGCTGCTGGTTTTGAGTGGAGTCTAGACAAGGAGAAGGCTCTGTAACAGGTCCAGGCTGCTATGCAAGCTGCTCTGTCACTTGGGCCATATGACCCATCAGATCCAATGGTGCTTGAGGTATCAGTGACAGATAGGGATCTGTCTGGAGCCTTTGGCAGGCCCTCATGGGTGAATCACAGTGGAGGCCTTCAGGATTTTGGAGCAAGTTCCTGCCATCATTCACAAATAACTACACTCCTTTTGAGACAGCTCTTGGTCTGCTACTGGGCCTCAGTAGAGACTGAATGTTTGACCATGGGCCACCAAGTTACCATGTGACCTGAGCTGCCTATCATGAACTGGGTGCTATCTGACCCACTAAGCCATGAAGTTGGATGTGCACAGCAGTACTCCATCATCAAATGGAAATGGTATATAGGTGGTCAGGCTCAAGCAAGTCCTGAAGAACAAGTAAATTACATGAGGAAGTGGCCCAAATGCCCATAATTCCTACTTCTGCTTCACTGCCTCCTCTCTCCCAGCCTGCACCTATGACCTTGTTGGGAATACCCAATGATCAGTTCACAGAAGAAGAGATCAGGCCTGGTAATAGTTCTGCACAATGTGCAGGCACCACCCAAAAGTGGACAGCTGCATCATAACAGCCCCTTTCTGGGACATCCCTAAAGCAGTAGTCCCCAATCATTTTAGCAGCAGGGACCAGTTTTGTGAAAGACAATTTTTCCATGGAAGGACGAAGGTAGGGGTGGAGGGATGGTTTCGGGATGAAACTGTTCCACCTCAGATCATCAGGCATTAGACTCTCATAAGGAGCACACAACCTAGATCCCTCGCCTACACAGTTCACAATAGGGTTCATGCTCCTATGAGAATCTAATGCCACTGCTGATTTGACAAGAGGTGGACCTCACCCGCCACTCACCTCCTGCTGTGCTGCCCGGTTCCGAACAGGCCACGGACCAGAACCATTGGTTGGGTCTGCAACATGATCATCCTTCAGTTCCCACTGCTCCAGCAAAGCTCAGTGGGCACCAGGGACCCAGGAGGCTGCTGCCTCACGTGGGCCACCTCTAGCACTACAACCCAGGCAGGAGCATCCCAGAGCAAAACAGGCACCTGCAATTGGGGGTCCTCAAGACAGGGGCTCTCCAGGGTCCCAGGGGCAAAGGAGCAGGATCTGCAGCCTTCAAGGGCAATAAGAGAGATCTTAGAAGTCTCCTGTGTCTCCTCTTTGCTTCTACCTCTTGGAGTGGGCAGTTCACTTGGAGTATGCAGTCATCTCAGCCAGGGCAGCGATCTCTTCCCTCTTCCATTAGGAAGAATTCCCTTTACCACTGTCCTTAGGACAGAATTTTGGGCAGAGCACTTGGTTGCACAATGTATTTGGAAGGAGAAATGGCCAGACATGTGGTTATATACTGATTCATAGTAGCCAGTGGTTTCCTGGATGGCCTCAGACTTGTAAGGAACATAATTGCAAAAGTGATGACAAATAAATTTGGGGAAGAGTATGTGGATAGACCTATCTGATTGGGCAAAAGATGTGAAGATATTTGTTTCCCATGTGAATGCTCACCAAACAGTGACCTCAGCAGAGGAGGATTTTATTTTTATTTATTTATTTATTTATTTTTGAGATGGATTTTCGCTCTTGCTGCCCATGCTGGACTGCAATGGCGCGGTCTCAGCTCACTGCAACCTCCACCTCCCGGGTTCAAGCAATTCTTCTGCCTCAGCCTCTCAAATAGCTGGGACTACAGGCATGAACAACCACACCCAGCTAATTTTGTATTTTTTTTTTTTAGTAGAGACAGGGTTTCTCCATGTTGGTCAGGCTGGTCTCAAACTCCCGACCTCAGGTGATCCACCCGCCTCAGCCTCCCAAAGTGCTGGGATTACAGGTGTGAGCCACTGCGCCTGGCCCCTTTCATTTATTTATTTTTCTGAGACAGGGTGTCACTCCGATTGCCCAGGCTGGAGTGCAGTGGCATGATTTTGGTTTAGGTTTACTGCAGCCTCGACTTCCCCAGGCTCAGGTGATTCTCCCATCTCAGCCTCCTGAGTAGCTGGGATGACAGGCACACACCACCACACCCGGCTAATTTTTTTTGTATTTTCAGTAGAGACAGGGTTTCACCATGTTGCCCAGCTGGACTCAAAACTCCTGGCCTCAAGCAATCCACCCACCTTGACCTCCCAAAATGCTGGAATTACAGGTGTGAGCTGCTGCACCCTGCCACAGAGGAGGATTTTAATAATCAAATAGATAGGATGACTAATTCTATGGACACCAGTCAGCCTCTTTCCACAATCATCCCATCATCACCCAATGGGCTCATGGATAAAATGGCCATGGTGGCAGAGATGAAGGTTATGCATAGGCTCAACAACATGGACTGCACTTACCAAGGCTGATTTGGCTACAGCCACCACTGAGTGTTCAATTTGCCAGCATCAGAGACCGACACTGAGTCCCTGATATGCCACTGTTCCTCCAGCTAAACAAACAGCTACCCGGAGGCAGGCTGATTACATTGGATGGCTTCCATTATGGAAAGGGCAGCATTTTGTTCTTATTGGAATAGACACTTTGAATATGGATTTGCCTTCCCTGCATGCAATGCTTCTGCCAAAACTACTATCCGCAGACTTATGGAATGTCTTATCCTCCGTCATAGTATTACACACAGCATTGCTTTCAATCAGGGAGCTCACTTCACAGCAAAAGAAGTGCAGCAGTGGGCCCATGCTCATGAAATTCACTGATCTTACCGTGTTCCACACCATCCTGAAGCAGCTGGTTTGAAAGTACAATGGAATGGCCTTTTGAAGACTCAGTTACAGTGCCAGCTCAGCGGCAATACTTTGTAGGTCTGCAGCAAGGTTATCCAGAAGGCTGTATATATGCTCTGAACCAGAGTCCAATGTATGGTGTTCTTCTTCCCATAGCCAAGATTCACAGCTCCAGGAATCATAGAGTAGAAACACCCACTATTATCACTAGTGCCCCACTAGCAAAATTTTTGCTTCCTATTCTCATGACCTTATGCTCTGCTGGCTTAGTGGTCTTAGTTCTGAAGGGAGGAATGTTTCCACCAGGAGACACAACAATGATTCTATTGAACTGGAAGTTGAGACTGCCACCTGGCCACTTTGGACTCCTTATGCCTCCAAATCAACAGGCAAAGAAGGGAGTTACTGTGCCGACTGGCATAATTAATCCTGACTACCTAGGGGAAATTGGACTGCTACTCCACAGTGGAGAAAAGGAAGAGTTTGTCTGGAACACAAGTGATCCCTTAAAGCATGTCCTGTGATTAAGGTCAATGGAAAACTACAACAATCCAATCCGGGCAGGACTATGACTGGCTCAGACCCTTCAGGAATGAAGGTTTGGGTCACTTCAAAGGTAAAGAACCATGCCATCTGAGGTGCTTGCTGAAGGCAAAGGGAATACCTAATGGATAGTGAAAGAAGCTACAACTATGTGACTGGTTACAGAAATAAGGACTGTAATTTTTAAAAATTTATTTATATATTTTATTTATTTATTTATTTATTTATTTATTTATTTATTTATTTATTTATGTGAGATGGAGTCTTGCTCTGTTGCCCAGGTTGGAGTACAGTGGCACCATTTCGGCTCACTACAACCTTCATCTCCCAGGTTCAAGTGATTCTTCTGCCTCAGCCCTCCAAATAGCTAGGACTAGAGGCGTGTACCACCACGCCCCGCTAATTTTTGTATTTTTAGTAGAGATGGGGTTTCACCATGTTGGCAAGGCTGGTCTTGAACTCCTGACCTCAGATGACCCACCCACCTCAGCCTTCCAAAGTGCTGGAATTACTGGCATGAACCACCACACCTGGTTAATTTGTGTATTTTTAGTAGACATGGGGTTTCACCATGTTGGTCAGGCTGGTCTCGAACTCCTAATCTGACCACCCGCCTCAGTGTCCCAAAGTATTGGGATTACAGGTGTGAACCACCACACCTGGGTAATTTTTGTATTTTTAGTAGAGATGGAGTTTCACCATGTTGGCCAGGCTGGTCTCAAACTCCTGACCTCAGGTGATCCACCTGCCTCGGCCTCTCAAAGTGCTGGGATTACAGGTGTGAGCCACCGTGCCTGGCCAGAGGGCTGTAATTGTCATGAGCATTTCCTCTTTATTTTGTTATTAATATGTTTGTGAGTGTATATTTGTGTGTATAAATCTATCCACATATACGCTAAGCAAATATCTTTGTTTTCTTCTCTACTCTTTGTAGAGAAATATCTTTGTTTTCTTCTCTTTGAAACCTGTCTCTACTAAAATACAAAAAAATTATCTGGGTGTGGGTGGTGTGCACCTGTAATCCCAACTACTCAGGAGGCTGAGGTAGGAGAATCACTTGAACCCAGGAGGCAGAGGTTGCAGTGAGCTGAGATCACGCCACTGCACTCCAGCCTGGGCAACAGAGCGAGACTCCGTCTAAAAACAAAAAAACAAAAAAACAAAGTATTGACTTTATGTCATAGTATTTACATATAGTTACTTTTATACCATAGTATTTAAGTTACAGGATTTCATAGAGAAAGTATACATCACTGAAGGACTTTAGCTCCTCTTCTGGGGAGGGGGTTAGTGTGTTTTGGTTATACACAGAATAGCTGTATCAGGTTAGGTGGAATTACAGCCTTGTTAGTGTCTTTATTTGGAGATTAAGTATGGCTTAAGGAGATACATATAGGTGCCAAGTTGATGAGATTAGTTGATGGACTTGTGATGGCTAGTATTTTATGTCAACTTCACTGGGCTACAAGGTGCCCAGATATTTGGTTAAACATTATTGTGTGTGTGTGTGTGTGTGTGTGTGTGCGCGTGTGCGTGTGTGTGCAAGGGAGAGATTTGGGATGAAATTAACATGAGAATTGATAGATAAGCAAAGCAGATTGCCCTCCCCAATATGGGTGGGCCTCATTCCATCTATTAAAGGCCGGAAGAGAACAGAAGGCTGAGTAAGAGAGAATTTGCTCTCTTAAGCTGACTATCTTCAAGTGAGGAAATCACATCAGTCTTCTGTTTTTGAACTCAGGCTCAGATTGGAAATATACCATTAGCTGTCCTGGGCCTCGAGTTTGCCAACCTCAGATCTTGGGACTTCTCTACCTCCATAATCATGTAAGTCAATTCCTTATAATAAACTTCATATCTATCTATCTACCTATCTACACATATAGAAAGGTGGGAAGATGATAGATAAATGATAGATAGATAGATAGATAGATAGATAGATAGATAGATAGGCTATATATCTTATTGGTACCGTTTCTCTGCAGAGCCCTGACTAATATGACACTTAGCTAGTTAAGTGGCATAGCTAGGAACATTCTTGTAAAAGTCTTTTTGTGGACACATGTTTTTCCTTTTTCATTATTATTTTTTGAGACAGGGTCTCGCTTTGTCACCCAGGCTGGAGCTCAGTGGCATGATCACGGCTTACTGCAGCCTCGACTTCCTGGGCTCTGGCAATCCTCCCACCTCAGCCTCCTGAGTAGCTGGGACTACAGGTACATGCCACCACACCCAGCTACTTTTTGCTGTTTTTTTTTTTTTTTTTTTGGTAGAAACAGGATTTCGCCATATTGCCCAGGCTGGTCTCAAACTCCTGAGATCAAGCGATCCATCTGCCTTGGCCTCCCAAAGTGCTGGGATTGCAAGCAAGAGCCACCACACCTGGCCTGTTTTTCTTTATCTGGGTTAATACCTAGACATTTAATTGCTGGGTTGCAGAGTATGTGTTTGTCTAACTGTAAGAAATTACTAAACTGCTTTTTTTTTTTTTTTAAACGAAGTCTCGCTCTATTGCCAGGCTGGAGTGCAGTGGCACAATCTTGGCTCACTGCAACCTCTGCCTGCCAGGTTCAAGCAATTCTCCTGCCTCAGCCTCCCAAGTAGCTGGGACCACAGGTAAGCGCCACCATGCCCGGCTACTTTTTTTGTATTTTTAGTAGAGATGGGTTTTCACCATGTTGGCCAGGATGGTCTCAATCTCTTGACCTCGTGATCCGCCCCCCTCAGCCTCCCAAAGTGCTGGGATTACAGGTGTGAGCCACCGTGCCCCGCCCCAAACTGCTTTTCAAAGTGGTCTATGACCATTCCAGTTGCTCTACATCCTCATCAACATTTGGTGTCACAGGTAGCTTAATTTTTAGCTGTTCTATGGATGTGTATTTTCCTGCTAGCTAGTGATGTTGAGCATTTGTTCAATTTGTATTTTCCTGCTAGCTAGTGATGTTGAGCATTTGTTCATGTGCTTATCAGTTATTGTTATATCTTCCTTTGTAAAGTGTCTGCCCACTTTTTAAAAATGGGTTGCTTTTCTTATTATTAAGTTGTAGGAATGCTATTTTATTAATAACATTATTTGTTTTGTAGATACTCCCTCCCAGTCTGAGAATTGCCTATTATTCATTTTCTTAAGGGTACAGACATTTCTAATTTTGAAAATGTCTGATTTTTTTGTCTTTTGTAGTTATTGTTGTCTGTAACCTAAGAAAAAATTTGCCTACTCCAAGGTTGTGAAGATATTCTCCTGTTTTCTTCTAGAAGCTTTATCACTTAATAACTAACTTTGTCATTTCACACTATACACAAACATTAATTTGAGATGAAGGTAAGGTGCTCCAATTTGAAAGAACATTAGCCCAGATGAAAAGGTTTTATATGTGTAAGAGGGAAGTAGAACCTGAGGCTTGCAGTCAAGTGAGGCCAAATGGTGGAGGGCCTTGAATCCCAAGCTGAAGACTGAGGACTTCTTTCCATGGACAATGGAGAGATGATGAAGAGTTTCACAAGAGAGTCATAAATTAACAGCTGGGGAGAAAAGGTGAATGCTTGGGAGACTCGGTGATGGTGACTTAACTTCTCCCATCTGTGTACTTTGAGATGTGAACCGCATGTTTTTGAGCTCACTTCCTGCCCTGATTTTCTGTGATTCTTCCTTCCCAAAAGGGGGCACTGAGGCAGGAGCTACAATAGTCTTTCAAACTGTTAGGGCCAGGGCAGAGACTGCCAAATGCTTAGTCCTCGGTTTTGACCTAACCAGTGGGTCAGATTGCTAGGGATGGGGTGGGCATCAAATGTCTTATTGCCTGTGAAGTAGAGGTTTGGGGAAAGTAGAGAACAAGTACCTCCTGCTCTCCCATGCATAACCCATAGAGAAATAACAATTTCCCCGGAATTTCGAGTCCATACCTCCACCTCTCTGCTGGTGTGCCAAGCCTGTCCAGCTTCTTTCCTGTCACAAAAGAGAAGGGTCCCTCCACATTTTAGGGCTAACTCATCCACCACACATTTGATCTCATCTCCCTCTGGCTTCTCTGTTTCTTCTTCCTCCAACCATTTTTTCTTTTTTTTTCGAGATGGAGTTTCACTCTTGTTGCCCAGGCTGGAGTGCAATGATGTGATCTCGGCTCATTGAAACCTCCACCTCCCGAATTCAAGTGATTCTCCTGCTTCAGCCTCCCAAGTAGCAGGGATTACAGGCACCGGCCACCACGCCCAGCTAATTTTTGTATTTTTAGTAGAGATAGGGCTTCACCATGTTGGCCAGGCTGGTCTGGAACTCCTGACCTCGGGTGATCCACCCGCCTCAGCCTCCCAAAGTGGTGGGATTACAGGCGTGAGCCACTGTGCCCGGCCTCTTCCTCCAACATTTCAAACCCTCCCTCTCCTGCCCCATGTCCAAGCCTAGCTGCACTTCTTTTAAAAATCCTGAATTAAGCTCAGATGACCCTTAGCACTCCCTCTACTCCTGCTTTCCCCTTCCAGAATTCTCTCCAGTTATATATAACTGCTGACTTCACTCCTCACATATCTGCTCATTTCTCAGATCCTGACAGTAGAGGGTCCAACCTCTATCACTTTCCAGAAACTTCAGATATTATGAATAATCCCCAACTGACCAGCCCTATGCCTCATCAGTCCTCATGTTCTTCGCTCCATGATACTGGGCCTGTGTTGCCTTCCCTGTCTCTGGATGGACCCCTCTTTCCCATTGACTCCCGTTTCACTGCTCTGCTACTGCTTTTCCTTACTCCATAGCCATTCCCCATCATTGCTTGGTGGCCTCAAGGAAAGTCTGGAGGACACCAGATAGAAACACCCCAACTTCTCACCTGCAAACCTGGAAATTCATCGTAACCGGCATTTCATTTTTCTGGTTAAAATGGAACTTGTCTCTTTACTGACTTGAGCCCATTCCTCCATCTTGAAGGAAATCTCATCTCCTCCCATCTCCTCACCTCTCTCTAACAATTATCCTGTCATCTTGTTGAGTCTTTAATCTCCTCTCTGCTGTTCTTTCTCAAAATCATGAAAAAATCCATAAGTCTCCATCTCTTAAAAAAAATACTCTTGTTTTCACTGCCTTTTATACCTAATTCACAGTCAAACTTCCTGAAAGGGTCATGTATACTTCTTATCTCCCCTTACACCCTTCCTTGTCACTCCTCTGTCCTCTGAAAACAGTCTCCTCAAGATTACTAATGACCTCCGTGTTGTCCAAATCTCTTGGACTTTTGTTGCCCCTTTGAGTTACTCTCAACAGCTTTGACATTATTCACCACTTCCTGCCTCTCCTCGCCCAGCTCCTCCTCCTGCCCTGACTGCTTCCTCTCTGTGTCCCTGACATGCCCCTCTCTCTCCCTCTCTCTTTTCTCTCCCTCTCTCTCCTCCCTGTCTCTCTCTCTCCCTCCTTCTGTCTCTCTTTCTCCTGTGCAGCAGTGACACTCCCTGTGCTCCTTGGCTTTCTGGCTTGGGCCTTCTTCTTCCCTCACTTTCCCCGAGTGATCTCATCCACTCCTTCACTCCACAAATATTTACTGAGCACACACCACGAATCAGGCAAGGTTCTAAGCCCTGAGGTATCACAATGAAGAAGACAAAGTCCCGGATGTTATAGAGTTCACATTTACCAAGGTGTCAATTCTGTCTGGATGCCCGTGACACCGAGCTGTCTCCAGCCCAGATCTTTCTCTCCTGTCTGCTTAACACCTCTACTTGGACATCCCACAAAAAACGGGACTTGTCCAGAGGTAAAGTTTTCATCCTTACTGCCTTCCGGACCAGCTTATCTTCCTATCTCGATTACCCAAACCAGGAGCTGCTCTTTGCATTCATTTGTCATCTTTGATTCTTCACTTTCATTCTCCCCTTCAATCCAGCCTGTAACGAAGTCCTGTCAATTCTACCTCCCAATCCTCCTAAATGCCTCTAGAATCCATCCACTGCTCTTTACGCCCAACACTATTACTCTGACTTAGAGCCATATCCCCTCTTCCCTGGTTCCCACCAGGTGACCCTCTGGTCTTATTCTCTCCCATGCCACACCCTTCAATACATTGTCCGCACTGCAGTCGGAGTCATTGTCTAATGTACCTACAGAACTGATCTCACGACCTCCCTGCTTAAAATTCTTCATTGCCTTTAAAATTAAAGCCAAACCTCTTATCATGGCCCCTGCCTACTTCTCAGTCCTCTCCCCCACCACCCACCTCACTCTCACACACTTTACTGTGTGTGTCTCCTGACACACACAGTAAACTTTTTTTTTCAGTGCCCTGGATGTGCCACATTCCCTCACAACTCCGAACCTTGAAAGTGCTGTTCCTTCAGCTTGGAAGTCTTCCTCACTCCTGACCCGCACCACCTCACCTGGCTAACTCCTATTTACATCAGGCTCAGCTCAGAGGTAACCTCTAGAGCACTTTCCATTAAGGCTGTCGTCTGTGGCAATTGCCCTCCTATGTACTTCCATGTCATCTTGTATTATCCACTCTATTATGATCATCTGATTTCACTGTTTATTTTCTGCGTTCCTCTTCCATGAGACTGTATGCCACAGGAAGGCAGGAACAAAGTCCACATCACTCATACTGTGTCATTGTGTTTCCAGTCTTCAGAAAATACCAATCAAGAAATAACTGTCAAAAATGAATAGTTTCTTGCCTCCCTCCTCCTGCCCTCTAAGTGCAGACATTGCTTAAGATTCATGTTTTCCAGCTTTGCTCGATTTCCTTCTTTATATTTCATGGATTCCTATTACTTCAGTGATTGGATATGTGTGAAGAAATCTCCAATCTACCCCCAAGCTAGATAGCTCTCAGCTCCCAGACTGCATTTCCAATCTCATGCTAGACATTCATGCTTGTAGGTTTTTCCATCATCTCAGATAAAAGATATAAAACATTAAAAGCATGCAAAGGATATATGTGTAAGGATGTGCAATGCAACATTGTCTATAATATAGAAAAATTGGAAACAATCCAAATGCCCATCAAAAGAGAATTGGGTAAATAAACTGTGTACCACTGTGCAGACTAGAAAGATTTATATATTGATGTGAAAAGATGTCCATGATATACCGTTCAGTAAAAAAGCAGCTTCATCTGTGTAAATACATACAGTGCTCTTTTGAATAATTTTCCCTTCCTTTGATCCCAAAGTCAATGATACTCATTTGTATGTTGAACAATGAATTTTATAATGCACACTTCAAATGAATGTATAAGGGAATTGAAAAAAGTACTAGGTATTATCTATTAAGAGACTCCTGTTAACCACACACACAAAAACAGGTTTCAGAACTATAGAGTTTAATTTTATTCAATCATTCAACATGCATTTATTAAGCACCTATTATGTGCCAGTTTCTGTTCCAGGTACTGGGGATATGCAGAGAGCAAGGCAAAGTCCTTGCTCTCACAGTTTTCTTTTTTTTTTTTTTTGAGACAGAGTTTCGCTCTTGTCGCCCAGGCTGGAGTGCAGTGACACGATCTCGGCTCACTGCAACTTCTGCCTCCCGGTTTTAAGCAATTCTCCTGCCTCAGCCTCCCGAGTAGCTGGGACTACAGGCGTGCACCACCATGCCCAGCTAATTTTTTGTATTTTTAGTAGAGACGGGGTTTCACCATGTTGGCCAAGCTGGTCACGAACTCCTGGCCCCAAGTGGTCCACCCGCCTCAGGCTCCCAAAGTGCTGGGATTACAGGCGTGAGCCACTGCACCCGGCTGCTCTCACAGTTTTCTAAATAGACAGTAAGCAAATAAATAGACAGAATTAAATGTCACGTAATGATACGTGGTATGAAGAAACTGAATTATGAGGTGTGCTATTCTGCTTAGGATGCTTAGAGAGGGGCTTTCCAAAATAGTGACAGTTGAGCAGAGACCTGAATAAAAGTGAGGGCGGGAATTACCTGAATATTTGGGGCAAGGATATTCTGACCGGAAGAACCAGCCATCACAGAGGCCTACAGTATTGCCGTGTTTAACTGGTTCTAAAACTGCAAGGCAGCCACAGCAGCTGGAGCAAAGTAGGGGGAGGAAAGAGTGGAGGGAGATGTGGCCGTGGTGTGGGCTCTGGGCTCTGGTGTCCATTCTAAGTGTGATGAAAAGTAAGTCTTCAGAGGTGTTTCTGTTACATGTTAGTGTCTCATTTTTAAAAGTCAGCATAAAATAATTCTGAGATGTGAAACTATAGGAGACTTTCATTTTCAAAACCAATGATGCTCTGATTATTTTTTTTTTTTTTTTTTGCCAAAGTAATACTCACCGTAAAACATTCAAACACATTCAAGCACAATCTTGTGTTTGAATGTTTTACGGTGAGTATTACTTTGGCAATCAGAAAAAAAAATGATTTTTTAAATGTGTGGGCTGGACACAGTGGCTCATGCTTGTAATCCCAGCACTTTGGGAGGCTGAGGTGGGCAGATCACTTGAGCCCAGGAGTTCGAGACCAGTCTGGGCAACATGGCAAAACCCTGTCTCTACTAAAAATACAAAAATTAGCTGGGTGTGGTGGCACACACCTGTAGTCCTAGCTACTCAGGAAGCTAAGGGAGGAGGATAGCTTGAGCCCAGGATAGTCCAGGCTGCAGTGAGCCATGATCACACCACTGCACCCCAGCCTGGGCAACAGAGCAAGACCCTGCCTCAAAAACAATAATAAAAATAATGGCCGGGCGCGGTGGCTCACGCCTGTAATCCCAGCACTTTGGGAGGCCAAGGCAGGCCGATCACGAGGTCAGGAGATCGAGACCATTCTGGCTAACACGGTGAAACCCCGTCTCTACTAAAAATACAAAAAATTAGCTGGGCGTGGTGGCGGGCGCCTGTAGTCCCAGCTACTCGGGAGGCTGAGGCAGGAGAATGGCGTGAACCTGGGAGGCGGAGCTTGCAGTGAGCCAAGATTGCACCACTGCACTCCAGCCTGGGCAACACAGTGAGACTCCATCTCAAAAAAAATAAAAATAAAAATAAAATAAAATAAAATAAAATAAAATATGTGCCTACCCTTTGACTCATCAACTCCCTTTCAAGAAAAATATCCTTTAAATATTGGATAAATATGTAAAAATATGTATATAAGGATGTTCATTACAGTATTATTTATAGCAACAAAAAATAGAAATAACTTCGATGTTCAACAATAGGGGATTGACTCAACAATAGGTGATTGACCAAATTGTAAAAACTATACAATGGAATCATGAATAGTCATGACAAATTATGTTGTAGAATATCTCCCCCAGCTAAAAATTAGTTCAATTCCCAGCTCTATGAAGGCTTTCTGTCTGCCCTGGCCTAACAGGACCTCTTCCTCCTTGAAGCTTATTCATGCTTATTGTCTACAGCATCCTCTGGCCCCCACAGTGGAAGAACAAGTGCAGCTCACACCCGGCTGGCTCTGAGCTGTGCTAATGGAAGGGGAGTGGAGCAGAGCAATCCTGAACAATAGATAATTCATTCCTTTGTAAATGCATCAGATAATTTATTTTGCAGTGGATTCACCTTCCTAATTAGCTTTCCCCATGTTAGTATTAAAATTAATGAGCATTTCCAAACACTAGTAGCAGAGGCAGGACCTAGAAGAAGGCAAAAGAGCAAAGAGTTCCCCTGGGTAACCCACTGGCTGGACAACAGGACCTGGAAGCTCAGAGGGTTGTCGGGGCTCTTCCCCTGTACAACTGCCCACTCCTCTTCACTGAGAGACTAGAATACGGCCCCTCCTTAGTAATCCCTGGGCAGGGCACTCTCCTAAGGGAGCCCTCCTGGCCTCTGTCTGCCCTGTAGTCATGCCTTCCCAGGGAGGAGGACGCAGCAGCTATCTCCCCTTTGCCCTTGTTCAGCCAGCTCTATACCCACGGGGTGACCTGTGTGGATTACATGAGCATGATCTCTTATCTTCTGGCCTCCCTCCTGAGGAGGAGGATATGAACCCGCACTCCCTTCCTGCAGGTGACAGCAGGCTGGCCTTTGCCCTTGGCTTGCAGGGCTGGGCTTCCTAAGCCTGCTTCTGATCCCCTTTGTGCATGAGCGTCTCCTCTCGGCACTGCCATGGGACAGTAACATAGCCACTCATGAACTATCCTGGGGTCTCCTTCCCAGTCTACTTGAGCAATTCTGCTGAGCGGCCAAGTGACTGACTCAACAGCTCTGATGGAGACCAGGACACATTCCTTCCAATCACCTCACGGCAGCCTCCTCTGGAAAGGGCAGGATACCACTGGGAAAAGAGAAGCCACAGCTATCTTAAAGAGAGTTTCCTAATAGCCATTACATAAGGGCTCATGTGACAGCCTCTTCCACCCAGTGGTCCTGAGCGGCCAGGGAGGCTATCTACCCATGTGAGGTATTTGAGGGGGCCCAGTAACACCCCCTACCAACCCAAGTCCTCCACCAGCTGAGAAATAGGACAAATTAGTTAACAAATGGAGACCCTATTTATTACTGATATAAATGCTGATATTGAGTAATAATATATTTCTGTCTTAGGGCTGCCTAATACCAAAGCCCAGAATGAGTTAGAACTGGCACCCAGGCTGGGCACAGTGGCTCACTCCTGTAATCCCAGCACTTTGGGAGGCCTAGGTGGGTGGATCACTTCAGCTCAGGAGTTAGAGATCAGCCTGGGCAACATGGTGAGACCACATCTCTACAAAAAATAAATTAGCCGGGTGTGATGGTGCATGCCCGTAGTCCCAGCTACTAAGGAGGCTGAAGTGGGAAGATCACCTCAGCCTGGGAGGTCAAGGCTGCAGTGAGTCATGTTTACCACTGCATTCCAGTCTGGGTGATGGAGCAAGACCCTGTGTCAAAAAAAAAAAAAAAAAAAAGAAAAGAAAAGAAAGAAAAAGAAAAAGAAAGAATAGGCGCTCAGGTAGTGCTGGGGAGGGCAGGCCTCTCTACAGGGGGAGGTAGCGCCACTTCATCGCACAACAATGTAGAAAGACCGGCCCCTAAGAAGAAAGAAAGAGGAAGGCATTGAAATAGGCCAAATTTCTCCTAAACTCACCAGTGGAATTCAGTCACCCCTCCTGTCATTCAGGGATAGCTGACATATTCTAACTGTGTAATTTGAATAAAAATCTAATAAGAGGATTCTTCACAAAAGTGTGGGCAGAGCATGGAGAATCCACAAAGGACAGTGCAATATCCCAGAGCTGAAATGGAGGCAGAGGGAGCAGTTACCAGAATCCGAAGAAAGAGAAGCATCTGATAGGAGGGACCGCCTTCAGTCAAGGGGTGTTCTGTGGCCAGCCTGCTGCCACCTGCGGGAAGGGAGTGTGGGGTTCATATCCTCCTCCCTACAAGGGAGGCCAGAAGATAAGAGATCCCGCTCATGTAATCCATATAGGTCACCGTGTGGGCATAGAGCTGGCTGAACAAAGGCAAAGGGAAGTTAACTGTTGTGTCCTCCTCCCTGGGAAGGCGTGACTATAGGGCAGACAGAAGCCAGGAGGGCTCCCTTAGGAGAGTTCCCTGCCCAGGGAAGGACATATCAGGAAGGGGAAAGAAGCAGTCCTTCCCAATGATCCACACTTGCAAAAGCACCTTGTTTAGGCTCACACAGCTAGGGAGTGATGGGGCTGAGAGTGCCTCCTGTCTCCTAGCTGGGGGCCCTCTGCATGGATGGTTTATCTCTTAAACTTCTTATTGATCCAAGAGTGGATTGTTGGGAGCCCCTGTTCAGCAATCTCTGCACTAGTTCAAAAATTTCTGTTCGTGGGCGGGAGGGGGACAGTGGAGTTGGGAGAGGTGGGCAGGAAGGAAAGAGATTGTCTTAGTCAGTTTGGGATGCTATAACGAAATACCTTAGACTGGGTAATGTATAAACACTAGAAATGTATTGCTCACACTTCTGGAGGCTGAGAAGTCCACGTTCAAAGCATCAGCAGATTAAATGTCTGGTGAGAGCCTGCTGTTCAAGATGAACATAGATGGTTCCTTTTATGTGTCCCCATATGGCTGAAGGGGAGAACAAGCTCCCTCAGGCCTCTTAAGGACACTCATCCCATTTGTGAGGATGAAGCCGTCCTTCCCTATATGCTTCCAAACACCACACCTCTCAATAGGATCCCACTGGGGATTAAGTTTCAACACAAGAATGTTGAGGAGACACAAACCTTCAGACCACAGCAGAGATAAAGAGGGAAAAAATGGTATTTGTGGGTTTTGTTTTTGTTTTGCCTTTGAAAATTCCCTGGAGGGAAATAATCTACTGTTAAAATCAATCTTTCTCCTTTGCTCCTGTCTCTCTCTGTCTCTCCCCACTTCTTTCTCTCCTATCTCTCTCTCTCCCCTCCCACTTCTTTCTCTCTTCCAATTCCTGCATCTCTTTCACAATCACCCCAGAAGTTCCCTCCCTCCCCTCCTGTGTTCCTGTGTGACCTCCCAACCCCAGGCAGGAGATGGCAGTGATTCTAAAAGAAGATGAGGGGCTATGACACCCTGCAGAGGCCTGAGGTCTCAGACAGACCCAAGGAACTTGCACCAAAGTTTCCTGTCACCCAGTTTCAGCACTATTCTATGGCCCAGCTATCTCTGATGAGAAACAATTCAAATTCTTTTTCAGCTCCTCAGAAGGTAGCATTTATAGGCCTGCTGGCTAAAATATTCACAATCAGTTCCTTTCCATGAGCAAAGGTGGTGGAATCTGGGAGATCAAAGCAAAAAAAAAAAAAAAGTCATTCCCAGAATCCCTTTGTTCAGCTAAACAAAGTTTTAGGTGCCAGGTTTTATGCCTGAGGCAAGAACTGAAAGCTAGAGAAGTCCTCATCCCTGCTCTTGGGTCATTCACAGTCTGGCTTCTCACTGCTGAACTTTTCTGGAACACACCTGGTCATTGCATTGGCTAGCCAAATAAGGCCACATCTGGAGATGGACCTTCCCACGTCACCCTCCAAGAGAAGTAGTACATCGGCTTCCTCTCGGAGTCATAAATGTTCTGAATGGAGTAAGTCCACAGAGATTCCTCGACTGGAGACGGAAACAGGCCTAGAAAGGAGAAGGGTTTGAGCACAGGTCACATGCCCACAGCTGGTGGCTGTGCTGGGCCTGGGCGTGTTTTCCGTTCCCCCACATCACCCTGCTTCCTTAGCATTCCTGGGAGCTGATGTAGCTGGGACTACAGGCGCCCGCCACCATGCCCGGCTAATTTTTTGTATTTTTAGTAGAGACGGGGCTTCACCGTGTTAGCCAGGATGGTCTCGACCTCCAGACCTCGTGATCTGCCTGCCTCAGCCTCCCAAAGTGCTGGAATTACAGGCGTGAGCCACCATGCCCGGCCGGAGCCAGAGTTCTTAACTATGGAAGAGGGAAGATATAATTATGGGTGGGTTAGATTGGAACTGGATGTGTTAGTATGAACTAATGATTTCTAAAATCCAAACACACATACACCACAACCACCACCATTACCACTGCTGTGAAGACATGGAACACCTGCGTCATAATCTCTCCACCCCGGGCAACCTCTGATTTGCTTTCTGTGTCTTTTTTCTCTGGTTGTTGTTTTGTTTTGTTTTTGGTTTTTTTTTGGAGACGGAGTCTTGCACTGTCGCCTGGGCTGGAGTGCAGTGGCACCATATTGGCTCACTGCAAGCTCTGCCTCCCAGGTTCACGCCATTCTCCTGCCTCAGCCTCCCGAGTAGCTGGGATTACAGTTACCCGCCACCACACCCAGCTAATTTTTTGTATTTTTAGTACAGATGGGGTTTCACCGTGTTGGCCAAGCTGGTCTCAAACTCCTGACCTCATGATCCACCCACTTTGGCCTCCCATAGTGCTGGGATGACAGGCATGAGCCACTGTGCCCGGCCTCTCTGGTTGTTTTAAAGACTTTCTTTGTATCATTGGTTTTCAGCAATTTGACTGCCTTCATGTAGTTTTCTTTGTATTTATTCTGCTAGGGGAATGGTTAAATTTCTTGACTCTATGGGTTGAAATTGGAAGGTTTTTCAACTATTACTTCGTCAAATATTTTTTTCTGCCTCTTGCCTCTTGCCATATACATGTACTCCCATTACATGTATATCAGACCTTGAGATGTCCCACAGATCACTGAGACTTTGCTCCTTCTTTTTCTTTGTGTGCTGCCTTTTGGATAGTTTCTATGGCTATGTCTTCAAGTTCCTTTGCAGTACCTAATTTTTCATCTCAGATGTATTTTTTCAGTTCTAAAAGTTCCATTTGTTTCCTTTTTATAGTTTCTATTTCTCTCTTCATTATATTTATGTTTTCCTTTAAATCTTTGAGCATACGTACAATAGCTGCTTTAAGTTTCTTGCCTACTAATTGCATCATCTCTCTCAGTACATTTTTCCTGCTTTTTCGGATGTCAGGAAACTTTTTAG
The DNA here is from genome assembly GCF_000001405.40 of Homo sapiens. NCBI lineage: Eukaryota > Metazoa > Chordata > Mammalia > Primates > Hominidae > Homo > Homo sapiens. Next base: position 65,235,117 of record NC_000014.9, on the reverse strand, counting down.
ACACTGGAGCCCAGCTCTCCCACTATACTATGAGGTTGTGGAAAACTGCAGTTTCAATGACCACTGCAATCTCTTAATACACTCATTCCAAGAGTGTTCTCCTGGGCAGTGCAACCCCAACAGCAGAGAGCTATGTAGCCCCTGCTGTAGCAGAGCCAGGGCCCCAATGCCTGCTGAGAGCTGGGACAGGACCCCGTGGTGCTGCAGAGAGGTCAGTCCGAACCCAAGGGGTACTGCCCTCTAACACTTGGAAAGCTGAGCACCCCTTGCTCCTAGGAGTCCAACTCACCAGTGAGTTCTAATGTCTCGTTGACCTCAGTGTGCATCTCTCAGTATGCCTTGCTAAGTTTAGTCTTACCCTTGGTGCTGATACTGCTCCTGACCTTGCCAGTGAAGTGGTCCTCCTTCTCTCTCTGCTGAGGGACCTCTGCTGGCCCAAGGGAAAAGCCAACCCCCTTCCCTGTCCTGGCTTGGTTGGCAGAGGACCCAACATCCACTCCCTCTCCTCCTCACGCTTGTCCTCCCCAGGCGCCTTGGAGGCATTGGAGACAGGATGCAGGGAAGGAGCCCCCTCTGCTTCCACTACTGAGCAGGGATTAGTCCAGAAGGTACCCAGGAGGGGAAAGGTGGACTGAAAGACTGCTTTTCCTCCCCTTTAACCCTCCCTTCTGTCTCTACAAAAATCAAATCAAAATGGATTAATGACTTAAATCTAAGACCTCAAACTATAAAACTACTAAAAGAAAACATTGGGGAAACTCTCCAGGACATTGGTTGGGGAAGATATTTCTTGAGTAATACCCCACAAGCACAGACAACCAAAGCAAAAATGGACAAATGGGATCACGTCAAGTTAACAAGCTTCTGCACAGCAAAGGAAACAACCAACAAAGTGAAGAGACAACCTACGGAACGGGAGAAAATATTTGCAAATTACCCATCTGACAAAGGATTAACAATCAGAATATAGAAGGAGCTCAAACAACTCTACAGGAAAATAAATCTAATACTCCAATAAAAAATGCCCAAAAGACTTGAATGGGCATTTCTCAAAAGAAGTCATAAATGGCAAACAGGTATATGAAAAGGTGCTCAACATCACAGATAATCAAAGAAATGCAGATCAAAACCACAGTGAGATATCATCTCACCCCAGTCAAAATGGGTTATATACAAAAGACAGGCAATAATAAATGCTGGTGAGGATGTGGAGAAAAGAGAATCCATGTACAGTGTTGGTGGGAATGTAAATTAGTACAAGCACTCTGAAGGACAGTTTGGAGGTTCTTCAAAAAACTAAAAATATAGCTACCATATGGTCCAGCAATCCCACTGCTGGGTATGAACCTAAAAGAAAGGAAATCAGTGTATTGAAGAGATGTCTGCACTCCCATGTTTGTTGCAGCACTGTCACAATAGCCAAGATTTGAAACCAACCTAAATATCCATCCACAGATGAATGCATAAGGAAAACGTGGTAGATATACACAATGGAGTACTATTCAGCTTTGAGAAAGAATGAGATCCTATCATTTGCAACATGGCTGGAACTGGAGGTCATTATGTTAAATGAAATAAGCCAGGCACAGAAAGACAAACATTACATGTTCTGACTTATTTGTGGGATGTAAAAATCAAAACAATTGAACTCATGGAGATAAGTCAGTTAGAAGGACGGTTACCAGAGGCTGGGAAGGCTTGTGGCGGGGGGCAGGGAGGAGATGGGGGAGAGGTAGAGTAGGGTAATGGGTACCAAAAAAAAGTTGGAAAGAATGAATAAGACCTAGTATTTGATAGAATAGGGAGACTATAATAAAAAATAATTTAATTATACATTCTAAAATAACTAAAAGAATGTAATTAGATTGCTTGTAACACAAAGGATAAATGCTTGAGGAGAAGGATATGCCATTTTCCATGATGGGATTATTATGCATTCCATGCTTGTATCAAAGTATCTCATGTACCGCATAAATATATACACAACTATGTAACCCCAAAAATGAAAAATTAAAAATTTTTTTAAAACGAAGTTTCACTCTTGTCACCCAGGCTGGAGTGCAATGGCACCATCTTGGCTCACGGCAACCTCCACCTCCTAGGTTCAAGCGATTCTCCTGCCTCAGCCTCCTGAGTAGCTGAGATTACAGGCATGTGCCACCATGCCGGACTAATTTTTGTATTTTTAGTAGAGATGGGGTTTCACCATGTTGGCCAAGGCTAGTCTCGAACTCCTGACCTCAGGTGACCCACCCGCCTCGGCCTCCCAAAGTGCTGGGATTACAGGCATGAGCCACCATGCCCGGCCCAAAAAAAAATTTTAAAGAAACTTTTTAGGCCCGGTGTGGTGGCTCATGCCTGTAACTCCAGCACTTTAGGAGGCTGAGGCAGGAGGATCACGAGGTCAGGAGATTGAGACTATCCTGGCTAACACGGTGAAACCCCGTCTCTACTAAAAATACAAAAAATTAGCCGGGCATGGTGGTGGGCGCCCGTAGTCCCAGCTGCTAGGGAGGCTGAGACAGGAGAATGGCATGAACCCGGGAGGCGGAGCTTGCAGTGAGCAGAGATCACGCCACTGCACTCCAGCCTGGGTGACAGAGCAAGACTCCGCCTAAAAAAAAAAAACTTTTTAGTGGATGCTGAACATTATAAGGGTTATGGTGTTGAGAGACTGTCCTTTTTATTTTAGTGAGGTAGTTTAAGTTTCTTAATGATCATCATGATCCTTTTGGGGCTTGTTTTCAAGCTTTGTGAGAGCAGGCCTAGAGAAACCTTCTCTCTAGAGCTAGTTAAGTCTTACTCCTAAGGCCTAGGTTTTCTGGGGTCTCTACTAAATGTCCCAGGTGTTCAGTGAGACCCCACTGAACTATTTATTTTAGCTGGCTACAATAGTTTATTATATTTAATAATAAATAGTTTATTATTATAAATAAATAATTTATTCTAGCTGGCTAGCTGGCTAGAGCTCAAAAAACTTCCAACTACGTATAGGCTTCTGGAAGCGCTCAGTTTATAGCTCACCAGTATTTGTTATTTCCCATTGTTGCTATTTATCCAGACTCATGGAGCCTTACCATGGGCATGTGTAGCCTAGTATTCAACCAAATACTTTAGACAAGTACTTTTGTCAAGTGTCTAGAGGTCTTTGTGCAGTTCTCTCCTCCCTGGTAATCTGCCTGGCAAATTCCAACCACCTTGGGTCTCTGTCTCCTCAACTCAGCAAGACTTCTGTGTTCTGCTTGGCTTCCCGTCTCCAGGTAGTAGTCTGGAATGTGCTTCTAGGCAAAAAGCTGCGGCAATGTAGGGATCGCCTCATTTGTTTCACTTCTCTCAGGAAATATCTGAGATGTGTGAACACAGTCGTTTCATGTACTTTGTCTAGTTTTCTAGATGTTTACCATGGGACGGCTGGTTCAGTATCTGCCTGTTTGCTTTCTGATCACATGAATTCACATGCAGTCTTTCTCTACTCCTGGGCAGCTTCACCTGAACTTCCTCCTTCTTTTCATGCACATAAGTGAAATAAGTGCTTAAAACCAAAGGTCCTGGATTTTAGACACTACTGGAGCCCGCTGGACTAGGAGCCTTGCTTTATCTTAGCCTCATAAAACTGACCCTCTGAGGATTTGAGAAAGTTAATCCTAATCCCCAATGCTAAAGGACACATTATCTCCTAGATGCAGCCAAACAATCACAGGGCACCATTGTATTCTTTTAAATCAAACACCCTGTTTCTTGCAGATATAAATTAGCATTATTTTAAAAGGTTGAAGAAGATACACCAAAATATTAACAGTGATTATCTCTGTGGAATGAACTTTTGGGTTTCTTTTTGCTCTTCTTGGAGTTTTCAATTTTTTTTTTGGCTTTTATCATTATTATAATTTTTTTATTTTTTATTTTTTGAGAAGGAGTCTCGCTGTGTCACCCAGGCTGGAGTGCAGTGGCGCAATCTCAGCTCACTGCAACCCCCACCTCCCAGGTTCAAGCAATTCTCCTGCCTCAGCCTCTCCAGTAGCTGGAATTACAGGCGCCTGCCACCACGCCCGGCTAATTTTTGTATTTTTGGTAGAGACAGGGTTTATACATGTTTGCCAGGCTGGTCTTGAACTCCTGACCTCAAGTGATCCGCCCACCTCCACCTTCCAAAGTGCTAGGATTACAGGCTTTTATCATTATTTCTAATTGACACATAATAATTGTACATATTTATGGGAAACTGTGATATTTTGATACATGTATACAGTGTATGAGTTTCAATTTTTAAAATAAACATGCAATACCTTAAAAATTTTTTAATGTTTTAAATGTACTTATTTTTCTGACTCTGTTGCTTGAATCAGAAGTATGCTATTTTTATAATAAGAAAAAGAATTATGCCCTATAGTTGTGTACTCCTCCCACTCAATGACATTTCATTGTGCCTTAGTACAAATAATAGAGGCCAGGGGTGTAACTGATGGTTGATACGGAGCTCACCTGGATGACAGCCAAGTTCTGCCCCCACTCAACAGAAGAACAGGCCTATTGAATTCTGACTCCCTCCCTTCCCTCCTGTCCCCAAACAAAACGTTATTTGAAGAGTTTCCTTGTTCTCCAAGCAAATGAGAGCAGTCCAGAAAAACATTTCTCTCTCAGAAGCTTTTCCAGAAGTTTCCGATAAAGCTAAGACTCCCAGAAGAGCGTAAGTCAAGTAGCCAAGAGAAAGAGGAGTGACTGCCGGTTTCCGCGGGGCATCAGCGTGGGTTCCTGGGCATTGCTCCCCATCATGCAGTCTAACGGCAGAGGAGAGGACAGCCTTCCTGCTACCGGGAATCTTACAGCTGCCTGCCCCCCAACTCTACTTCCCCTTTAAAACAAAAAACAAAAACCCGCTCCTCAGAATCCAGACCAGAAACGATGGAGACATTAGCATACTCTGGCAAGCAGCCCGATGGATAATAGATAACAGGTTATCCAGGAAATAATTAGAAGTCTGCGCCCACACGGATCAGTTGCAGACACTGACCCCGTCATTCAGGATGTGGCCCTGAAAGTAAAGAGCCCTTTCTTCTTTCACTTTCAGGGGTTGGGAAAATGTCAGGCCTCTCTCCCTTCTTTTATGCCGTGACAAGTTAACAAGTGCTGAGTTTCAAATAGGCACTTAAGCCCCCTGAGCAAAGTAAAGTGGTTCTCACAGAGCCAGGGAGACCAACAGGTCCTCTCCCGTGAACCCCTAGGGCTGGGCGGGCCCACGGAGGAAGGGAGCCACGGATCAGGCGCGCTGCTCAGTCAGGAGGCCATAGCCGGCTTTCTCTTTCACCTCCCCTGTGGCTCCGACCTTCTTTCCCTCCGCGCCCACATTTCTGCCCCGGCCCAGCCCCTTGCATATTCCACCCCCGGCTGCAGAGGGAGGTCTTTTTAGCCCTGCTGTCTCCCTGCACTCCTACCCAGCCCTCTTCACAGCCCCCCTCCGCTGCCTCCCCACATTCTTCTTGTTTGATTGGGGTGGAGGGAGGCAAGATTCAGAAATAAAGCTTTTGTTTATATTTAAGGAATTCAATGGGTGTTCACTGCTATAGCTCTCTTTTGTGTTGTGTCATTGTTGCTTTCCATAATGGCTTCCAAAACTATTTTCTCTTCCAACCCTCCCTATCCTTAACCCCCACTAAGATGTGTGGAATTTGAATGTAGACAGGAACACAATGACAGATTGAGGCTTTCTCACTTTCTCTCGAGTGGATGGAGAAACCTAATAATTCTCATAATAAATATCCTGTGAAATCAGTCAAATCAACCTTCTTTTTTCCTGTCTTTGGATAGCTCTATTTTTCCCGTCTTTGGATAGCTCTATTTTTCCCACATAAACTCAATAGTAATAATTAACTCCCATGTTTTGAGCACGAACACGTGCTGGGCTGTGCTAAGCATTTTCTGTGCAATGCCTTAGCCCTTTCCACAGGCCTGTCTTACTATTCCCATTTTACAGATGAAAAAACTGAGCCCTTGCACAGATGCAATGACCTGGCCGTTTTTTGGTCTGTTTTGTGGGGGGTTTTTTTTAAAGGTAGAAATAGCAGAGCTGGGATTCGGATTACTATCAGATTCCAAACTTCCACCATTATACAATACTTACACCATACCAAACCTACACCATGCTAACAAGCACACTACACACCTACATCATCCTAACTTACATCACACTGACTCTTTTAAGGAAGGAGCAGGTGACAGTCCTATGTCCTGGAAGATGGGCTAAAGGGCTGGCTCTACAGAGGAAGGAATCAGAAGCCAGGTGTCATGGCATCCAGAATCTTCCATCACAGTTTGCCAAATGCTCCAAAGCTTCACCTCATTTCAACCTCACCAAAACCCCATAAGTCAGGCATGATTTTTCACTACCCCACCATCACTTGGTGTTACAAGTAAGGTTTAAACTGAGAGTCACAGAAGTGATTTGCCTGAGGTCATTCAGCTGATAAGTGGAGGTAGAATGTGGTTTTGCACTCAGGCTTTCAGTTCTCAAATCTTCACTGATCTTACTACACTCTTCTGCCTTTCAGCAATCCCTGAGTTAGGCTTCTCAAAACAATTCGATGAATGATACCAGGCTCCCTGGGTCGGCTTATTTGGTAGTCAATAGTTGGAAAAGTACAGTGAGTAATTGAGAGTGTGGATTCTAGAAGCAAATTGCTCTATCATTTGCAAGTTATGTGACCTTCAGCAAGTCTCGGTGCCTCAGTTTCCTCATCTATAAAGTAAGGAATCATAACAGCACCTACTTTTTGTTTTTTTGAGACAGAGTTTCACTCTTGTTGCCCAGGCTGGAGTGCAATGGCGTGATCTCAGCTCACCACAACCTCCTCCTCCTAGGTTCAAGCGATTCTCCTGCCTCAGCCGTCCGAGTAGCTGGGATTACAGGCATGTGCCACCACGCCCGACTAATTTTGTATTTTTAGTAGAGACGGGGTTTCTCCATGTTGGTCAGGCTGGTCTCGAACTCCCAGCCTCAGGTGATCTGCCTGTCTTGTCCTCCCAAAGTGCTGGGATTACAGGCGTGAGTCACCATGCTCAGCCAACAGCACATACTTTTAAGATTACTATGAATGGGCTGGGCACGGTGGCTCACGCCTGTAATCCCAGCACTTTGGGAGGCCAAGGCGGGCGGATCACGAGGTCAGGAGATGGAGACCATCCTGGCTAATACAGTGAAACCCTGTCTCTACTAAAAATACAAAAAATTAGCTAGGCGTGGTGGCAGGTGCCTGTAGTCCCAGCTACTCGGGAGGCTGAGGCAGAAGAAAGGTGTGAACCCGGGAGGTGGAGCTTGTAGTGAGCCGAGATCGCGCCACTGCACTCCAGCCTGGGCAACAGAGCAAGATTCCATCTCAAAAAAATAAAAATAAAAAAAAATTACTATGAATGAAGTATTGGGAAAAATGATTAAGATCACGCTTGGTGCGAAGGAAGCTGGGGCAAAGGTTTGAGTGCAAGCAGTTGGTTTGTGATCCTAGAAAGCTCTGAGAGAATGAGGAAAGAGGTAGGGAAGGGAGGCAAGTCAATAAAGGTGCTGGGGAACAGGTTACCATGGAAGGGCAGGCCCTGAGAAATTGGAACACACCTCAGAATGGTCCCTGGGGAACTTTGCCCCATCCTGCATCAGTAAGACCGCTCCTGGGGGATTCACTGCCTCTCCGCCTGAGGGACAAGCCCTCTCCGAAGGCCAGAGCAGGTACACTGAGAACAGCATGCAGGTGACCCTGGGGTAGGCCACACCTGGGGTGGGCCCTGTCTGCCACCTACCCTGTAATCTCTCACTGTTGCTAATGTACACTCTAGGTGGACTGTTTTCTCAGAAACACTTGCCAAACAGCCCCATTGTTTGCTCCAGATCTAGTCTGAAAGAGCAAAATTTCCTCTTTGAACTGTAAATACCTGCTGAGAGCTCTTTAGAAATTCTAGGTAATTAAAATTCCTTTAAAGTATCCATAGCTATGATTGTCCCATACACGTCTGTGTGTTTACCTTCTAGTTTACACAATTACAAATTATGTTTGCATATACCATTATCTGATTTAATCCTCATGGTAAACCAGTGAGGTAGATGGTAACCCTTGAAACCGTCCCAGAGTTTTAGATCCTTCTCCAAAGGATTAGAAAGAGTTTAGTAATTTCAGCTGAGAGATGATTCCAAAGCCCTGGAGGAAGTTTCGCAACATTTCTCCTCTCCTCTATCTGAACAGTTCCTGCAGGACCTAAAAAGTCATGTTCTAGCCATTTTACTCGTGTTTGGAAGCTTTGAGAATATGAAGCTTTGAGCATATTGTTGCTTGTAGAATAATAAAGCAATCCGGTTACTTTATTCATTTTTTTCTCAACGTAAACATGTAACAAGATATTAACAAAGAAGTTCTGCTAAGGCCTGAAGACAATAGCAATGGCATTTTAAGCTAGGCACAAGACCACGTGCAGAGTGGGGAGAAAGCAGGCAAGAAAAAACTAACTAGTTTTGACTCTTGCACTCTGCATTCATGGTGATAGAATGGCCAGTCTGGCAGATGAGAAAGGAGGATTTCCGGACATAGTTTTTGGTGGGTTGTGAGTCCCATAGGAGAAGAGAGGAAGTATAGGGACCTCATCACAAGCTCAGGGAATGGGGTTTCAATTGTCCACTGAGAGGGCTTAATACACATTTCTTGTAGCTTAGGGAACTCAGTGCACAGGCGTCCAGTTCCCATCTGAAAAAGCCAAAGGACAGCAATAGGCTGACCCTAGCTTTGACTGTGGAGTAAGGTGGAGGCCAAAGGAGGAGGCTAGGACACCCTGTGCTCTCCAAATTTGTCATGATAGAGGGTGTGTGTATGTGTGTGGCCAATGTGGGCCACATCCAGGAAAGGCCTGGCAGTGAGGGGTTATCTTAGATTGTTCAAGAGTGCTGCATGGAGGGGCAAACTGGCCTCTCAGAGAGAAGCTCAAGGTATCACCAGGTTCAGAGGGTTGAGGAAGGAGTGAGTGAGTAGCAAGCATGGAAAGCATTTGTCCTGTGAAGCAAACTGCAGGGAAGAGCTCCTCAGTGGCCGGAAGGTCACTGCAAAGACCTGGTGAGAGTCAGCTGTCAATTATTTGCCAAGTCCAGAGCGAGCAGATGCTAAATTCCCAAGCCAGGGCCAGTCAAGCAAGAACTTTCCTGCTTCCCTGGCCTCTTCTCATTTGCAGGACTCCAGCTCTGAAAGAGGCAGGACTCATGGCTAGTAATCTGGGGAAGGAGGAGGAGAAATGTTAGCAGCTGACCACATACCCTTTCCCCAGTCTCCTTTGTCTTCACCTTTCAAGGATCCTGAGCTGGGATGGGGGAGAAGTTTCAACTTTAAAGCAAGAAGTTATGGGACTGAATAATTTAGTTACTAAATGCGTACTATGTGGTTTAAAGTGACCGGAAGATTGCTGATATTACTAAGTGTGACCAGAAAGTCATAGACTTGCTCTAAATTTCATCTGGGGCAGAGGAAGATCTGGCTTCCCCGGGCAGATGAAAAAGAACAGTGGGAAATCAAATAAATTTGCTTGTGAATACACTCCGTGAGTCTTGTTTGTTCAGCACAATGGCTAGCCACGTTTCCAATCCTGGGAGATTGACAAGTGCTCAGGGAAGACTGGTTTGTGGTTTTGAGTGGTCTCTGGGTCAGAATCCCAGACTTCACTGGAGAAGTGAAACCAACCATATAGATAGGCCAATTTCCACAGCCACAGTGGGGCTACAACCAAGAGGTCTCCATTGCTCCCCACCCGATTTAGAAACCCGTCCTGACCTGAGATTGACAATGGTGACAGCCACCTCTGTGCTCATTGCTGTAAGACCGTGGCAGCAGATGGCTATGGCTGCTATTGTTTGCCCATTGGGAATCCCAAACAAATCCACTAGCTATGCCCCTAGACACTGCCTGATGATGAATCTATTAAGAGATTGAATCCCTCTGGATGAATGGTTTGGATAATGGCTGTACATATTACAGTAAACAAAATGTTTTGGGAGACCTTCTTCACTTATTGTCTCTCAGCTCCAAACCTGCCCTTCTGTGCTTGCTTTGTGATGCTGGGCTAGGACTCTGCCAACCACAGTTTTGCTTTGCCAGCTGGCTCCACATTAGGCCCTTCCCACGGGAGGCCCCAGAGGGAACAGCATGGTGAGAGAGAAAGAAAGGCCTCCTTCCTTCCTGTCTGCTTCCTGTGGGTTTTCTGTACCTGTCAGTGTCACTCTAGTCTCACCTCTTCACCCTGGCAGTAGCAGCTCCTTCTTGGAGCAGCAGTTGAATGTAGTTTGCAGTTTTTCCAGCACTGACAGAACCAGCCTCATCATGCTCTTGTTCTCCCAGGAGATGTCGGGTCCTCAGGGCCCCTCTCCAGCTCAGAAATGCCAGCCCAGCCAAGCGGTGCCCCCTCCGTGGAGTCTGAGTCCCAAGTTTTCAAGTTTTAATAATTCCCACCCCTTCCTATTCTCAGTCCCAGGGGCAGGGGCTGCTTCCTGCAGTTTAGTATTTATTTTATAAATAAATAAAAATTATTTATTTATTTATTTTTTTCTTTTTTCCAAGACAGAGTCTTGCTCTGTCACCCAGGCTGGAGTGCAGTGGCGCGATCTTGGCTCACTGCAACCTCCACCTCCTGGGTTCAAGCAATTCTGCCTCAGCCTCCTGAGTAGCTGTGATTACAGGAGCCCCCCACTGCGCTAGGCTAATTTTTGTACTTTTAGTAGAGATGGGGTTTCACCATGTTGGCCAGGTTGGTTTCAAACTCCTGACCTCATGATCTGCCTGCCTCGGTCTCCCAAAATTCTGGGATTATAGGCGTGAGCCACCATACCTGGTCTTTTTTTTTTTGAGACAGAGTCTCGCTCTGTTGCCCAGGCTGGAGTGCAGTGGCGTATTCTTGGCTTACTGCAACCTCCACCTCCCAGGTTCAAGCGATTCTCCTGCCTCAGCCTCCCGGGTAGCTGGGACTACACGCGTGTGCCACCATGCCTAGCTACCTTTTGTATTTTTAGTAGTGATGAGGTTTCACCATGTTGACCAGGCTGGTCTTGAACTCCTGACCTCAGGTGATCTGCCTGCATTGGCCTCCCAAAGTGCTGGGATTACAGGTGTGAACCACTGCGCCCGGCCAACCTGCAGTTGCTTTTACTGTGACACCTTAGTGTCCTCTTTTAGTTATCTAGTTAACAACCTTTTTTTTTTTTTTTTTTTTTTGAGACAGGATCTCACTCTGTTACTCACACTGAGTGCTGTGGAACAATCATGGCTCACTGCAGCATCAACTTCCGGGGCTCAAGCAATTCTCCTGCCTCAGCTTCCGGAGTAGCTGGGACTACAGACACACACCACCACACCCTACTAATTTTTTATTATTTGTAGAGATGAAATCTCACTATGTTTTCCAGGCTGGTCTCAAACTCCAGGACTCTAGTGATCCTCTCTCATCGGTCACCCAAAGTGCTGGAATTAGAGGTGTGAACCACTGTGCTCGGCCCCAGTAATTCTTACATTACCTTCTCTGTTCAAATAACAGATGGTGTTTTCTGTCCCCTGAGTGAGACACATCTCAATGAAAAAAAAAATGGAGAATTACAGTATCCCAGAGGACTTGCTGGGGTAAAGAATTAGTGAGGCCTCTAGCGAGGAAAGACTGGAGTAGTTGCTTAACGTTTTTTTTAAATTATTTATTTATTTATTTACTTATGTATTCATTTATTTCGGGATAGGGTCTCACTTTGTTGCCCAGGCTGTAGTGCAGTGTTGTCAACCCTGCTCACTGCAGACTCAAGCAGTCCTTTCACCTCAGCCTCCCAAGTAGCTGAGACTACAGGCATGTGCCACCAAGCTCAGCTAATTTTTGTATTTTTTGCAGGGACAAGTTTTTGCCGTGTTGCCCAGGCTGGTCTCAATCTCCTGAGCTTAAGTGACCCTCCTACCTCAGCCACCCAAAGTGCTAGGATTACAGGCGTGAGCCACTGTGCCTGTCCCGGTTTTTGAATCACAGAGCCCTTGGAGAAAGAGATGGAACAAAGGACTTTCTCTCTAGGAAATGTAAATGTCTATCGGCACATTGCCTACCTGCAACCCTTGCACTCAGTTACTCAATTTTAAGCGTTGGTGGACCCCAAAGCCCAGGTACTGATTCTTGTGGTAGAATGTTGGCTAGGTTGAGTCTCCATGTTGGAGGAAATCTAGTGGGCTCTCAGAGGCTGTTGCCTAAACCTAGGAAAAGTCGAACAAAAGATCTGTCAGTCCGGGGTTGCCAAGGAGCTGTCCTAGATTTTCAGACTCCCTGAATTTGAGTTAAATATCCTGACTGTAGACCTGCCAACCACCCTGGACTTGTAATTGCTCTTGCATCTGAGGCCTTAACAATGTGTCATATTCAACAACAACTATTTTACTCATGGGGGCCCCGCCAACAAGAATGAGCCTTCTGAAGCAGAGCCCTGTTTTCTAGGCCATCCTCCCCCAGAGGCCCCTGGCTGGCCCCAGGAGGCCCCAACCTTCTCTCCCAGTCCTTCAGTGCCACGTAGAGTGTAGTCCTCCTGGACAGAAAGGCGCGTCGCCATCTCCTGGCCGGCACTATTACTGCACGTCCATTTTCTAGAAAATTCCTGGCATCTGGGTTCTATGTAAACGTAAGAACTTTTCCTTTACTGTGAGTTAGCAATCCGGATGTGTTTTGTGGAAGATTATGCCCTAAGCCCTTAGAAGGGAGGACACTGAGTTTGGGAAAAGTCACTACCTCTGGGCTTCATTTTTTGCCCTAAGGCAATGAGGTTATCCTGATGCTGAGGAATCTATGGCAAATTTTCCTTTCTCCCTCAAACTATCCTGTCAACCTTTTCATATTAGAAGGCAGAGAATGGAAAATACACATACACAGTAAGTACCTGCTACATATCTTTATAGAGCTGTCCTATGTATATTTGTTTTTTGGTTCCATGTTGATCTTTTCTTATTAATTATTTTTTGTAGATACAGGGTCACTATGTTGTCCAGGCTGGTCTCAAACTCCTGAGCTCAAGCAATCTTCCCGTCTCGGCCTCCCAAAGTGCTGGGATTACAGGCGTGAGCCACTGTGCCCAGCCTCCATCTTGATCTTTTAAGTTATTTAGACATTGCTCAAGATATAAGACTGATTTTTCTCTCTATTGATTGAAAAAGGCTTTACTGTTTTATTCATTTATTCCACAAAAGGATTTATTCAATCAACTCAAAAATTGTTATGCACCAGGCACTTTTGAAGTACTAGGGATACAGCAATAAGCAAAACAGACACAAGCCATTCCCTCATGGAGCTTCTTCCCTAGTGGAGGAGATAGGCAATAAATAAAATGTGCAGCGTGTTGGCTGAAAGAGGATGTGGGCCAAGAGAAGATTTTTTGTCTATCTGTTTTGTTTTTTAAGATAGGAGAAATTACAGCACATTTGTCTGCAGAGGGGAATGATCCAGGAAAGTGGGAGAAATGATGATGCACAAGAGAGGAGGGACCGGTGGAGAGATGCCTCGAGGAGGTGAGGGGAGGTGGCATCTAGTGCACAAGTGGAGTGGGTGATGCAAATATTTATCAAGCCCCTGGCAGGTGTCAGAACCAGGGCTATGTGCCGGAGATCCAGCAGTGAAGAAAATGGACAGTAGCCCTGCCTTCTTGTAGATTTCACCCTAATTAGGAAGATGGACAATAAAAAGCAAACTAGGCTGGGTGCAGTGACTCATGCCTATAATCTCGGCACTTTGGGAGGCCAAAGTGGGCAGATCGCTTGAGGCCAGGAGTTCAAGACCAGCCTGGCCAACATGGCGAAACCCCATCCCTACTAAAAATACAAAAATTAGCTGGGCATGGTGGTGTGTGCCTGTAATTCCAGCTACTTGGGAGGCTGAGGCCTGAGAATCACTTCAACCTGGGAGGCGGAGGTTGCAGTGAGCTGAGAATGCGCCACTGCCCTCCAGCCTGGGTGACAGAGCAAGACTCCATCTCAAACAAACAAACAAAAAAACAAACTAATAAATGAGGCATAGTACTCATGGCTTGGGGTATGTGCTATGACAGAAACACAATAGACATGGAAATCCTCTTCGAGAAGTGTCATTTAGACTGAGTTTTAAAGTATAACAAGGAGATGTCCATGTGCAGAGCCCGAGGAAAGAGGATTTCAAGCAGAAAGAATAACAAGTACAAGACCCTGGGCAGGAAGAGCTTGGCCCATTTGCGCACCTGATTGGAGGTGGGGCTGCTGGAGGGTAGTTAGCAAGGAGGGTGAAGCATGAGATGGGGTTACAGAGGTTGACCAGTAATAGATTTTAACAGTCAATAAATTTTATGAGCAAATTTGTAGATAACTCAAGGCTAGGAAGGACAGCTCGCACTGTTAAATGGCAAAATCAGAATTTAAAAAAAAAATTGCATTGATGGCATGTAACAAATCTCAATGTCAAATCTTGCATTTGGGCTCAAAAAACTCAGTTGCAAGAAAACAGTAAAAGGAAGATCAAATACACCACCAGTTGGTATGAAAAGTGTTCTGGGTTTTCCAGAAAGCAAAGCCTAAAACAGGCCTAAATTGCAAACTCTTTCCTGAGCAATGTGACTGAAGGAGCAGAAGTGAGAGAGTGGAGAGGCAAAGAGAAGAAAAAAGAACCAATACAGAGCTGTGGTGTTGAGGCAGCCTCGTCCGCAGGCTCCTGCTGGTCCAATCTCAGGGGCCCGTGGAGGAGCTCAAAAGGTGCCTCAGTGCCAACCAGAGAGCAAAGAGAGGGACTAGCATTTCTCCCTTGCTTCACACACCGCACACCAAAGGCTCTCTCCATGGGTGTCTCTCTCCCCCAAGTGTGAGTACGAAGCAGGCTACCGTGATGGTCCCACTTGCATTGTCACTCAGAGACTCAAAGGTAGAAAGCAAGGGAAGAGTGGGCCTGAGATGGTTCGTGGTCAACTGCACTTGTGGGAACTGGTAGGTGCCCCACAGAACTGGGCGCAGCTGGAATAAGAGACACGGAGACCCAAGCTCTGAAGTGATTCACGGTGGTGTCGCCTACATATAAGCTTAGGAATGACAATTTCCCTCTGCTTGGCATTTCATCTCGAAGTCTTTTTAGGCTTTCTGCGGAAACACGGGTGTGTAACTGAATCTCATTCTCAATGCTTGATATTTGGGCCTTAGAGGTAAAAAGGACCCCCAAAATACTATCCCAGAAGCCATAATAATTCCTTCTTTAAAATTTCTCAGGCCAGGCCCAGTGGCTCGCCCAGTGGTTCACCCAGTGGCTCACAGTATAATCCTAGCACTTCGGGAGGCTGAGGCAGGAGGATCACTTGAGCCCAGGAGTTGGAGAGCAGCCTGGGTAAGATAGTGAGACCTCATTTCTACAAAAAATTGAAGTTAGCTGAACGTGGTGGCACACTCCGGTAGTTTCAGCTACTCAGGAGTCTGAGGTGGTCGGATTGCTTGAGCCCGAAAGGTAAAGGTTGCAGTGAGCCAAGATCATTCCATTGCACTTCAGCCTGGGCAACAGAGCTAGACCCTGTCTCTAAATAAATAAATAAATAAATAAATAAATAAATAAATAAATAAAAATAAGGCCAGGCATAGTCACTCAGCCTGTAATCCCAGCACTTTGGGAGGCCAAGGGAGGTGGATCACTTGAGCTCAGGAATTTGAAACCAGCCTGGGCAACATGGTGAAACCCTGTCTCCACAAAAGATACAAAAACTAGCCAGGTGTGGTGGCACATGCCTGTGGTCCTAGCTACTTGGGAGGCTGAGGTGGGAGGACTGTTTGAGCCTGGGAGGCAGAGGTTGCAGTGAACTGAGATCGCACCACTGCCCTCCAGCCTGGGCGACAGAGCAAGACCCTGTCTCAAAAATGAAAAATAAAAAAAAAAAATAGAGCCAGAAGGAGGAAGGGGTGGTGGGAGCTGGGGTTGGGAGACAAAAATAAAAATAAATAAATACAATTTATCTAATTCAACAAAGGAATCTTTTTTAAATATTATCTAAGACTTCTGAATCTTTATCAAATGCTGCATTTGTATAAACTGTTTACTTCTGCTAAACTGGGGGCTATCGTGGTGGGAGAGAAATGAAGGGTTAGGGAAGCAATTCATCCCATTTATCCCAGGCCAGGTAAAGGCCTCAAATTTAAGATTTTGACTCATCTCCAAATGAAGTTATACGTAGAAGTCTCAGAGCCACAATAACAACAACATTGAAAGATGTTCTTCAAACAGCTCAAACTTGTGTCCTCATCCTCAGATCAAACTGCGTGTGGTCCCTTATAAATAAATATTTTCAAAAGTTCTATAATTGTCTTGCAAAATAACTCAGTGCCTTTGCTGTTCAAATGTATCAATTTATGAAATGTAAAGTTTCCAAAAATCACAATTTTTACAATTCTCTTTTGATAGTTCTCCTTTAAAAAAAAAAAATACAAGGAGCCTTGAGAAATGGACATGATCCGTGTATTTCTTGACCTCTGAGATACCATGGCTAATCCCAACCAACCTGCAGAAATACTGCTTCTGGAAGTTCCATTTGCCTCCATTCTGAGTGCTTATTAACCCTGAAACTTTTGTCAGCTCAGGAAAAAGCAAAAGGTAACTAGCTGGAGGGTAAGTGAGGAACGTTTGCTCCTTTTCCCAGCTCTGAAGGTGCTTGTAAATATCACTCAAGGTGCCCCGGTATTGCACTGGAGAGTGGCTTATTTTTCATCTCACAGTATCACAAAAGGTTAGGTGTCCCTTTGTGAAACTGTTGCTGTGTGGAGCCAGCACTATTAGATATGCCTTTGTTGAATCCCCAAAGAATTGTCTTTGGTCTGAGTTTCTTCAACCTATTTATTCTCTCTCTCTTTTTTTTTTTTTTTTTTTTTTTGAGATAGAGTCTTGCTCTGTTACCTAGGCTGGAGTGCAGTGGTGCAATCTCAGCTCACTGCAACCTCTGCCTCCTGGGTTCAAGTGATTCTCCTGCCTCAGCCTCCTGAGTAGCTGGGATTACAGGTGCCCGCCATCACATCTGGCTAATTTTTGTATTTTTAGTAGAGACGGGGTTTCACCATGCTGGCCAGGTTGGTCTTGAACTCCTGACTTCAGGTGATCTACCCGCCTCAGCCTCCCAAAGTGCTGGGATTACAGGCCTGAGGCACTGTGCCCAGCCAACCTATTTATTCTGTAGGGTACTTCAAGTCCAAGGCTCAAAGCTGTTTTCTCTCCTCATTAAATCCCTGCTGGTTCTCCAATGGTGACTTTAGGGGAGGCCCCATTATAAGTGGAGGCCCCATAAAGGTCAGAAATAATTTACCTCTGCCCTGCAGGTTCTAAACTAACTGGCTGCGCAGTGGAACACCCTTGTTCACCTCCTCACTGGGCTCCTGGGCCTCCAACTCCTGCCCTTCAGGTTCTAGGTAAGGGCTACACATGTAATTCAAAGAGGATCTCATGGGCTTGAGGAGATAATCACCCTGTGTTTAGAGCAATTTCCATGACATCTGGGCCAAAATGCCTTTCCATGAAGTCCCCTAAATGGGGACTTAGGGCCGTGCCTCACTCTTATCATTCCTAATATGACTGGCTGTCCTTGGCCTGTGTATGCCTGTCCGTGCATGATGTTTAAGATGGTATATTCTGGATGTAGGCATTCCTCATTCTGTTGTCATCTCTCCTGATGGGCCGAGCCTCTCTCTAATCATCCTGAGATATATCTCTTGCTAATTTCCCTTCCTAAGCCTAACCCTGTGGGTTACAGATCAAAACAGGGGCAGTGGGAGGTACAGAAATGATTCCAATAATCTGCTTCCCAGATAGGCAATTGTTGAAAACCAAGGAAACAAAAAGGGATTTGGGGGGGCCCCCACCCCTGAAGGAAAGCCACAAGAAGATCAAGAAGGGGTGTCATCCTCCCTCCTCCCACACAGACTCCAATTAGTCTCAGCTGTCATGTTTCACTGGTACTCTGATCACTTAAGTGGAAACTTATTAAGACTTATTGGCATTAGGGTGGCCACCTCTTTGGGAACAGCCTGAAGAGGCTGGAAATTGATCAAAGTCTGGACCTGAAGCAGTGGAAGCTGCTTCCCTTTTGTCATCCACTGATGCCCAGCCTACCCACTGGCACCGTCCTGGGAGGTTCACAGAGTCGGGGCAGGACCCCACAGGGTGCCTGGGTTCCAGGAGGTTGTGGGATCAGTTCCATAGGTTCATTATAAAATGACTCTGACTGCAGTGCAGACAATGATCTTGATGGGAAAACACTTGGAGGGTGGATTGGGAGAGAGAGCACAAACGCTTCAGTCTTGGCAGAGAACCAGTTTGCAGTCTCAATAAGGTTCGATTCATCTAAGGTCTATGGAGCATGTGCTCTGCCCAGTTCTTGCTTTTGAGAGACAAACACATTGGGAAGACACAGCCCTGCCCTGAAAGAGACTCAACAGGACAGGAGTCGGTCCTCTGACTTCCCACCCGAGGAGAGCCGATAGGTTCAGTGGGGGAAGGAGGGTGGTGACCGGAGCTGTAGGGGAAGTCTTCCTGAGGAGGGGGCTCACGTGGGCTCCAAGAGGGAGGAGGACAGGGAGAACATGCTGGGGCTGAGAAGGTAAAGAGAGAACTTCATGGAAGTTATTTCCTTTAGGGGAAAGCAAGCTCATACCTTGAATATTGTTCCCTATGTGATCTCCCTTAGGATGGAGAGAGAATCTCTTTTTGCCCCTTTTCCCCCCAGATAGTCTGAGGAATAAGAGCTCGCGAGAACCTGGTGGTAATCTGAATGCCATTACTACCAGCACTCATAATAATAATGATGGCAGTGACAGTCACTGATGGAACGTTTTCTATGCATGAGACACTGTGCTTAAGTGCTTTACAAACATTAACTTTATTTAATCTTTACAATTACTTTTCCAAATAGGTTCTATTATTAAGTACTACTACTATTAGTAATACTATATTATTAACTAATACTATTATAGCACTGATATTATTAAATACCATTATTATTACTATCATTATTAGGTACTACTGATATCCCTACTTTATACATGAGGAGATTAAGACTCACAGAGGCAGGCAGGAGGATCACTTGAACCCAGGAGTTTGAAACCAGCCTAGGCAACATAGAGAGACACTACCTCTACAAAAAAAATAAAAATTAGCTGAGCATGGTGGTGTGCACCTGTAGTCCCAGCTACTTAGGAGGCTGAGGCAGGAGGATCCCTTGAGCCCAGGAGTTGGAGGCGGCAGCAGTGAGCTGAGATCTTGCCACTGCACTCCAGCCTGGGCGACAGAGTGAGACCCTGTCTTTAAAAAAAAAACAAAAACAAAAAAAACGAGAGGCCAGGCGCAGTGGCTCACACCTGTAATCCGAGCATTTTGGGAGGCCAAGGTGGGCGGATCACCTGAGGTCAGGAGTTTGAGACCAGCCTGGCCAACATGGTGAAACCCCATCTCTACTAAAAATACAAAAAAATTAGCCGGGTGTGGTGGCACATGCCTGTAGTCCCAGCTACGCGGGAGGCTGAGGCAGGAGAATGTCTTGAATCCAGGAGGCAGAGGCTGCAGTGAGCTGAGATCACACCACTGCACTCCAGCCTAAGCAACAGAACAAGACTCCATCTCAAAAAAACAAACAAACAAACAACAACAACAACAACAAGAGAGGGACTCACGGATGTTAAGTTACTTGCCCATGTGGATAATATCGGTGGAGCCCAGGCTTAAACCCACACATTGAGTCCAGAGCTCTGAAATTTAACCACACACATATTACCTCTTAGTACTTAAGTGTTTCTGTGCCCAATCAGACACTGGATGCTACACTTTTAGGAGATGGATTTACTCATCCAACTCCCCTCTACTCTTCTTGAATTAGGGAAGCCTAGTTCAGGTCTCACGTCATAATCTCATTCAAATGGGAACATCTTGCCTCTCCAACAAGACTGCAGATAACCCCAGGGAAGGACATGCCTTATTTCTGGAAGCAAGAGAAATACCAGTGAATTGGCTTGAATGAGTCCTCCTCCTCTCCCCCTGCAGGTCCTTCCACTTGGCACAGAGGCAGGCCTGCAGTATGTCCTCTGGAAGGCCCTGCTCAGTTGTCTTGGCTGTCTGCCCTTTGCATACACCCCTTCCTCCTTGCTCTCTGTCAATATCCTCATTCTGCTTTTTCTCACCTGACAAAGATAAATCTTGCAGCTCTCCACCACCTGCCTGATGGGGCTGTCTAGCTCTTTGCTGTCCAGAGAGGTCACTGGAGGCTATTCCCAGAGAACTCCTGGCCCTGTCCTAGGTCCCTCGCCTGGGTGGAGGAGTGGCCTCCCCTGGTGTGCTGCCTTAGAATGTCACTGTGCAATGTAAAGGGATGGACCGAGCCCCGGGATGGACCAAGCCCCAGCATGGGGCAGCATCTACTGCCCCAACCCTCTCAGTGCTTTCCCATAAGCTGCCATCTCAGAGGAAGAATCAATCCACTCTGTAATCATGCTCTTGGCGGGGGTCTGGGGGACTGATTGATGGGTCTAGTTGTTTTATTATAAGCCAGTGTAAGTTAAGTAAGTCAAATCAATAAACTTTATAGGTCTCCCCAGATTGCTCCAGAGGCGAGACCCAGTGGCTTTCACAATAGATTAGACCCCTGCCTAAATAAAAACCAATAGTCGCCTGGAGAAACAGTTTGATTTCCTTTTGAGAGACTCTCTTAGTGCCCTTGAGCCTGTCATGACTTAAATCAATAACTTTAACCACTTCCAAGAAGAAATCAGTTGCCTTTGGAATATCTTCATGCCACTTCCCGATCTCCCTGGCACATGACAATTTTAGATGCCTGGAGTGAACCAGTCAAGGCAGTCAGGACAGTGCTATCCTGTCCCTAGGCCCCAGGCATGGCCCCCAGCCTAGGCAGTCCAGACCTTTCCTCTCCTGCAAGTATTCTCTTCATCTTGCCCAAATGTCCCAAATCTCCCCTTATCTGAGACTCCCCACTAGCCCACCCCTGCTGTGCACCCCTGGCCTCCATGGCCCCTGAATGACCAGGCTGGCTAACGAGGAGCTGGTCTTCCTTGTCATTTTGAGGGTGAATGTAGCAGTTCCTCCAGGTGGCACTTTTGTCCATTTACATGAGTATCTAGGAAGCAGAATAACCTGTGGTAGTAGCTGTAAACTAAAAATAAGATTCTTTTTTTTTTTAGATGGAATCTCGCTCTTGTCTCCCAGGCTGGAGTACAATGGCGTGACCTTGGCTCACTGCAACCTCCACCTCCTGGGTTCGAGTGATTCTCCTGCCTCAGCCTCCTGAGTAGCTGGGATTACAGGCGCCCACCACCATGCTCGGCTAATTTTTGTGTTTTTAGTAGAGATAGGGTTTCACCATGTTGGCCAGGCTGGTCTTGAACTCCTGACCTCAGGTGATCTGCCCACATCAGCCTCCTTAAAAATAAAATTCTAAGGCCCCCAACCATCTGAATGGACCCCTCCTCTCAGCCAAGGGCATTCCAAAGTTAACCTGGAAAATTAGTTCAGGCCACAGTGGGAACAGGAGTTGTACATGCCCCATTATACCCTCCTCCCTGTGGAATTCAGGCACAACTGACCAGCATTAACATCAAAAAAGAGATCTTAAGACTGTGGCAATAAGACACCAAATTCCAGCCTGACTCTAATATAGCATCACATGACAACAGGCCCTGAAGAAATCAAAATACTCTATTCTTTTACTCACATATTTTGAAATGGCCCTGCAAAACTGTCTCTTGTGGGGGAAATCTACATTCAGTAGAGAATCCCTTTCCCTTTCCACATCTTTTCCCTGATCCAGGAGAGAATTAACTAAGAGTCTGGCACCTTTTAAGTCTGATAAGAAACATTTACTATCTACTCTTTCTGAAGCCTGCTACCTGGAGGCTTCATCTGCATAATAAGAACCTTGGTCTCCATAACCCCTTATCTTAACTCAGATAGTCCCTTCTATGGATTCCATACTTTTAGATAAACTCTTTTAATCAATTGCCCTGGGAAAATCTTTGAATGCACCTGTGACCTGAAAGTTCTCCTCCCCACACCTCTTCGAGCTGTCCTGCCTTTCCAGACCTGACCAATGTACATCTTAGATATTAATTGATGTCTTATTTCTCCCTAACATATATAAAACCAAGCTGTAGCCTGACCACCTTGGGCACATGTCGTCAGGACCTCCTGAGGCATGTCCTTATTCTCGGCAAAATAAACTTCTAAATTGATTGAGACTCAGACACATTTTGGTTTACACAGCAATAGTAGTATTGATAATACCTCAATGGAGTGACTGCAATGATGAGAATTTCAGGCCTTGCTGGGGTGGGGTGTGTCTATCCTGGGCCACTTTTAAGTTATTTCTCAGAGAAAGTCACCATCCCTGCCCACCTAGGGCTGGCCATAAGAGAGGCCAGCCTTACCATGTCTGCCAGGGCTAGTTTAGTGGTCATCCTCACTGCCTGAGCTCTGCCCTGCACTCTCCCATTCTTCAAGGGTTATCTTTGATGGAGCCAGCAGTAAAATGGTCTGTCTAGGGGCCAGGAGCCATCAGGAGAACAAAGTCATCTCCAACACTCTGCCCAATGTTAGAGCACTGTGCCAGTATAAGCTCCCAAGTCACCCATCTGGGGTGGTGGCTAAAGGCCCCCACAATATTTTTATTCTCTAGAATGGGAATAAGACCCACCACTCTTTGGCCATGGAATCAAACGTTTAAATACCAGAAGTTCCATGGTTGCTCCAGAGCCCATTCTGTGCTGCCAAGATGGACTCTCAAATCAAGCGACTGAGTGGTCAGGATTAGATTGTCTCAAAACTATTTCTATGTTGGATAAAGTTTTAAATAGAATGTTGTGGGCCGGGTGTGGTGGCTCACGCCTGTAATCCCAGCACTTTGGGAGGCTGAGGCAGGCAAATCACAAGGTCAGGAGTTTGAGACCAGCCTGGCTAACATGGTGAAACTCCGTCTCTACTAAAAATACAAAAAATTAGCTGGGTGTGGTGGCAGGTGCCTGTAATCCCAGCTACTTGGGAGGCTGAGGCAGGAGAATCGCTTGAACCTGGGAGGCAGAGGTTGTATGAGCTGAGATCATGCCACTGCTCTCCAGCCCAGGCGACAGGCAAGACTCCATTTAAAAAAAAAAAAAAAGGAAAGGAAAGGAAAAAAAAAAAGAATGTTGTGGGATAACCCTTTCCACATATGATCCCTGCACTAGAGAGACTCAGGAGTTCCTGCTGCTTGGCTTAGTCCAGCCCAGAGGCTGTCTGTCCACCACAAAAGGCTGGGGCAGACCCTAGAGCAGTGACATACCAGGGACAGTGTGGGTAGATCATTTTTAACATCCCCTCCTCTATGTGACAACATTCAGCAGTAATGATGCGATTAAACAAATAATACAATAGGCCCTCCTTATCCATAGGGGATATGTTCTAAGACCCCCCCCCCCCAGTGGATACCTGAAACCGAAGATAGTACTGAACCCTATATACACTGTTTTTTCCTTTGCATACACACTGTATAGTTTGGATACGCTGGAAGAGGGGATGATTCATATCCCAGCTGGGAGGGACAAAGTGAAACAGTGCAAGATTTCATCATGCTTCTCAGAACAGTGCACAATTTAAAACCTATAAATTGTTTACTTCTGGAATTTTCCACTTAATATTTTCAGACCACAGTTGACTACAGGTAACCTAAACTGCAGAAAGCAAAACCACAGAGAAGGGAAGACTGCTGGAGTAATGGCCAGAAAAGGAACACAGGCAAAAAAAACTTTCCTTTTATTGAGCTTTAGATATAACCATGATAGCAAAAATAAGTAAATAAATGTTAAAATGTAAAAAAAAGAAAAAAGTAATGGATTGATACATTTTCATTACACCAGTACTTTTAAAAACTGGAATATACATACATATTTGTCTGTGACAGCAATGAACAATATTGCAGTTTCTGAGACTTAACCTCTACAAATTTATTGAAGATTTTGTCAAAATTGATCTTCACATACTCATGTTCAATTGGCAGTTTGTTGATGTCTCTTCCATCATAGTTAATTGTTAATTTTAATTCAGAAAAAAAATCTCTTTTACATGAGTCAGCAGATATACAAATAGGAAGTTTTAAACAAGAGTAGGTCTGTCAGAGACTCAAAAATTCCATTTTGCAATTAATTTCAGAAGTTGTAAGACTGTCCATGTAAATGTTTCTTTGGGGTCAATTATGACTACTTTCAAATATCTCCACAGTCAAAAAACTTCTACTAGAATATCTTCACCAGAAAATTCACCACACATTTCTATTGTCATTGATAAACTTCTGAAATTTTTCTTCTGGAAGAATCAGAAAATGGCTATGTGGCAGTAAATATTGGTATTATTTGATCTGTTGCTTTAGAACAAGCATCCAGTTCTTGAAAACAATCAAAGCATTTAAACTTGCCTTTTGAGTTCCTCTGGCCATGGTCATGCGGAAGAACAGAATAGAAACTAAGATCCTGTTTCTTCATGTTACAATTATGCCTAGCATGGTTTATTTTCAATCTATTGTTTAAGCATAGGAATATATGGTTCTGTTACCAAAACACCAGGGGTTCGGTCTAGGTCTTGCTGCTTGACGCACAGATAGGCAATCACTGAGACGATGATAGGTGAGCATTGCCAAGGAAGACTTTAATTGGGTGCTGCAGCTGGGGAGATGGGAGCTCAGTCTCAGATCCATTTCCTTGACTGACCAAAACCCAGGGGTTTATATAGCAGGGAAGAAATGAAACAATGTGTAAGAAAACAGGAACTAGGGAGGGGCAAGGGAAGCAGTGATGATGAATGAGGGGTCCTGGCATCTCACTGTCTGGATGTGGTGATCTGGGGAGTTTCAGTTCTTTGAGGTTTTTGAGGTTTTTTTTTTTTTGAGAGGCCTGAAGGTCATTTCCTGAGGAAAGAACCCAGGAAGAACAAATGTAAGTTTCAATCCAGAAGGGTCAATTTCTACATGTATCCAAAAAACTATCAATGGGACTACTGGGGCAGTTTCAGTTCCACAGGGTTTAGAACCCAGAGATTCCAAATTATTAGGTACTTACTCTGGAAACAAATTGTGGGTGAATCCACTTGAGTCAAGGATTAATTTTTCAAATTAATGTCTTATATAGAATATAATGATCATTAATAGATGTTATTTAAATGCATTAATTTAAAGCCTCCATTGTTAAAACTCAACAGCAGCCATAACAATTATTTAGAACTTAGGGAACAAGATTTTTTTCAAGGAGGAATATTTTTATTACTGTAACTGTTTAGAATTGCCAGCATGTGGTGAAAATAAAAAGCAGACTGGATTTTAGTTTGTTTTAAAATTCGCTACAGACAATGCATCCCTTATAGCCTGCACCTGGGATGGATGGATCCCGCTGGCTGCCCCATCCCTGGTACCCCAGTGCCTCAAATGAGGAGCAGGGGCAACTGTCATCCAAAACCTTTGGAAGAGGGCCTTTGTGACAACTCACAAAGTCAAGGCCTGCATCCAGGTTGCGGATCTGTTTTGTTTGGTCTACAATGTTAAAAAAATTTTAAATTAAAAACTTAAAACAAACCTTTGAGGTCTTCTGGCAGGGTGTGTATTTACAGTTTTTCACAGTCCCCATCACTCCTTATTTATCATACCTTGTCCAATTTGCCCACTTAAATTATCTGACTGGCTTATGTAGGTATCTGGGTTTGTGACCCTACTTTGTGACTGTTTCTACAGTTGTCCTTTTTCCAGTTCTTTAGCTTTTTAGGGTTTGCCCTCTTCCCCTCATTGGCCGCAGCTCACCAGTCTCCTCCTGGCCCCTCAGCTTCACCACTTCAGAGACCCTTTCCCCCTTGTTTAACCTGGTAGTTGCTCTTACTTTATATCTAATTCCATTACTGCCACTCTGCTTCAGGAAGGAGGCACTCAGGCAGCCACTAAGCGATCCTTCTGTTTTTTTGTTTGTTTGTTTTGTTTGTTTGTTTTTGAGATGGAGTCTCCCTCTGTCACCCAGGCTGGAGTGCAGTGGCACAATCTTGGCTCACTGCAACCTCCACCTCCCGGGTTCAAGTGATTCTCGTGCCTCAGCCTCCTGAGTAGCTGGGATTACAGGTGCATATCACCACGTCCAGATAATTTTTGTATTTTTAGTAGAGACGCGGTTTCACCATGTTGGCCAAGCTGGTCTCAAACCCCTGACCTCAAGTGATCTGCCTGCCTCGGCCCCCCACAGTGCTGGGATTACAGGCGTGAGCCACCACGCCCGGCCTAACGGATCCTTCTTGAACCTGAGTTGGGCAACTGCCCCCCTTCCAATGGGAACTCTGGTCCTCAGCTTCTTCTGTGACGCTCAGGGAGGCCAGCAAGGAAGCCACCCTTCCCAGAGTCCAGCAAGGGGCTCACTCCCGTGGTTGGTGGTAGGGAAGTGAAACTGCCTTTCCAAAATTATGACTGAGACAGTGAGAAAGATCTAACTTATCTGTCTCCATCTTGCTTCTAACCTCCAAACTGTCCTTGTTCATTCCTGGGCGTAGGCTGAACTAACTGGGAGAAATGTAGTTTATAGTTTAAAACAAAGATGACGGTAACAGCCCTTTCCCAAAGCAGACCTCCTTTTTGCCTAGGGACTAGATTGCCTTTGTAGGACTAACAGCCACAAGACTAGAAATTATGGTTGTAGGAGTCATGCTGCTGGAGGCTACAAGATTCTGACCCTCACTAAACTGCTCCTAAGATTAGTGTTTGAGCTATTTTGTAGACTCTGCACTTGATGGATCAGTTGGCACCACCCAGACTGATAAACTGAATCATGTGATCTTGTGGCTCCTACCCAGGAACTAACTCGGTGCAGACAGCTTCAACCCCCTATGATTTCATCCCTGACCAACCTGCACTCCCAGCTCACCGGCTCCCCACCCCCAACCCACCAAGTTGTTCTTTTTTTTTTTTTTTTTTTTTTTTTGAGACGGAGTCTCCCTCTGTCACCCAGGCTGGAGTGCAGTGGGGCGATCTCGGCTAACTGCAAACTCTGCCCCCGCAGGTTCAAGTGATTCTCCTGCCTCAGCCTCCTGAGTAGCTGGGATTACAGGCGCACGCCACCATGCCCAGCTAATTTTTGTATTTTTAGTAGAGATGGAGTTTCACTATGTTGGTCAGGCTGGTCTCCGACTCCTGAGCTCATGATCTGCCTGCCTCAGCCTCCCAAAGTGCTGGGATTACAGCCATGAGCCACTGTGCCCAGCCCCAACCCACCAAGTTGTTCTTAAAAATTCTGCTTCTTGGGTGTGGTGGCTCATGCCTGTAATCCCAGCACTTTGGGAGGCCGAGGTGGGCGGATCACGAGGTCAGGAGATGGAGACCATGCTGGCCAACATGGTGAAACCCCGTCTCTACTAAAATACAAAAAAAAAAAAAAATAGCTGGGTGTGGTGGTGCGCACCTGTAGTCTTAGCTACTCAGGAGGCTGAGGCAGGGGAATTGCTTAAACCTGGGAGGCAGAGATTGCAGTGA
The DNA here is from genome assembly GCF_000001405.40 of Homo sapiens. Classification (NCBI taxonomy): domain Eukaryota; kingdom Metazoa; phylum Chordata; class Mammalia; order Primates; family Hominidae; genus Homo; species Homo sapiens. The sequence continues at coordinate 65,207,588 of NC_000014.9, read as the reverse complement.
GCCGAGGACGCTCCACTGCATTCCAGCCTGGCGACAGAGCAAGACTCCGTCTAAAAAAAAAAACAAAACAAAAAACAAACATCAACTCTGCTCCCCGAATGCTTGGGGAGACTGATTTGAGTAATAAAACTCAGGTCTCCCACACAGCCAGCTCTGAGCGAATTACTCTTTCTCCATTGCAATTCCCCTGTCTTGATAAATCGGCTCTGTCTAGGCAGCGGGCAAGGTGAACCCCTTGGGTGGTTACAGAAGCAGAAGGGGAGAAACAATTTCCAAGCCCTGAACACACATGCAGAGTCGCACCCACAGTTGGCTTAATTTAACATGACACAAAAAACGTTCCTGGCTAAACCGCTGCATATTAATTTGGACAATTACTTTCAGCCAGTGGCGTGCTAGGGCCAGCTTATACTGGCTCCAGAGAGGCAATTGTTAAACACTCAGAATTTTAACAGCAGGTTGGTGTCTTGAAATCGGCCACTGTTGGAAGTATTTACACCAAGGAAATTGGCAAATGTTATGAACTAGGGCATTTGGGGTGGGAGAAAAGAGCCACTTTACCAGCATACTCCTGCCTTTAGCCCAACTCAGCATTTCCTCCACCCACAAACTCTCAGTTTTGTTTGGTCTATTTCCCTCACTTACGCTTTAGTAGAGGCCGTATAGTGCAGTTAAGAGGAGGGGCTATAGGGCCATACTATCCTTGTGCAAGTCTATACACTAGCAATGGGACCCTGAGCACACTGCTTAATATCTCTATGATTCCTTGTTCCCATCCCTATGACTAGAGCTGTTCATTGCACCTTCTCATAGGATTTTCATGGGGTTAAATGAGTTAATACATTCAAAGGACCTAGAGCAGTGCCTGGAGAAAAAGGAGCTCCACAAGTATTAGCTATCATCATTCTAAAACTGAAATTTCAGTTAGTTCTCTTATTTTACTTTTGTGGTTAGAAGATGCAAATATCTACTCACCAGTTTAAACCCTGCACTGCTTGCTGAATATAAATATCCCCAATGCCTCACTTTTGGGTGAGTAATACCAGGTCAACTCACGCCTTCTTCCTCTCAAAAAAAAAAAAAAAGGAATAGCAGTGATACATGGTAAAAAGCCTACTCATACTATGATTCCAAAATGTGGGTATTGGTTTTGCATCTCATTTCCAGAATTAGAAAAAGTCTCCTCTGTATTTAGTTTTTATAAGTTCTCCTTTTTTTTTTTCCCATTTCAGTTTTAAGATGCGCTGTATTTTTCTTATTTTCAGGGTCCCGAAATCAGGATGGGTGTTTCAGTTGATGCATGCGTTTGATGTGGTTGTGTTTCTTTTCCTCCGCCTAAAAGCAGTTATTAAAATGATGGCGTTTGCAGATCTAGATTTGAAAGAAAAGAATAATGGTGCATCTTGCAATCAATAGTGTTTTAGAATCCAGGAAACACAGTAATAATACTCAACGAAAAAGTCAGTTCTAGGATGCCAGCTTCCGCATCCAGTGTCTTGTCCCCAGGAGCACGATGTTCCAAGGGTGGGGCTGTGTCCTGTTGTGCCTGCTGCAGCCATGCTTTCTTTCCTTTAGGATCAGTGTTGGTGGGGGCTTGGCCCAGGATTGGATGGTATCTTGTTTTGTTTTTTTGAGATAGAGTTTCACTCTCTCGCCCGGGCTGGAGTGCAGTGATCGCAGCCCACTACAGCCTCGAATTCCTGGGCTCAAGTGCCCTCCTGCCATGGCCTCCCAGTTCTGGGACTACAGGCATTAGCCCCTGTACCCAGCCATGGATGTTTTTTAAGTGTGCAAAGATTCCTCCTCATTCTTCAATTAAAAGCATAGTGAACCATCTGCTGGGCTGGGATTGGACTATGAGAGAGAAAAGCACTAAGACAAGCTGAAAACACAGGTGAAAGTAGCAAGCAGGCTCCCAAATAAAGAGCAGGCCCAGCTCTGCCAGTCAGCACGCGCACACACACACACACACACACACACACACACACACACGTTATGTTTTTGAGTCACGCCCCTTCCTTGTTCCACATGATTGGTCTACACTTCACACTTCCCCTATAATCTCAGTTTCTTTCACCTGGTTTCTTGCCCAAACAGCTTGTTGGGTTTAAGAAGGAGAAATCTATAAAAGAATTGAAGTCTCTTCAGGGAAGGGCCTAGCAGAGCAATTCTGGCTGTGGCAACTCCCCTGGGGTGGCTCCTCCCTAGCCATCTCCTGAGCACACAAGCAAGGACCCTTTCCTCTCAGCTGTCACTCTGGACATGTGTAATGATCCCAATACAGGAGACTCTGAGCCGCAGCCCCTAGGCCCACCTTACGTGTGAGAACTCTCCTGTGTGAGGCCGAGGCAAAGCTGCACGGGATCCTGAGAGAGCAGCAGCCAGAGCAGAAGCTGCAGGAGAGACTGGCACATGGAAGCCAGCCTGTCTCCACAGCCCATGTTCTTGTTTTGTTCTAACTCTACGTGCTTTGGTCGGTTTCCCCTACAACACAGCAGCAGCAGGTGGGCGCACAATGCAGGGACCGGCCCACCCTGACATGGCTGTGTTTGGCAGCCCTGCACACCCCCTTTTCTTTTTTTGCAGGAGTCAGGAGACTGGGGTGGAAGAGGTGGAGACCCAGTCATATCAGGCAAGGGAGGTCTGCACTGCGCTGCAGCCAGAAGGCTAACAGATCACATCCCCACTGTCCCTTCCCAGCTCTGCTCTCCTGCTCTGTGGAGCAGGCCTGGCTGGATACCCCACATGCTACTGCTCTGCATCCACCCCACCCCCACATTCACACTGAAGCCACAGTCCCCAGGCTTACTCCCAGCCAGTGCTGAGCAGGGGTGCAGGGGGTGGGCACTAAGCAGGCCATTTCTGCAAGATCCAGGACTCCTCCAAAGGGCAGCTTTGGCCCAGAGACTCCTCCTCCACCCAGCTGAACCTTTCTCAGAGCCGGGCTGCAGCCTAAGTCTCCCTACCTGTGCAGTAAAGAATTGAACCTTGCCCCTCAAAGAGGTCTAGTCTTTACCCTTGGCCCCCGGGAGGTCATCTTTGTTTGCCTGGGGGTCTTAGGCTGGCCAGATAGTAACAGTGTGACTTAGGGTGGGGAGTAGCCACACCAGAAAAGCCAACATTATGATTTGCATGGGGCTTGGGGTCACCAAGGTACCAACCAGGGCTCGAGTAAGCTTCCCTGCAGGGCACCCTTCAGATCCCCATCTCCTCACAGATACCTTGTTTATAAACCTCCACTAGCAGGATTCTGGAATTAAACACAGTAGCAGTTGATTGGCCCTTTGCAAATGAATTGAAATGGACCAATAAAAATGGAGAAATACACATACTCAGCAAATTATAGTAACATAGGCTTCATCCATCTACAAGTAAGAGAAAATGGCTGGGCACAGTGGCTCACACCTGTAATCCCAGCACTTTGGGAGGTCGACGCAGGTGGATCACATGAGGTCAGGAGTTCGAGACCAGCCTGGCTAACATGGTGAAACCCTATCTCTTAAAAATACAAAAAATTGGCCAGGCGTGGTGGCGCATGCCTGTAGTCCCAGTTACTTGGGAGGCTGAGGCAGGAGAATCACCTGAACCGGGGAGACAGAGATTGCAGTTAGCCGAGGTCGTGTTACTGCACTCCAGCCTGGGCAACAGAACAAGACTCCGTCTTGAAAAAACAGAAAAGAAAAAGAAAATGCAGCACGGATAGGTTACACAAGAAACAGAAATGAGCCAGAAAAACACTCCCAGTCCTTGCCAAGTTGGCAGTAAGCAGGGTGGCCGGCTCCCTCTCCCAAATCCATGCTGGAGAGACCATAGAGGGAAACAGGGATTCCAGGAACCAACAACCACAGCAGTAGCAACAAAACGTGTGAACCCCCTGGGGAGATGTCTCAGACCAGGATCTGGCCTTGGACACTTTCATATATGCACATGATACCAGAGTGAGCAGCCAGTGGCTTAGGGATGAGATGCTCTAAGTGGGGCATTGTCACTCCCTCAGAAGACAAATAGCAAACCCCATGAGCCATAAGTGTATCCAAAGCAGGACTGAACAGACAGACCAAGAATGTAAGACAAGCCCCATACGTATAATTAAGGCGCTAAGACAAAACAGAGTAAGTAGAAATATTGTGTCCAGAATTTATTACTTCCGGTGGGTTCTTGGTCTCACTGACTTCAAGAATGAAGCCACAGACCCTCGCGGTGATTATTATAGTTCTTAAAGATGGTGTGTCCGGAGTTTTTTCCTTCAGATGTTCAGATGTGTCCAGAATTTCTTCCTTCCGGTGGGTTTATGGTCTCGCTGACTTCAGGAGTGAAGCTGCAGACCTTCGCAGTGAGTGTTACAGCTCTTAAAGGCAGCGTGTCAGGAGTTGTTTGTTCCTCCCTCCCAGTGGGTTCATGGTCTTGTTGACTTCAGGAGTGAAGCCGCAGACCTCCGCAGTGAGTGTTACAGCTCATAAAAGTAGTGCGGACCCAAAGAATGAGAAGCAAAAAGATTTATTGTGAAGAGCGAAAGAACAAAGCTTCTACAGCATGGAAGGACACCTGAGCTGGTTGCCGCTGCTGGCTGGGGTGGCCAGCTTTTATTCCCTTATTTGGCCCCGCCCACATCCTGCTGATTGTTTTACCAAGTGCTGATTGGTCCATTTTACAGAGTGCTGATTGGTCCATTTTTACAGAGCGCTGATTGGTGCATTTACAATCCTTTAGCTAGACACAGAGTGCTCATTGGTGCATTTACAATCCTTTAGCCATACAGAAAAGTTCTCCAAGTTCCCACTTGACCCAGGAAGTCCAGCTAGCTTCACCTCTCAATATTAGGCACAAGAAAAGTAAAAACAGTCAGTGTGTAGCTCAAGTCTATAATCCCAGCAATTTGGGAGGCTGAGGCGGCAGGATTGCTTGGGCCCAGGGGTTTGAGACCAGCTTGGGCAACATGGCAAAACCCTGTCTCTACAAAAAATACAAAAATTAGCCAGGACTGGTGGTGAGCACCTATAGTTCCAGCTACCTGGAAGGCTGAGGTGGGAAGATGACTTGAGCTTGGGTGGTTGAGGCTGCAGTGAGCCAAGATTGCACCACTACCTCTAGCCTGGGCGACAGAACCAGACCCTGTCTCAAAAAAACAAAAACCAAAAGGGGCAGCAGGAAACTTTTGGGGTTAATGGATAAGCTGATGACATTGATAGTGATGATGGTTTGATGGTTTCATGGCATATGCTACTCCCCAAACACATCAAATTGCATGCATTAAATATCTATGTCTTTTTGTACGTCAATAATAACTCAATAAAGAGGTTTTAAAAAAGATTAGGTTACTCTTATTTGCCTTTGGGCTTTTGGTCAAGGACAAAGGTCTCTAATTAGGTATAATATTGTACTTCAAATAAGTGAACACAAACTCTTTTCTATCCTCCAGGTACCATGGACTAAATCTTCAAGCATTAAGAAACAGCATTCATTCCCACTCATTTCCACACCAGCCTTTGATTCGATGCAGATACATATTATAGTAGCATGCCTTACCTACAGCATTATGTGTATTTGCTGTCACAATAAAGTATATCTTGTCTTGCAAATTAAAAACACACACACGGCTGGGCGTGGTGGCTCATGCCTGTAATCCCAGAACTTTGGGAGGCTGAGGTGGGTGGATCACGAGGTCAGGAGATCAAGACCATCCTGGCTAACACGGTGAAACGCCATCTCTACTAAAAATACAAAAAATTAGCCAGGCGTGGTAGCGGGCGCCTGTAGTCCCAGCTACTCAAAGAAAAAAAAAAAAAAACCAACAAAAAAAAAACCCGAAAACACACACATGCAAGCTCTAATAGTGAATGAAGGGCATAGTTCTAGGCTGGGACTAAAAGGAGATCTACTATAGAACAAAGAAAAGTAGAATTTCTCCTTTGTTTTCTCTTTTACTCGTTATTTCAGAGGTAGACACTGAAGCCACACTCGTGACCCCACTTACTTCTCCCACCCCAAGTTTGGGGGGTTTCTTTCAGAGCTTTTTCATAAAATGGGTTAATGGAGAGGCTGGGATCCCACATCTCTGGGCCCCCCTTCTCTCTGGGCTCCAGGACACTGAACCTGCAACTTGGATGACCCCCGTCCTTCCCACCTGGCCCTTTGACCCAAAGATTTCCAGGGGAATTTCTCCATTCTGATGTCCTACAGGTGGCACCAGCTACACAATTTGCAGGTCCCAATGCAAAATAAAAATGCGAGGCCCTTTGTTTGAAAAGTATTAAGAATTTCAAGATAGCAACAGCAGAGCATGAAACCAAGCATGGGGCCCTATCTGACTGCTAGGTCGCAGTCCAAGAAACCTACTCAACCCACAAGGTCTGGGGCTTGCTGGCCAACATTACATTCCCCGGTAAGAAACTTGCTGTCTTGCTCAGCTCAGGCCACCATAACAAAATGCCATAGACTGGGTGGCTTATAAGCAACAGAAATTTATTTCTCACAGTTCTGGAAACTTGAAGTCCAAAATTAAGGCACTGATGATTAGTGTCTGATGAAAGCCCACTCTCTGGTTCATAGATGGCACCTTCTCACCCTACTCTCACATAGTAGAAAAGGACAGGGTAGCTCGTTGGCCTCTTTTATGAGGGCACTAATCCCATTCATGAGTGTTCTACCCTCATGACCTAATCACCTCCCAACAGGACTACCTCCTAATACCATCACATTGGTAATCAGCCTTCAACATATGAATTTTGGGGGGACACAGACATTCAGACCATAGCACTTGCTTAATTCAATTAAGATTTCCAGTTTCTTAAAGTGTGAGGTGGAGAAAAATGCTCAAGATATTTGGCTAGGAATCTCCCCATGAGGTGGCCTGTTACAGCTTCTAAAATCCTCCCAGGTAGGTATCAGAGTGCTGAAACACAGCACAGGGTAGCACCCTGCCCAAGAGCATTGTCACTAAAGTCAGTCTGCTTGGGTTTAAATGCCAGTTCCCTGACTCACTAGCTTGACTTGGGCAAAATACTAAACTTCTCTGTTTTTCAGTTTTCTCACTATAAAATTGGGGTATTCATGCCAACTTCATACGGCTGGGGCAGTAATTATATAAAATAATCCATGCAAAATGCTTGGTACAGTGCCAGGTACATGATTTGCTCTCAGTCGAAGTCAGCTGTTATTGTATTTCTACTCCACTCTGGTATACTTGGGAGGATCCACAGGGGCACCAGACAGGCAGTATCTACAGGCAGATTTTTTTTGAGATGGAGTCTTGCTCTGTCGCCCAGGCTGGAGAGCAGTGGTGCGATCTTGGCTCACTGCAAGCTCTACCTCCTGGATTCACGCCATTCTCCTGCCTTAGCCTCCCAAGTAGCTGGGACTACAGGTGCCTGCCACCACGCCTGGCTAATTTTTTGTATTTTTAGTAGAGACAGGGTTTCACCGTGTTAGCCAGGATGGTCTCGATCTCCTGACCTTGTGATCCACCCGCCTCGGCCTCCCAAAGTGCTGGGATTACAGGCATGAGCCACTGCGCCTGGCCCAGATGTTTTATAATATTGTTTTCAATCAGATTCTTTTTTGCCATAAAATGAATGACTATCTATTGTGAGAGGCTTGGCAACTATAGAAATGTATAAAGAACAATATAAAAGTCACCCGTAATCTTACATCCAAATATAACCACTTTGATGATTTTTGATGACTTTCCTTCCAGATCAATACACATTTAATTTCTTTCATATATTTTTGTGTTTACAGTTGAATAGCTTTTATATATCAAGAATTTTTATGCTGATGTATCACTGTCATGACCTTTTCTCCATGGCATTGGTCTTCTACAGCATGATTTTTAGCCTAAATTATACATTATTTTAGTTGCACATACCTCTCTAAAATCAAGTATGATATAAAATAACATACTAAGGTAGAAACACTACTTTTGCCACTCTCGTATTTCATGACATTATTTATTCAAACTCTTCCCACGTCTTTATCACATTAGTGTCTTTGTCTACCCCACAGCTACTTTTTGGGTCGTCTCACACAGTTTTCTAGAGTACATTACCTTCCCTTCTGCTTAAATTTTTGGAGTTACAGCACTTTTTTTTTTTTTTTGTCAGAGTTTCACTCTGTCACCCAGGCTGGAGCGCAGTGGTGCGATCTCGGCTCACTGCAACCTCCACGTCCTGGGTTCAAGCGATTCTCCTGCCTCAGCCCTCCGAGTAGCTGGGATTACAGGTGTGCGCCACCACATCTGGCTAATTTTTGTATTTTTTTAGTTGAGACCAGGTTTCACCATATTGGCCAGGCTGGTCTTGAACTCCTGACTTGGTGATCCGCCCTCCTCAGCCTCCCAAAGTGCTGGGATTATAAGCATGAGCCACTGTGCCCGGCCAGAGTTACAGCACTTTTACAAAATATATTTGCTGCTACTGGAAATTTTATCTTAAAACACAAGTAGAACAGTTAGGTCTACCTAAAACCTAATTACCTAAAACCATTTGGTTCTTCTTTGAAATACAGTGGTAAACGACAGCAGGTAGATTTTTGTGTGTGTGCCATGTGATCTCTAAAACATACCCATTTACAGTTTTGTTTTTTAAAAAGATGGTATTTTAAATAAGTATTACATAGATATGGCATAATATTCAAATGGGAAGATGATTTTTCATTGATCCAAAATTTTCCTTCTCAAGATAGTATAATCTGCCCCCTGCTATTGGATATTTAGGTTGTCTTCCATTTTTTGTGGGGTTTATTTTTTAAATAACTTGAAGAAGGACTAACAGAGAAAAAGAAAATTGAGATCCACTTCGAAGATAAATGCTATCTTTGGCAGTTCTTAGCAGTATCTCTCTGACCTCCTAGAATGGTTACCAAGTTTCCTCTAGCCCCAAAACTGATGCTGCTGCTCAGGGGGCCCAGGCCCTGGGGGAACTGCTGTGGGGATCGGGGGCTATTCTTAAACCAGCCCTTGCTTGCCCCTCACTAAGTTCCAGATGCCCTGGGAGCAGCCAGCAGCAGAAACACAACCCAAAGGACACAGTTTCAAAGGGCAGGGAATTTGGCAACCAGCCATATGCACAGACAGACCAGCATCCCCCTCCTTTGCCTGGTCCTGTTATTATATAAGTCAAGGTAGGTTTAAGGCCTCCAGGAAGTCACCACTGAAGATAAATCAAAATTGAAAAAAGAAAGTGAACTAGAATAGGGATAGCCAAGGATAATACTGTGACATCCAGGATTAGAAAAGCCCAACAGACAAATGCAGTCTGGCCCAGGGACTGTGAGGGACACTGGAAAGGAAGACTTTGAGGCCTGAGGGGAATACAGAACGAAACAGACCATCTCTCTCCTGAAAATTCTGCCCAATTGCTTAATACCTCAAATATCTATCCAGACAGGCAATCAAAGCAAAAATGGACAAATGGGATCCCATCAAGTTAAAAGGCTTCTGCACAGCAAAAGAAACCATCAACAAAGTGAAGAGACAACCCGCAGAGTGGGAGAAAATATTTGCAAACTACCCATCTGACAAGGGATTAATAACCAAAATATATCAGGAGCTCAAACAACTCTATAGGAAAAAAATCTAATAATCTGATCAAATAATGGGCAAAAGATTTGAATAGCCATTTCTCAAAAGAAGACATGCAAATGGCAGACAGGCACATGATTGATCATCAGAGAAATGCAAATGAAAACTACAATGAGATACCATCTTACCCCAGTCCAAATGGCTTATATCAAAAAGACAGGCAACAATAAATGCTGATGAGGATGTGGAACCCTCATGCACTGTTGGTGGGAATGTAAATTAGTACAAGCACTCTGGAGAAGAGTTTGGAGGTTCCTCAAACAACTGAAAATAGAGCTACCATATGGTCCAGCAATCCCACTGCTGGGTATGTACCCAAAAGAAAGGAAATCAGTGTATCAAAGAGATGTCTGCACTCCCATGTTTGTTGCAGCACTGTTCACAATAGCCAAGATTTGGAAGCAACCTAAGTGTCCATCAACAGATGAATAAAGAAAATGTGGTAAATATACACAACAGAGTACTATTCAGTCGTAAAAAAGAATGAGATCCTGTCATTTGCAACAACATGGATGGAACTGGAGGTCATTAATGTTAAATGAAATAAGCAAGGTACAGAAAGACAAACATCACATTTTCTCACTTATTTGTGGGATGTAAAATTAAAAACGATTGCTCATGGAAATAGAGAGTAGAAGGATGATTACCAGAGGCTAGGAAGGGTAATGGGCGTTGAGGGGAAGATGGGGAAAGTTAATGGGTATTAAATAGAAAGAATGAACAAGGCCTACTATCTGATAGCACCACAGGGTGACTATAGTCAATAACAACTTAATTGCACATTTTAAAATAACTAAAAGAATGTAATTGGATTGTTTGTAACACAAAGGATAAATGCTTGAGGGATGGATACCCCATTCTCCATGATGTCATAACTTCACATTGCGTGCCTGTATCAAACATCTCATGTACCCCATAAATATATATACCTATTATGTAACTCACTAACATTAAAAATACATTTTTTAAAAAAGGTACCTCTCTAGTTGGTTTTGTGAAAGTGATCCAAGCCTCATGGAGGGATGAGCTTTTCTTGGTGATTGAGGATTCAGGATGTTCAGAATGAAGTTACAGCCAAGGAGCTCTTAAGGAACTTAACATCATGTCACTGAATGCAAAGTTGTAAAGCGATGTGCAGTAGTGGGCCATTATCTAGTATTTCCACCATGCAGACATGATAGATACACATAACTTCAAGAGCACAGATAATGGTAAAGTATAGTAAAATAATCAGGATGAGTTTGTTTGTTTTTGGGGTGTTTGTGATGGAGTCTCACTCTCTTGCCCAGGCTGGAGTGCAGTGGCGCTGTCTCCACTTACTGCAACCTCCGCCTCAGGGTTTAAGTGATTCTCCTGCCTCAGCCTCCTGAGTAGCTGGGACTACAGGTACGAGCCACCATGCCTGGCTAATTTTTGTATTTTTAGTAAAGACGGGGTTTTGCCATGTTGGCCAGGCTGGTCTCAAACGCCTGACCTCAGGTGATCCGCCCGCCTCGGCCTCCCAAAGTGCTGGGATTACAGACGTGAGCCAGCACATCCAGCCGGGAGGAGTTTTACCTATAGCAAACTACCTTTGTTTTTACTGTAATTTATTTAACTGTAAGTTTATATATGTTCATTCTTAATAATGGGTGTATAACTCCCAGCTTGCAAAATTCCTGAAAATTTGCCATTCAGCTTCCACGAGCCAGTACTAGTGAGCACTCCACTCTGCCTTTCGCCCTCCCCGTCACTGACATGCCTCGGTCCCCACTTCACTGTAGAGTCATCAGAGCATCTTAAGGAAAGTAAAAGCAATCATGTTCAGACTGTTCCCTCATTTCTCCATTTCTCTCATGAGCCAACCCTGGACCCATCTTTAAAATTGTTTTCATTATGAAATGTGATAGCTGTGCCCATCTTAAAAGATATAGACAATGATATAATGAGCATTTGAAAACTACCCAGTTTGACAAGATAAAACATTGCAAATTCACTTGAAGCTTCCTGTGTATCCTCCTACTCACATCCTTCTCCCTCTTCCTCAGAGGTTACCACTGTCCTGATTTTGATATTTACCATTCCCACGCATATCTGTATAATTTTAGTACATATTACATATATTACACACTGCCTAGTACATATGTATATATGTATGTATATATTCATGTATATACAGTAAATCTTCACTTAAGGTCACAATAGGTTCTCAGAAACTTCAACTTTAAGCAAAATGACTTAATGTCCTTGAATAACGTCCTTTCACTCAATGTCATTTTGTTATAACATTGATGAGGAAAAAAATGGCTTTTTTGTTGTTTTGAGACAGGGTCTTGCTCTGTCACCCAGGCTGGAGTGCAGTGGCGTGATCAAGCTCACTGCAGCCTCAATCTCCTGGGATCAAGCCATCCTCCCACCTCAGCCTCTTGAGTAGCTGGGACTACAGGCATGTGCAACTATGCCTGGCTAATTTTTTTGATTTTTAGTAGAGACGAGGTCTTGCTATGTGGCTTAGGTTAGTCTCAAACTCCGGAGCTCAGGCAGTCCTCCCATCGTGGCCTCTAAAAGTGCTGGGATTACAGGCGTCAGCTACCATGTTCGGCCAAAAAAAGTTGGTTTTGTCATACAACATTATGCTCATAGTCAAAAATCAAAGTTTCCAAAAGCCTATGGACAATGTTAAGTGAGGATTCACTGTATATGTATACATAGTACTGTTTCCAGTTTCTTTTTACAGATAGGAAACCGCAGAAAACTCAGAGTCCAGCTTGTTTGCATATCTCTTTTTGATGTTTTTTCAAAGGTTCTGATTCTGAAAGGTTACTCAAAACAGGCTTGGAGGTAAAACTGGCCCCTTTATTTCTAGCCTATGGAGAGTTTAGACAAGATAGTGTCTGTTTGCCCATTTCCAGCACAGAGAAGTCTTTTTCTAAGACTTCCAGATGACGGCCTGTCTTGTATTCCTGTGAATGCCATCAGCGGCAGACCATGGGTGTCACTGGAGATTCCATCTTCAGGTTCTTCGTGGTCATCCTTTATCAATGCCATTATGAAGACATCTTACTCATTGAATCCCTTACTAACAATAATTTCTGTCCAAAAGGGAAGAGCTTACATAGTATTTCTATTTTATCCCTTTTAAAAAATGACAAATATTGACAAGCACCAAGACAGGAAGATGTTATTTACGAAGAGTGTTGTGAGCTAAAAATCGCAAGATGGAGATTTGTGATTCTTTATCGAACTTGATTATAAAAGTTTTTATCAAGCACTGTCAGACTTATGAGCTGGGAAGAGACTTCAGATTTATAACTTGGTCCTAAATAGGCAACAGCAGATATAAAATCTTAGAATTTAATATCAGCTTTGACAATGTTAAATTGAGAGTTCGAGCAGTTTTCACTTTATGAACTGGCACATTGTAGAATGCGAGGGCTATATTGATTTCTGACAGAGGAACTTGTCTCTAAAATGGATCTGAGCCTTTTCATATCCATTTCATTCTAAAGGCACATTTTAAGCAATGTCCTCTTCATTTCCATTTAGTGTGTGTGACTTAATTGGAGAAGACAGCTTTACAGAGAAGGACCTCTCCCTGCGAGTGTGTTGGGGTCACTGCAGGGGTGGAGAACAGCACTAAAGAGACTTGCTAAATGACATGAAGTTCATGTGGTAGATTTTTTTCCCCAGTGTTCCAGTTCAAGAAGTTTCAAAGCCCTTTCCTTGGGTTATTTTTGCAATGGAGTACCAGGAGGAAATGGGTCCTTTGTCTCCTCAATTTTTTCACCACCTGTCCCTGCCTAGAGTGGCCTCCTCAGTGCTCTGCCGGACTTTCTCACTTGCCTTTCTGAGAATGCAGAATCCTTGGGGATGGGAGGGCGTCAGCCATCCCTGGCCTGATAAGCAGTGAAGGACAAAGTCTGGGAACATGCTTAGCCATGCAGAAACCCACTTTGGCATACATTCTGCATGTCATTAGGCAGATTACCAGGGTAGCTTTTGTGCTTAGAATTCCAGTCCACTGATACCTGTGTAGATACCCAAAATTGGCTGGCAAAAAAAGGCATCCTAAGGAGGTCTTAATGTAGCCTCTATCTTCTGTGACCAAAAGATGCTGGAAAGAAGGCTCTACTCCAAGAATATCCTCTGTTTAGCTGCCATTACAAATTGCCTGAAATTTAGCGTCTTCAACAACACAAATTTATTCTCTTTACAGTTCTAGAGGTTGGAAATCCAAAGTATTAGTCCGTTATGCTGCTAATAAAGACATACCCAAGACTGGGTAATTTATAAAGGAAAGAGGTTGAATTGACTCACGGTTAAGCATGGCTGGGGAGGCCTCAGGAAACTTACAATCATGGCACAACTAGAAGCAAACACATCCTTCTGAGACAGCCAAGTATAGAGGGGTCCCCGGAGAACCTCCAACCAGCCTGTGCACTGGGAGAACGGGGTGGAGCTGTGGGAAGTCTGCACCCTTTGCAGGGGAGAGGAGCCTGGCCTCTCCTGTTCCAGGGTGGTAACCTGGAATTCAATCTGTGAGATGAGGGCCTGTTAACAGGAACCCCTCTCTCTGTCTCTTTGCTACGTTGTTTTTCCTTTTTTTTTTTCTTTTTGCCCAATAAATTCCATTTTTCTCACCTTTCAAAGCGTGAAGATTAGTACAAGCCTAATCTTTTCCGGTCATGTGACAAGAACCCTAAGGAGAAAGTTCTACAACACTTCTTCACGTGGCGGCCGGAAGGAGAAGAATGAGAGCCGAGTGAAGGGGGAAAGCCCCTTATAAAACCATCAGATCTCATGAGAACTCACTATCAGGAGAACAGTATGGAGGAAACTGCCCCCCATGATTCAATTATGTCCACCTGGCCCCGCCCTTGTCACATGGGGTTCATCACAATTCAAGGTGAGATTTGGGTGGGGACCCAGAGCCAAACCATATCATCCAAGATGGGTCTTACTGAACTAAAATCAAAAGCTGCCTTCCTCTTGGAGGCTCCAGGAGATAATCATTTCCTTGCCTTTTCCAGCTTTTAGAGGCCTCCTGAATTACTTGACTCATGGCCTCTTCACATCTTCAAATTGCGCCAGCCCAGCATCTGCTTCTGTCATCACACATTGTCTCTGTCCTTCTGACCTCCTGCCTCTCTCTGATAAGGATCCTTATGATTACATTGAGCCTACCTGGATAGGCTCAAGATCCTTAATCTCCACTGCTCAAGAGCCTTAATGTAAGCACATCTGCAAAGTCCCTTTTTCCTACAAGGTAACACATTCACAGGTTCTGGGGATTAAGATGTGGACATCTTGGGGTTGGGGGGTCATTAGCACCTCATACCTCCCAACTACTAAACTGAAATTTTGCCATTTGAGAGACATTTCTTTTGGTATTAAATTTTGTATTTTTAAGAGTCCTTTTTAAAACACAAACGTGCTTGGTAAAGCTGGTGCTAAGGCAGTATTAGACAGAGAGCCCTGGCATGCCCTGGAGTTCCCCTCTTCCCTTAATTCTTCCATTCAATGAGGCTGAATTAGGCTGGCCTGAGGAGGCCTCTGTGAGGTGTTCCCATCCTGGCCCTACAAACCATGAGAAAAGAAGGAAAATGGCCAGGCATGGTGGCTCACACCTGTAATCCCAGCACTCTGGGAGGCCGAGGTGGGTGGATCACAAGGTCAGGAGATGGAGACCATCCTGGCCAATATGGTGAAACCCTGTCTCTACTAAAAATACAAAAATTAGCTGAGTGTGTTGGCACGTGCCTGTAATCCCAGCTACTCGGGAGGCTGAGGCGAGAGAATCGCTTGAACCCGGGAGGCAGAGGTTGCAGTGATCCGAGATCGCACCACTGCACTCCAGCCTGGTGACAGAGTGAGACTCTGTCTCAACAACAACAACAAAAAGAAAAAAAAGAAAATAAGATCATAAGATTACATTAATGAATACATCATTTAACTGATCAGAAGAGAGATACTTAGAGTCACCTTAAAGAAAGAGAATAGCCCCCAGGCCAGGAAGATCCCCATTTAGCCAGATTGAAGGAATTATTCTGGAATGTCTTAAACAGAAGCAAAGTCGTCTGGCAAGGAGGCCTAGGAATGAGGAGGCATGATGCCTGCAGTCCCATGTACCACATATCTCTGCCTGCCCCTCTGCTTCCGCTCTCACCTTCTCTACCCTGCTCTGTGATCTAAGAGGCTGGCCTCTACAGACTGTCAGCTGGCTCCCTGGGTTCCAGCTGCGTCCAGCCAACGGGAGGCACAAGAAGGATCAGGGGACAGGAGGCGAGAGAAACAAGGGGATATCTTCCCCAGGTTCCCTCCCTGCTAGCCTATGTTTTGCAGTGGCTGTATTCCTCTACCAAGGGCCGTGATCCTGGAGAAATGCCCTCCCTTGGAGCTGCAACTACAGTTCCCTCCAGGTCCTGGCAACTCCTTCCTCCTTTTGCCCTTGAGGTAGGGATGACTCCCATGGTTGCCAGATTAGGGGTGCATAACCATCCCTTATTGGTTTTGAGATATGTTGGAAAAGAATCCTTTCTTTAAATTCTGCAATGACTACCCCCTTTTGAGTGTGACATTTTATTTCCTAGTCTGATATCTGCCATATCCTAGCACTACCCAGAAGACAGCATGCTTAGATTAATGGGGGCATGTGTCTAGTGATTGTGGCAGGTAGTCCTTCATCATGGAGGTGACAGCCCCAGATCTTAGAGCTCAATGAGAATAAACTCTGGTCTTCCTATCTAACTCCACCTGCACTGATTCCAGGAGCCCTGAAAGACCAGCCAATACCTTGATTCCCCAGGTATCTTCTTGTCCTGTGAGAGGAAAGATCTGGTCAAGCTAAAGTCAGCTTAGCTGTTTTATGACTTTTTTTTTTTTTTTTTTTTTTTTGAGATGGAGTCTGGCTCTGTCACCCAGGCTGGAGTGCAGTGGCGCCATCTTGGCTCACTGCAACCTCTGCCTCCTGTGTTCAAGCGATTCTCCTGCCTCAGCCTCCCAAGTAGCTGGGATTACAGGCGCCCAGCACTATGCCCGGCTAATTTTTGTATTTTTAATGGAGACAGGGTTTCACCTTGTTGGCCAGGCTGGTCTTGAACTCCTGACCTCAGAGGATCCACCCACTTCGGATTACAGGCGTGAGCCACCACACCCGGCCCATGTCTTATTATACTTTAGTAAATTGGGTTTTTTTGTTTGCATTTCTCTCTTTGAGCTTCATTACTACAAATCACCATCCCTGCATCCAGTCAAATTTGAGGCAAGAGAAGATGGAGTGTCTGCACTAGCAAGGCTGGGGACAGACCAGACGCTGGGCCACAGTGAATACTCCAAGGTGCATGCCATCTTGCAAGGCTGCCTGGTGGCCAGGCCCTCTGTCACCTGCAATATGTGTCTTAGCACACATTTGCTTTTAGACTTCTACAGCCTTTCATATCCTATCCTCCGCTGGGCTAACATTTTACAATCCTTCCACAGGCTGTTATCAGCTAACACCTTGCAGGGATTATGACAGCTGGCTCAGGGGAGGAACACGTGGAAATGGAACATGGCCCAATGCTTGGAAAGAGAGGGACGTGGAAGAGGGTAGGGAGGTGAATTTGAGGAAGGAAGAGACTGACAATAAAGGGGCAGTCAGCTTGACCAGTTTTTGCAGCTTTCCCCTGGAGCTTTCCATCCCTATTTTTCCTCGCATGGGTCTGGGTTCTAGTCTTGGCTCTCCACTACCTTCCTACCTGTGTGACCCTTATCTTCTCGAGAAATCTGTTTCTTCAACTGAAAAGGGAATACTAAAAATCAAGGAGTCTATTCTAGGTGCATTAATCATGTTATATTCAAGTACTTTTTTTTTTTTTTTTGAGACGGAGTCTCACTCTGTTGCCCAGGCTGGTGTGCAATGGTGTGATCTCGGCTTACTGCAACCTCTGCCTCTCAGATTCAAGTCATTCTCCTACCTCAGCCTCCCTAGTAGCTGGAATTACAGGCGTCCACCACCACACCCGGCTAATTTTTGTATTTTTAGCCGAGATGGGGTTTCACCATGTTGGCCAGGCTGTTCTCCAACTCCTGACCTTAGGTGATCTGCTTGCCTTGGCCTCCCAAAGTGCTGGGATTACAGGCGTGAGCCACCAAGCCCGGCCTCAAGTACTTTTAAAAATGTATATCCCAGTGGCATTTAGTTGGGAAGTAGAAATTCGGTTTGAAGTGGGCTCTTTTGGCTGCAGAACACGAGGTCAAATGAACTTACATTTGGAATCCAGCTCCACTGTGTGACCCTGAGCAAGTTATGTAACCTCTCTGAACCTCAATTTCCTCATTTGTAAGGCAAGAATAATGCCACCTACCGTGTATAATTGTAAGGATTATGTGAGATAACGTAAACCAGACATAAGCCAGGATCTCACATCACCCACTCTCTGCACAGAGTTACATTAGAGGACAGTTCTAAAACCAAACATAATTTATAAAGTTTTCTAAGAGTACTAGTGTCACTCAAATAACATAAAAAGGGGATCCAATGTACAATCCACAGCAACATTTCTTAAAATCTCTCTTCTTCTGCCCAATTCCCCTACTTCTACCTACCATCTGCTCCAGAATCTCAACTCTAGAAAACTCTCCTCACCACTAGACTTGACAGATTTAGCAAAACCAAAATAAAATAAACCAAACAACAAAAAAGTATGCCCCCATTAAATTTAAATTTCAGCTGGGCACAGTGGCTCACACCTGTAATCCCAGCACTTTGGGAAGCCGAGGCGGGCAGATTACGAGGTCAGGAGTTCGAGGCCAGCCTGGCCAACATGGTGAAACCCCGTCTCTACTAAAAATACAAAAATTAGCTGGGCGCTGTGGCAGGCACCTGAAATCCCAGCTACTTGGGAGGCTGAGGCAGGAGAATTGTTTGAACCCGGGAGGTGGAGGTTGCAGTGAGCCGAGATCGTGCCATTGCACTCCAGTCTGGGTGACAGAGCAAGACTCCAGCTCAGAAAAAATAATAATAAAAATAAATACATTTAAATTTCAGTTACATAATGAATATTATTTTTTAGTATAAATATGTCCCATGCAATATTTGGGACATACTTACACTAAAAACTACATGATTATACTAAACCATCCTTTGTTGTTTATCTGAACTTCAAATTTCACTGGTGTCCCACATTTTATCTGGCAACCCTACCCAATGCCGGATCCACAAATTTTTGTTCTGCTTTTCACTCCTCCCCATCCCATATTTGTTATGTACATCAACTTAGCTCACTAAGTTTCTCTCACTTCATTTTTAAATTTTTAGCTACACTTTGCTCACTATCAGCGTTCTCCATAATAGAGGAGACCTTCGGAGCTGCCCCAGTAAGAAGGCTTCTGCTTCCCCCGCCTTCTGCTATCCATTCCCCTGATGCTACGCCTTTTTAAAAAGCACAGTAGCCAGGAAAACCCTTAGAGGGCAAGAGAGAGGAAGAAACTAATTGGACAGAGACTAAATTTTTGTGTTAGGGAGTGAAAGTTAGCTCTCATACCATAATAAAGTATTCGGCACAGGGTCTGGTATAGCATAAGCACAGATACCTGCTTCTTACTTCTTCTCATCGGTGTTATCAGATAGACATCCCTTCCCACCCCCTCAGCCAAATCTGAGGCCTTATTCTTTTTTTTTTTTTTTTTTTTTAAGACAGAATCTCGGTCTGTCGCCCAGGCTGGAGTACAGTGGCATGATCTCGGCTCACTGTAAGCTCCGCCTCCCGGGTTCACGCCATTCTCCTGCCTCAGCCTCCCGAGTAGCTGGGACTACAGGCGCCCGCTACCACACCCAGCTAACTTTCTGTATTTTTAGTAAAGACAGGGTTTCACCTTGTTAGCCAGGATGGTCTCGATCTCCTGACCTCGTGATCCGCCCGCCTCGGCCTCCCAAAGTGCTGGGATTACAGGCGTGAGCCACCACGCCTGGCCGAGGCCTTATGCTTTATAGGACACCCCAGGGAGCTTAAAAGAGGCTGGGCCACTTCCTCACTCCCACAAGAACTGTGGTGGTTCCAACCCCTTTGGGTCTGAATCCATTGCAGCTCTCAGTCCCCTTCGCTCCAGGACCTGTCCCAGTGCCCTTGCTAGGAAGCCCCAGGTAATCACAGCATCATGCTGTTCACGGGGTCACATGATCTCCTCCTCTCCTCCCCACCCAGGAAGTCTGAGATTTCCAAAGGCCTCCCAGTGAGCCAGGAGGCCCCTTTGGGGACAGTGGCCTTGGTTCCCTTTAGAAGATGCTGCAGCGCCACTGCTGCTGAGCACAGTAATATTCCTCCATCCCGGGACCACCTGAGGGAGTTAAATTCCCATTACAAAAACAAAGCCTACTGAACTGAAAGAGATGTTGTTCCCCAGCACTAGCAAGAGCCGAGCCTCATTCCCAAAGGGGTGCCGGGCCCATTAAAGCTTTTCACAGCTGATTGCTCACCTGCTCTTCATTTTCTACTTCACTCAGTGCACTAAACAGTGTCCTGGGGAGAAGAACCCAGCAGAACAAAGCGGTAAAATTGAACATTTCCCCTTCAATCCTCTTTGCGGCAGACCCCCCAGGCTAACTTGATGAGGGAGATGTAGCTTCATTCCTTTCTCTTTTTTTCTTCTACAAATGGGAATCTAATGTGGGACAGATCAGACCCAAGGCTTCATCTCCCCTTGTAACTATCGAGGAGTGTCTCTACTGTTCTTCCTTTCTACAGCATTGCTACTTCCCAAAAAGCATCAGACAAGAAAAAGAAACAAAGCCTTCAAAAAAAAAGTCTTACACTCCTGATTTCAATTCATTTTAACAAATATAGCCTGCAAAGGACTAACCCATCTCAGGGGATTAAAAAAAATAGGATTAAGCCTGCCCCGCTCTCCAGGGGCTCACAGTTTTGTGATTCAGACTTAAGCAGCATAAAAGCAGGCAGGTCCCACCAAGGCAGGTGAGCTATGTGCAGGGCAGGAAGAGGCCAGGGGGAAGAACTGGATTTAGAACCTCAAAAAGAGGAGCAGTGTTGGGGTATGTGGGGTTTGCTTTGTTGTTGTTGTTTCATGCGTATGTGTATGTGTGTTTCTGTATGTGTTAGTTTCCTTTTCTCTTTCTCCACTCTTCATGATCAAACGCAAACCCTACACCATCACCACCAACTACTGGGATGGCCAAACTTGGACTTCATAATCCTCCAAACCCCTCAACATTTGTCCCACATCTGACTCGAGAAAGCAGACCACTTGATCTAGCTGGTCTGGCTTTTCCTATAGATCTTTCTGTATATAAGAGGTGCAGCATGCAAATATGTATATATGTACATACACACATATATATAAATTGAGCCCTTCCTTTGCTAAGCACTGGGAAAATGGCTCTGGAACACAGCCACAAGCAAAACACCTAGACTCCACCTTTATGGAGCTAAGCAGGGCAGTGGTTGAGCATAGAGTAGAACTGAGAATGCACACACTTTGGAGTTGAACAGAGCTGGGTTGTCTTACCAGCCAAGAGACCTTAGGCTAATTAAATTCTCTGTGACTCAGTTTGTTGATGCATAAAATGGGGACAATAATGCCCACCTCATGGGCTTGTCATGAGGTTGAAATGAGATGTGCCTGGGTACTCAGTGTGTGTCAGCTCTATGACTAGTGTTAATGATGGTATTTTAGTATCACGCATTTTGGCACCTAATGATAATACTGATGGTATACCGTGCTTTGCTGTTTTCAAATTGTTTCACATGTGTCTGTTTTATTTCACCAACAGCTTCATAAGCCTCTTGAGGGCACAACAGCAAGAGGCATATCATGTATATTCAACAAATAGCTATCAAATTTAGGTTGCAGGAGACTGTGGAATATTTCCTGCAAAGCCACTGAGGTTTCTGTTTTAGGCAACAGCAAAGGGGGTCAGAGAATTTCCACTGCTGAAATGCCAACTGCACATGTTTGCTCAGCGTATAGGGCAGAGGGAAAGATAAAGTGAATTCCAACTGGGCTGTGACAGTCTCCTGTCGCCCACAGAGCAGAGGAGAACACAGCTGAATAAACCCGGGCATAGAGAGAAATGAATGTAGTCAGGGGGATGCTTGGCGGGATGAAGGATAGTAAGCCAGTGTGAGACTGCAAAGGAAACCTCATTACTGTCCAGAGAGAGACAGGGGCTGCTCTTCAGGTGGAGTAGTGCTCAGGGAATTCCAGAACATGGTTGCATGGGAATCAGATCGAACAGGTACTGGATGGTAACCACCGACATCGAGGGTGAGGCAGCAGCGATCAATACAGGCATAAATGAGCTGAAGGACGCCTCTCCTCTCTCCCCTTGCAGAGGTGCTGGGCTGAGGTCTCTGGAGAGAAACCTGTGTGATACTGAGTGATTAGAGAATGTTTCTTCTCCTGAGAGATCCCTCCAGGTGCCTGGCAGAAAGAAGATGGTCAATAAATATTTGGCAATGACTGTTTGAGTTCTGAGAATTAGAAATTCATTTATAAAGGGATTATCTAGACCAGTCCCTTTGTTTACCAGTAGGGAAAACTAAACTCCAGGGAACTAGCTGGCATGGTGGTTCACACCTGCAATCCCAGTGCTTTGGGAGGTTGAGGCAGGAGCATTGCTAGAGCTCAGGAGTTTGAGAACAGCCTGGGCAACACAGTGAGACTCCCATCTCTACAAATAACTTAAAACTTAGCCTGGCATGGTGGCACCTGCCTATAGTGCCAGCTACTCAGGAGGCTGAGGTGAGAGGACCGCCTGAACCTGATAGGTCGAGGCTGCAGTGAGCTATTATCATGCCACTGCCCTGTAACCTGGGTGACAGAGTAAGACCCTGTCTCAAAAATAAATAAATAAAGTCCAGGGAAGTAAAGTGTCATGCAGGCACTGAAGCTGGGAATTATAGCTGGGATCATTCCAGCTTTAGTTCATTGCTCGTGCTTTAGGTAAACCTATCTGCCATGAGCAGTATCTCTGTTACCAGTGGCTGGAGCCCCAGCTGTGCCTTGACCTTCCTTCAAGCTAAAATGACTTCAACATGGTACTTTTCTTTTCCCAAATTCTCTTCCAATCTGGTTAACATGGTTGCTTTGGACTTGTATCTTCCCCTCTGATTCTAACCACACATCTTTAAAAGCTGAAGAACCCTTAATGATGAGCCAAGATACCCACCTCACAGAACAGAAGCCTCAGTCAAGATTAGCTCTCACCATATTATTATTATTATTGTGATTATCAATATTATTATTTGGTTTTTAACTACTGGCAAGGCCCAGGCAGTGACGCACTAGCTGCCATGCTGGTCCCCCACGCCAGGCTCTTAAAGCAGGCCTGCCACTCTGCCCTTGCCAGACACCACGGACCCCCACCAGCCCCAAGAGCCAGGTACAGGAAGAAAATAAATGAGTTGATTCTGGCCTCAAGCTGAGTCATAAAAACTCAGACAGGAGAGTGTGAAGGAAAGTGAGTAGAGAGGCAGCTTCGTGAGCAAACAGCTCAGGCAGAGGCTGTAGGAAACTCACTCCCTGCCCCTCCCATCGACAGAGCCCTCTTGGAGAATCTTCAGAGCCCTGGGGTGAGCCTCAAACTGGCATTTTATTGCTGATTTTTAAAAAGTGCCCGTCATTGCCAAGCCTCTGCCTTGTATCTTTTAATTGTTTTAAAATTGTGTGCTCTGTGCCCTGAGGTGATTTTAACACCAAGGGCAGCACTTCATAAAATAAATACATTAGGAGCTGGAGTTGCTTCCCTACAGTGGGTAGATGGAGCAAGTGGGGTGGGGGCAGGGAACCACAGAGGGACACCTCCTGAGGATTTGGGCTCTCACTCTTGCTGGGACTTTACTTTCCTGTTGCCCCTTTAATACCACTCTGAGCTTCTGAGCACCAGCAGGAGGCAAAACATTGGAAGCAAGGGGGTTGCATGAGTCACGTGGAAATATCTGGGGACTTTGCTGCTGTCTAGGCCAGTTAGGGAGAGCCAGCTTGAGAAGGCGGAGCACCTGAAGGGACTGTGTCCGTTGTGGAGTTTTAGAGACACATGACCCTTAATCAGGAGGGGAGAAGTATCATTAAAAAAGAAAAATCTAGAACCACATCTTCCCAGCCCCAACTGAAAGACCAAAAGGCCAACCAAGAGTTGTTGACAGTGTCAATATATTTATTGCTAAGGTGCAGTTCACAAACTCTTCCAAAAAAACTAGAAGAGGAGGAAATACTTCCAAGCTCTTTTTATGAGGCCAGCATTACCCTGATATCAAAGCCAGACAAGGACATAACAAGAAAATTACAGGCCAATATCCTTAATGAATATAGATGCAAAAACCCTTAACAGAACACTAGCAGCTAGGCATGGTGCCTCATACCTGTAATCTCAGCACTTTGGGAGGTTGAGGCAGGTGGATCACTTGAGGTCAGGAGTTTGAGACCAGCCAGGCCAACATGGCAAAATCCCGTCTCTACCAAAAATAAAAAAATTAGCTGGGTGTGGTGGCGGGCACCTGTAATCCCAGCTACTCGAGATGCTGAGGCAGGAGAATCGCACAAACCCGGGAGGCAGAGGTTGCAGTGAGCTGAGATCATGCCACTGCACTCCAGCCTAGGCCAAAAAGCGAGACTCCGTCTCAAAAAACAAAACAAAAACAAAACACACACACACACACACACACACAAACACTAGCAAACCAAATTCAACCACACATTAAAAGAATCACTCACCATGATCAGTGGGATTTATCCCTGGGATGCAAGATAGTTCAACATATGCAAATCAATAAATGTGATATATCGCATTAACAGAATGAAGGATAAAAACCATTTGATCATCTCAATAGGTGTGGAAAACATATTTGACAAAATTCAACATCCTTTCATGATGAAAACTCTCAACAAATTAGGTATAGAAGGAATGAACCTCAACACAATATACATTAAACCCATAGCTATCATTATACTCAACAGTGAAAAATTGAAAGCCTTTCCTGTAAGATCTGGAACAAGACAAAGATGTGCACTCTTGTCACTTCTATTCAACTGTAGGGGAGTGAAAAACCTCCACCCTTCTAAGTTCCTTGGCTAGGCTACAAATTAAAGGGACATAAGACAGATTGACAGGAGAAAAACCATATTTAATGATGGGCATATGCAAAGGTGTCCCACAGAATAAGAGACTTGAAGAAGGGTCAGACGATTGAAGTCTATATAGCATCCTAAGCTACAGAAAGGAATAGGAGCTCCAGCTTCTCAGGGGAGGCGGGGGACACAAATTACGATAGAGCAAAGGGAGGAAATTTGTGGTGAAGAAAGGCTGCCTTATCCAGATAAACAGTCTCAGCTAATAAAAATTGTCTGGAGCAGCCCTCAGAAGAAGAGGTAACAATCTCTGGGTTGGTGTTAACCTCCAGTCTCACCTCCTGTGAACCAAGTTAATCTTCCCTGATTGATAAGATTTCTAGGGAGGGGATTCATAACAAATTGAGTTCCTTTTAGAGGATTCATCTTTAGGCAGATAAGGGGGCTCAGAGAAAGCATCTGCTGTTTCCTAAGTGCCCTCAGTGCAAAGCCACCAGTGCACCACAGAGGCATATTTTGGGGTGGCATTTCCTGAACACCTTCACTGCTTAGTATTAGAAGTCCTTGCCAAAGCAATTAGGCAAGAAAAAAATAAATAAAAGACACTAAATCATTTAGAAAGGAAGAAGCTAAATTGTTACTGTTTGCTGATGACATGATCTTATATATAGAAAACCCTAACGATTCTACCCCAAAACTGTTACAATACACGAATACAGTAAAGTCACATGATACAAAATCGACACACAAAAGTCAATAGTGTTTCTGTTTATTATTCATTTTATTGTTAGACCTGCACTAACAATAAACTGAAAAAGAAGAGAACAATCCCATTTACCATGGCTACAGCCTGGTGATAAAGACAGCCGAGGGGAATTCTCTGGGGTCAGATCTGGATTCCAATCCCCCCTGAGCCACTTACTCATTGTGTCACTTAGGGCAAGTGGCTTCATTTTTCTGCATTTTAGTTATTTCATCTTACTTCGTTAAATGGTAGCGACAATAATAATGCCTTCCTTGTATGAATATTGGGAAAAGCGAAAGGAGATGGGTAATCCATTAAAGTGTTTACTTAACCCAATGCTGGGCACAGACAAACAGTAGATATTAGTTATTGTTGTGTTATTGTGCATTTAGTGCGCTATATTAGGTGATCTTGCGAAAAGAGCAGAAATAGTCTCTGTCACTGAGGCATATGTTCCCAAAATCCCACTCTGCCTTCTCTGTGCTGACTCAAATCTGATTTAGCTCCAGCAGCTTCTCTGTGTAGTGGAAAGAGCTTGGATTTGTGCCCCAGCTCCATTGATCCCCAGCTCTGCACACATCATCTAACTTCTCTGAGCTTCAGTTTCCTCTTCTGCAAGATGGAGATGATAATAGAGACTCTGCTGACTTTGTAAGGTTGTGGTGAGGCTCAAATGTGACTATGGGTGAATTTTCTCCAAAAGCTGTAAAGTCATTATAAAGCAAAAGTAAAACCCAACCTTACAGGCTTCACTCAAGTCCCACCTTCTCCTACCTTTCTGTGAGAGAAATCCAACTCAAACTGTCTTAAGAGGGGGGAAAATGGATTTTCTTAGCTCATGCAACTAAACGATCCAGGAGTAAATTCTGGAGTGGCTGGAGCCAGGTTCTCAAAAGATGACATTTAGGCCAGGCACGGTGGCTCACACCTGTAATCCCAGCACTCTGGGAGGCTGAGGCAGGCGGATCACGAGGTCAGGAGGTTGAGACCATCCTGGCTAACATGGTGAAACCCCGTCTCTACTAAAAATAATAAAATTAGCCAGGCATGGTGGCACGCGCCTGTAGTCCCAGCTACTCGGGAGGCTGAGGCAGGAGAATGGCGTGAACCCAGGAGGCAGAGCTTGCAGTGAGCCAAGATCACACCACTGCACTCCAGCCTGGGCGACAGAGGGAGACTCCGGCTCAAAAAAAAAAAAAAGACATTTAAAAATCTGATTCTCTCTTTCTCTCAGCTCTGCTTTCCTTTGTATTTCCTTTGTGTCCTTCTGAAGACACCAAATCCTTAGAAGGCATCTCTTTGTGCTTCCCTGCCCCCATCTTTGCCATGTCATAGGTTAAGCCTGCTCAGACTTTAACCTATGAAGCAGGCTTAACCTATGAAGTGGCAAAGATGGCCACAAGCAGCTCTGGGCTTGCAAACTACCAGTTTAGCAATCCAGATAGAAACAGTCCACCATTCTCTCGACAGCTCCAGCAAGAGTCCCAGAAATGAGTCTCCATGGCCTGACTTGGGTCATGTGCCTGTCTGTGGCCCTTTCTCCCAAGGCCAGGAGATTGGAATATGCCAGTTGGCCAAGCCTGAGTCACATGCCCACTGTCTGGAGCCAGGTGATGAATCATTCCAGCTCATTCCAGCTGTAACCACATGAACAGAACGAGGAGAGGTGGTTCCCCAAAAGGAAAGCAAAGTGATGTTTCCAACGGAAGGGAAAAGGAGATACTGGACAACAGATTTTCACTGTACACAGATTTGACTATTGTATTTTCTGGTAGGAGGTAGGGAGAAGAAGTGAGAGCCAGAATAAAAAGTCCCAGAGAGCAATGAGACATTCAGTTAATACTCTGTAGTTGACTCAACACTTTGCATCCCTGGAACATTCTGCCTAGTAATATGGCTTCAGGAGAAAGGGTCCTGGGCCATTTTAGGAAGGGAGCCCTGCACTTGCTGAGAAACACAACTGTGAATGATAAAGGGAACGAGAACCCTATTTCCTGACTCATTAAAGCAAGAGAGTGCTTAATAAATACTACTTGGTGATAAAGTTCTGACAAGGCCACTCATCTAATAACCACAGTTCTGACTCTGATTCCTATTCTGCTTAAGAATCTACACGAGCCCAGACTTCAGCTGTCATTAACAGAGGTCATGTCGTTGGCAGGCTGCCTGTCACAGATTCCGTGCACAGGAGGGCAAATAGCAAATGGGGAACTCCGGACACCACAGGTGTTTCTCTCTGAGTCACAGCGCTTCAGCCTCATTCCCCTTCCCTGGAGAAGACTTCCTCCATTCCATCACTACTTCTACCTCCTAAATAGCACTTTTCTCACCATTTCATATTACAAAAGCATGTTATGACATGCTTATTTCAGGAAACTCAAATAAGAGCATGCAGAGTCCCCATATTCTTCTCTACCTTATTACAAATCATATCCTCTTCTAGGCATATACGAATACTGTATATAAGACTTTTAAAAGTGGGATAACACTGTTCCATGACATATATTGGAAATATGTTGTGGGAAGTCAGGGACCCCAAACAGAGGGACCGGCTGACACCATGGCAGAAGAACATGGATTGTGAAGATTTCATGGACATTTATTAGTTCCCCAAGTTAATACTTTTATAATTTCTTATGCCTGTTTTTACTGCAGTCTCTAAACATAAATTGTGAAGATTTCATGGACACTTATCACTTCCCCAATCAATACCCTTGTGATTTCCTATGCCTGTCTTTACTTTAATCTCTGAATCCTGTCAGCTGAGGAAGATGTATATTGCCTCAGGACCATGTGATAATCGCATTAACTGCACAAATTGTAGAGCATGTGTGTTTAAACAATATGAAATCTGGGCACCTTGAAAAAAGAGCAGGATAACAGCAACTGTTCAGGGAATAAGAGAGATAAACTTAAACTCTGACCGCTGGTGAGCCGGGCGGAACAGAGCCATATTTCTCTTCTTTCAAAAGCAAATGGGAGAAATATCACTGAATTCTTTTTCTCAGCAAGGAACATCCCTGGGAAAGAGAATACGCACCTGGGGGTATAGGCCTATAGACAGCCCCCCTAGGTGTGCCCGTCTTCTATGGTCAAGGCTGTAGGGGTGAAATAGACCCCAGTCTCCCACAGCGCTCCCAGGCTTATTAGGAAGAAGAAATTCCCACCTAATAAATTTTAGTCAGACCGGTTGCTCTCAAAACCCTGTCCCCTGATAAGATGTTATCAATGACAGTGGTGCCCGAAGCTTCATTAGCAATTTTAATTTTGCCCCGTCCTGTGGTCCTGTGATCTTGCCCTGCCTCCATTTGCCTTGTGATATTCTATTACCTTGTGAAGTACTTGATGTCTGTGACCCACACCTATTCGCACACTCCCTCTCCTTTTGAAAATCCCTAATAAAAACTTGCTGGTTTTTGTGGCTTGTGGGGCATCACGGAAACTACCGACATGTGATGTCTCCCCCGGATGCCCAGCTTTAAAATTTCTCTCTTTTGTACTCTGTCCCTTTATTTCTCAAGCCGGCCGACGCTTAGGGAAAATAGAAAAGAACCTAAGTGACTATCGGGGCAGGTTCCCTGAGAAGAATATCTCTCAATGCCCATAGATACCCTTCTGTAGCATTAAATTTAAGAGATTCAAGTTGGTGATTTTTTTAGTGGATGTACTATAAATTATTTATCCTTTTTTCTACTATCGGGTAGCTACATTGTTTACACATGTTACTATTATGATATTCTGTGGACTGTTTTAAAAATAAAATAAATGAATGGGGTTACAGTAGGGAGGTATAATGGCCAGTGTGGGAAAGACACAGCTACCAGGTGAGGTGGCTCACGCCTGTAATCCTAGCACTTTGGGAGGCAGAGGTGGGTAGATCACTCGAGCCCAGGAGTTTGAGACCATCCTGGGCAACATGGCAAAACCTTGTCTCTACAAAAAATAGAAAAATTCACCAGGCATGGTGGCACACATCTGTGGTTCCAGCTACTAGGGAGGCTGACACAGAGGATGGCTCGAGCCCAGGAGGTTGAGGCTGCAGTGAGCCCAGATTACGCCACTGCATTCCAGCCTGTGGCACAGAGTGGGACCCTATCTCAAAACAAAACAAAAAATTAAATAAATAAAAAAGAAAAATGCAACATACTACAGAAAAGCGGTATGAGGGAAAATAGTTGCTTTCAGAAAAATATCTCCATTTAATATCATGTAGACCACACCTGGAATTTGGGGATTTTTCTGGGCTCTGCTCTCAGCTCAGTAAGGTTTTTGCTATTTGAATGACTATAAAGAAGCTTTATCCATCTGGATCCTGTTGTTGCTGTGTAATGGGGGTGGGTGTGTGGGTCACTAATTCCATCAACTTTGATTCGATATGTTTCTGTTATACTAGTTAACAAATTGCCCCAAAACGTACTGGCTTAAACCAATCATCATATTTGCTTATGTTTCTCTGAGTCAGCAATTTGGACAGAGCTTTGTTGGGTGGTTATTCTGTTCCTCATGCCACTGGCTGAGGTCATTTACTAGGCTTCATTTACCTAGTGGCTAGACAGAAAGGTCTAAGAAAATTTCACTTACGTGTCTGGCACCTCAGCACTTCTCCACTTGGTCCCTCTCTCCACGTGGTAAGGTTGAGCTTTCTCATGATATAGAAGTTTCAAGGTAACCAGATTTCTTATATGGCAACTGCTCCCAAATGGGACAAAATTGGAAGCTACGGATATCTTAGGGCCCAGCCTTAGAAGTTATACAGTGTTACTGCAGCCTCAACCTCCTGAGCTCAAGCAATCCTCCTGCCTCAGCTTCCCAAGTAGCTGGGATTATAGGCATGTGCCACCATACCCAGTTAATTTTTTAAATTTCTTTGTAGAGACAAGGTTTTGCCACTTTGGCCAGGCTGGTCTCAAACTCCTAGGCTCAAGTGATCCACCTGCCTTGGCCTCCCAAAGTGCTGGGATTACAGATGTGAGCCACTGTGTTTGGCCTCCAGTGTATTCTATTTGTCAAAACCAGTGTCAGAGTTGGTCTGTTTCAAAGAAATAGAAAATAGACCACACTTCTTGATAGTAAGAGAGGCAAAGAATTTTAAACCTTCTTTAACTCACTACAGTGAATATGATGAATACAATAGGATTATAGCGTTCTCCTATAATCAAGATACATAGAATATAATGGTGTCATAAAATACTATGTCCTAAGTATGCACTCAATCGACTAGAAGAGAGATTTAAGCCCATTTATAGTCAATAATTTTGCCCAAGTTCTGAGCATACACCAAAATAAACCATTGCCGAGATGGTATGTGGAAAATAGAATCCCTGGCAAAACTCACCCCTACAAGACAACAGTGATACCCATCCCAACTCACAGCCACCACCCACAATACTGGAGAAAGGCTCTGGGTCTTGGACATCTCAGCTCAACTCCTCCCTCTGCCATGGAGCTTCTTATAGACTTCCCACTCCTTAAATATAGTAATTCTTTCACAAGTCTGTTATAGGAGTTTTGAGATCTTTGTGAGAACATTTCTGCTAAAATTATAAATATTGGCTCTGAAACTGTTAATGTGCTTCCTCAGATGGCAAAAGAAAATAAGGTATATGTTGCCCTATGAAAACGGTGCATTTTCCATCTAAGAGTTAATGCTATCTTGCCACATGGAAACCTTGAAAAAAAACACTAAAATCCCTCCAACAGCATTAGGCCCTAGAAGTCTGAGTGAATCAGCCCAGATGAAGGAGCCCTTCTTGGCTATCCCCGTTTCAGTTACTGTGATGATGCAGGGAGTTTCTTCATCATACACACTTCCATCTTAGAGCTACTTTTTTTTTTTCTTTTTTTTTTTTTGAGACGGAGTCTGGCTCTCTCGCCCAGGCTGGAGTGCAGTGGCATGCTCTCGGCTCACTGCAAGCTCTGCCCCCAGGTTCACGCCATTCTCCTGCCTCAGCCTCCCGAGTAGCTGAGACTACAGGCGCCCGCCACCATGCCCAGCTAATTTTTTGTATTTTTAGTAGAGACGGTGTTTCACCATGTTAGCCAGGATGCTCTCGATCTCCTGACCTCATGATCCGCCTGCCTCAGCCTCCCAAAGTGCTGGGATTACAGGCGTGAGCCACCCCACCTGGCCAGAGCTACTTTTATTTTTTACAGGGTTATCCAAGCACTGAGTATGGTCTACATTTAATATCTAGTTATTAGTTGACTGATTCCCACTTGATTGCCAAAAGATGCTGCTATTTTGTACATAGCATCCCTGGAGGAAAGCCATTTGGAGGTTAATATGTGGGCAAATGGGCCACATGAGGAGCAGAAAGTTGGATCCTCTGTAATCAATACACAACCTTGGCCCCAGCCATGGGGTCCACCTTCTCCACAGGAATGAACAGCGTATGGCTTTTAGAAGGGCTTAGCCAATCTCCGTGGCTCATCTGTAATCCCAGCACTTTGGGAGGCCAAGATGGGAGGATCACTTGAGGCCAGGAGTTCGAGACTGGCCTGGGCAACATAGTGAGACTCCATCTCTACAAAATAAATAAATAAATAAATATTAGCCAGGTGTGGTGGTGTGCACCTATAGTCTTAACTACTTGGGAGGCTGAGCGGGGAGGATCACTTGAGCCCAGGAGGTCAAAGCTGCAATAAGCCGTGATCACGCCACTGCACTCCAGCCTGGACAACAGAGCAAGACTTGGTCGCTAAATAAATAAATAAAATGTAAAAAATAAAAGGGCTTAGACTTAGTGTCTTGGAGTGAAAATGAACTCCAAGCTGATCAGATAAGGGTTGACCAGCTCTTTCTTTAATTTTAATTATTTATTTTTTATCTCCCTTTCCTGGTACCTTCATGACTGGCTCTTAAATATTTAAATTTTCTTTGTCACAGGCTAGCCTGAAGCTCTGTGCCTATTTGATTTATATAACTCATATCTGGTTGATGTTGGTGGATTGAGACAAATATCTTTTCAGAACTGAAAATGACTCTATCTTTTTTCTTCTCTATGTTTCCCTCCAAGCAAAAGCCAGTGCTCTAAAAAGCTAAGAGTCAGACAGATAGATGCCCACTTCCAAGAGAGGGTGAGTTCTACCTTGCCCATCCCCTAGTCTTCACTTTGATTGTCCCTAGACCACTGGGAAGGAATCAAGACATTATTTCATTCCATTGGGATCATTTAAAAATAGCAGAACCACTTTCTGCTTCGCTGCAGCTCATGATAGTGAGATGAGTGAATTAAAGCGAATGGCTGTTAGAGAAAGTAGGGGAATGAATTTTAATGCAGCATCTGGCAAACCTGCCTTTGGAGTCTTTTCATGCCATGACCATTGTGCAGGCATTAGGGTAAGTGCTTTGGGACTTGTATCCAGGTTCTTGGACCTGGATACGAGGTTCTAAACAAGCCAGACCAAATGTAGGGGGAGGAGGCATTAGACCTCACAAGGCTGCCCTCACCCCACCCTGCCAAGGTCTGAACCCAAAGTTAGCGGGCTCTGCATACTGAACCTTGCTCTCTGGCCCCAGGGAAGAACGTCCCCCTGCTGTGGAGAGATGTCTGTCCCAGAGAGAAAATGGCCCCTTCACCTGGTTCCAGAGTATTCAAAGGCACTCTCGGACAGAAGAGGAAAGAGAGAGGAGTGTGTGAGAAAGAGAGCAGGGGAGGGGGAGACAGTGAGAGCGGGCGAGCATGCAGACTAGGAACTCGGTCTTGTTTCTCACATGCTCTCAGCTCTCTGAGCTGGGTCAGTGCATCCCGCCGAGACCACGCCCTCCTGTCCACAGAAACCTGAAAAGAACCACCAAGGGGCTTCTGACTTCATTCACTGGCCTTATTCGGCATCGTAACAACTGACTTTATCCCGGCTTTATGGTTTGCCTCTGTGACATCCTGAGGGAGTAGTTGCACTATACATACACACACACTCACGACTTTCACACACACATATCACACACTCACACAATTCACACACAATCACACACAATTCACACACACAACACGCACACATCACATACAACTCACACATCACACACAACTCACGGACATCACACAAATTCACACACACTCTCACAACTCACATCACACACAAATTCACACACACACCCCACACACATTCACATACCATCACACCCCCACACACTCAGCACACACACTCACACATTTACACACACACAACCTACACTCACATATCACACTCACAATTCACTCTTACATAACACACACACTCTCACATCCACACACCCCCCACACACCCTCACACATTCACACACACTCACCCCCCACACACACTCACACACACCCCTTCCTCACACTCCCCCATTCGACAGAATTCTGCTTTGTAAAGGGAGCTGTGAGGACGGAAATACTAAGGCATACCATCAGAGGGAGGGAAAGAAAAGACTGGGAAGAAAATTCACTGAAAAGGATTTCTGAGTCTGCAGATGGGGAACTTTTTCTTTTGAAACCATTTCAGACTTACAGAAAAGCACAAAGTACTTTTCACAGAAAAATACAAGAGTACAGACAATTCCTGTGTCCTTTTCACCCTGTCTGCTTCTGATTTTCCTTCCCTATGTAGACTGTTTTCTGAACCATTTGAGAGTAAGGTGCAGATAAGATCCCCCTTTATCCCTAAATACTTGAGTGTATGTTTCCTAAAAAACATGAATATTCTCTTTCATAACTCAAATACATTATCTAACTCGGGAAATTAATATTGACACAACACTATTATCTAAACTATACATCTTTCTGATGTAAAATTTCACCAGTTATTCTAATAATGTTCTTTATAAGAGCAAAATAATGTTCTTTATAAAGAGAAAAAAATGTTTTGATCCAACATCCAATCCAACCTCTTAACAATGTCACGACTTTTTTTTTTTGAGACGGAGTCTCGCTCTGTCGCCCAGGCTGGAGTGCAGTGGTGCGATCTTGGCTCGCTGCAAGTTCCGCCTCCCGGGTTCACGCCATTCTCCTTCCTCAGCCTCCCAAGTAGCTAGGACTACAGGCGCCCGCCACTAAGCCCGGCTAATTTTTTGTATTTTTTTAGTAGAGACGGGGTTTCACCGTGTTAGCCAGGATGGTCTCGATCTCCTGACCTCGTAAGCCACCCGCCTCGGCCTCCCAAAGTGCTGGGATTACAGGTGTGAGCCACCGCGCCCGGCCTTTTTTTATTTTTTTGAGACGGAGTCTCACTCTGTCGCCCAGGCTGGAGTGCAGTGGCGCGATCTCGGCTCACTTCAAGCTCTGCCTCCCGGGTTCATGCCATTCTCCTGCCTCAGTCTCCCGAGTATCTGGGACTACAGGCGCCCGCCACCACGCCCCGCTAATTTTTTTTTTTTTTTTTGTATTTTTAGTAGAGACGGGGTTTCACTGTGTTAGCCAGGATGTCTCGATCTCCTGACCTCTTAATCTGCCCACCTCGGCCTCCCAAAGTGCTGGGATTACAGGCGTGAGCCACCGCGCCCGGCCAGCAATATCATGTCTTTTTAGGTTTCTTCAATTAGAATAGTTCTTCAGCTTTGTCTTTCATGACACTGACATTTTTGAAGAATGTAAGCCATTTATTTAATCGACTGTCCCTCCTTTTGAATTAGTCTGATGTTTCCTCACAATTAGATTCCGGTTGTACCTTTTTGGCAGGAAAACCACAGAGGTGATATCATGTCCTTCAGCACACATACATCAGGAGATATATGCTATCAATCTGTCCCATTTGTCCCTTGCGATGTTAACTTTGATCATTTGATTCAGGTGGGGATTATCAGTCCTCTCTACTGTAAAGTTATTATTTTTCTCTTTGAAATCAATAGGTGTTTTATGAGGATCTACTTTGAGATTGTGTAAATACACTGTTTCTCATCAAATTTTTACCCACTAGTTTTAACATCCCTTGATAATTCTTGCCTGAATCATTAATGACTCTAAGGTTTACCAAATGGTCATTTTCTAATTTTATCATTTCTTATACCTATATTAGTTGTAATTTTACTCTAAGGAAAGCCTTTTTCTTTTTCTCCATTTATTTATTTGCTTATATTAATATGGACTTAGATTTTCACATTTTATCCAATTTATTATTATTATTATTTTAGATGAAGTCTCCCTTTTGTCATCCAGACTGGAGTGCAGTGGTGTGATCTCGGCTCACTGCAGCCTCCGCTTCCTGGGTTCAAGCAATTCTCCCGCCTCAGCCTCCCGAGTAGCTGGGAAAACAGGTGCTCACCACCATGCCCAGCTAATTTTTGTATTTTTAGTAGAGATGGAGTTTCACCGTGTTGGCCAGGCTGGTCTCGAACTCCTGACCTCAGGTGATCCACCCGCCTTGGCCTCCCAAAATGCTGGGATTACAGGCATGAGCCACCGTGCCCAGTTGATTATTATTATTATTTTTTAAAAGTTCAGATTGTCCAAGATTTGAATGGGAGCTCCTTCCAGCTTCTTCTTCTTCTTCTTCTTTTTTTTTTTTTTTTTATTGAAACAGGGTATCTTTTACTACATAGCACAGGCTGGAGTGCAGAGTGGCTATTTACAGAGGTGATCATGGCTCACTGCAGCCTCAAACTCTTGGGTTCAAGCAATCCTCCCACCTCAGCCTCCTGACTAGCTGGGACTACAGGTGCATGTTACTGCCCCCCAGCTAGGGTTATTTTTGAAGGTGGATTCTCCAAAACTCTGGTCCAGGCTATTTCTCCAAATTATGAATGTTTAAACAGCATTCAAGAATCTAATTTTTAACATTATGAGAAAGCACAGCATCTATGCCAGTGAATTTTAGAGTTCCAACGAAATAACAAGATGTTTATTTACATACATTTTATAATCTTCCTAAAGACCAGACTCATTTCCTAAGTGAGGACATGACTTCCTCTCTCTTCTCCCGGTCCTGATGTATGTCCAGTCCATTTCACAGTAGACCTACTGAGGAAGTAGCAGGGTAGAGAGGAGAGTCAGGGAAGTGGGAAGGTGAGAGAGAAGTAGGGAGGAAAAGGAACAGGAGGAGAAAGAACTCCTCTCCTCTCCTCATTTGTTCAGACGGTCTGGCACCTACAGCCTCCTCATGTCCCCCAGCCCCACTGCCCCCTCCTGGAAGTCAGCGCACTGCTGCCGCTGGCATTCACATCGTGTCGGCAGGACGCCGCGTTGTCAGAGGTTAGAGACAGCCACTTTCATCTCAGAAAAGGGGCCGGGAGATGACCTGGGTTATATAGAAGGAACTCAAGTCTTCTTGCCGCAGAAATGCCACTGGAAGGGATGGAGGAGAGAAAACCCGGTTGTATGATGTCTGCATTGCCCTCCTCGCTGGAACTCACCACAGGCTGGAGGTGCTTCCGGCAGAACCGAGCTCCGGGGAAAGCCTGTGATAAATCATCTCTGTCTTTACTAGCCAAGGGTTGCTATGGCAATAGGAATACACTGTAGGTTTTAAGAGATGTAATTTTCTGTGATTCACTGTATATTTTTAGCCATTTTTCCCTCTGTATTATCTCCCTGTGGTAATTGCCTATTAATGCTGGTCTGTACTAAGATTGGACTAAACGGTCGATTCTCAGAAGAGATGAAAACCCTGGAGCTCAGTAAGTACAAGGGGGTGATGGCCCATGAACTTAAGAGTAACCTGGTAGAACAACCAGATTAGTTCAGGACATGGATGAATTCACGTGGCCCATGCTACGTCTGTCTTGGGAGGAGAGTAAAGCAGAGTGAAGGGACCCAGCAATGTGGCTCTGGAGTTTTGGGAATGGGAAGCTGAGTCACACTACCCACTGAAATCCATATGCTCGAATGGTGTCAAGGGCAGGCCACAAAAGTCAGAAACGAGCATCCTGCGCAAGGGACACTAGGACCCAGGTTTCCAAACAAAGGAACTGTAAAAGCTTCTAACCTTTTGTTTTTTTTTTTGTTGTTGTTGTTGTTGTTTTTTTTTTGAGACAGAGTCTCGCTCTGTTGCCCAGGCTGGAGTGCAGTGGTGTGATCTCGGCCCATTGCAAGCTCCACCTCCCAGGTTCATGCCATTCTCCTGCCTCAGCCTCCCGAGCAGCTGGGACTACAGGCGCCCACCACCATGCCCGGCTAATTTCTTTGTGTGTTGTTTTTTTTTTTTTAGTAGAGACGGGGTTTCACCGTGTTAGCCAGGATGGTCTCGATCTCCCGACCTCGTGATTCACCTGCCTCGACCTCCCAAAGTGCTGGGATTACAGACATGAGCCACCGTGCCTGGCCTCTAACCTCTTTTAATTTAGTTCAAGTCTTCTATTGTTTCTTATCTTATCCTTCCTTCTTTATTCCTTTCTTCTTTCTTTCCTTGCTCTAATTTTACTTTTTTTTTTTTTTTTTTTAACCGTAAAATCAGGGGAGAGACTAAGAGGAGGTGAAAACAGAATGTATCTAGTTGCTATTGGTTCATAGTTGTATCAGGGGTCTTTCCATCCAGGCCACAGAAAATCCAGCCTAAACTGCTTAAGCAGAAAGAGAACTTACTCTTTCTCTAATAGCTGAAAAGTCCAGGGGCTTGGGTTTAGTCTCAGGCACAGTTGTATTCAGAAGGCCAGATGACATCATCAACATCTGGGCTGTCTGACACACCACTAAGTTTCACTGATATTTGGGCATTTGGGCTGCAATAACATGAAACTCAGCTAACAGAGGCTTCAACAAAGTGTGGTTTGTTTTTCTCACATAAGAAGTCCAGAGAGAGGTTTATTTTTCTCATTCAACAAGCAGCCCAGAATAGGCATAGATGACGTTACTATGCAGCAGCTCAGTAATGTCATCAAGAACCCAGCCTCCTTCTTCATTTCAGCTCTACTGTCTTCAGGGTCACAGGAGGACAGGTCCAGCTCTAGACATTCAAGGCAGAAAGAAGAGGCTAGCTAACTTCCGATTTTTTTTTTTTTTATCCAGAAAAGTAAATCAATCCCCAAAGTTCCCAGCTGACCTCTGCTTCCAGTTGATTGAATACATCAGTGCCATGAGGCCACTTTAGCCACAGAGGAGGCTGGGAAAGTACGTTTTTAAGCTTTTTTGGTCCCTGCAGTAGAAGCAGTGTTTTTTGTTTGGTTTGGTTTTGCCTCATATAACAGTCAAAGAACAAACCGTACCCAAGATTGTGAAAGGGTTCTGCCTCTTCCTTGCAGTCTGACCAGTCACTCCGTTGTCATATCCTAGCCAAGAAGGGAGAAGGTATAAGAGAAGGGCAAGAAGCTTTCTTTTAAGGATGCAATGCATAAGTTGCATTCATCACTTCTCTTCTGCCCATATGCTATTGGTCAGAACATAACCACATGATCACAACCAGCTGTAAGGGTGGCTGGGAAATGTAGTACTTGGGTAGCCATGTGCCCAGCTAAAACTTGAGGAGTTCTGTTAGTCACATGATGAAGAAGAGGGGTATTTTGAAACAACTAGCAATCTCCTCAGGTGTAGTTAGAGCTCCATGATGTGCTCACTTCACATTGCATGCCTGTATCAAAACATCTTATCTACCCCATAAATATATACACCTACTATATACCCACAAACATTTTTTAAAAATAAAATAAAACAAAAATAAATTAAAAAATAAAAAAGAGCAGTTATAGGAGAAAGGGTTTGGATGGCTATTAGATTCACTCATTCAAGGCCAAATATTTCTGCCTCTGCCACATTCTCAGAGAGGCTTACCTTTGTGCAGGTAAGACAGCTTCAGCATCACCAGCCTCACATTCTCCCTGGTCCAAGACCATTAGTAAAAGAGCTCAACATCTTCGCAGCTACCCTGGGCAGTCTCACCACATCTCCTTGGTTCTTACTGGGTCACCTGCCCATCATTAACTAAGGGGATGCAATGCAATACTCTGGTCATTCCTGAATGACTTGCTCCACAAAATCACCAAGATCTTTCTGGGCCTCAGTTTGCTCATCTGTAAACTAAACATAATAAAACCTACCTCACAGGGTTGGTGGGAGAGTGCTGCTGGGGGACTCAGGCTGAGCTGGGGGTCATTGTCCATACATGCATTTCAGTTTGCCTACTGACCAGACTCACCTTAACAATATCATTTCAAAAAACAAGACCCTCTAAAATCAAAGTAATCATCAGTGGATAGTTAGCCTAGATCTCATCTTATAATATATTCCAAAGTAAAAATACTTGCTAGGTACCTGGCACTGTGCTAAGCACTTTGCATACCTTCTATCAAAACTCTCAAAGTAATTCCATGGGAGAGATACTTTCACTGTTTTCAATTAACAGACAAGAGTGGTGATGGGTGCCTGTAATCCCAGCTACTCGGGAGGCTGAGGCACAAGAATCACTTGAACCTGGGAGGCAGAAGTTCCAGTGAGTCGAGATCACACCACCGCACTCCAGCCTGGGTGACAAAGCAAGACTCTTAAAAAAACAAACGAATAAACAAACAAAAATAAACGAGTAAATAAACAAAAGGGATAAGGAAATTTAGCTCCTTGCCTAAGGTCACAGCCAGCACAGTGATGGAGCCACAAAGCCAGGACTAACTTTGAACCCCCACAATCTCCTCCCTCTTATTGTATAAAAATAAGTAAAAATAACCACATATTTATGAAATCACGAAAACCTTCCTGCTGATTGTGGTGGTCACAAGAAAGCACCTTTTGATGCAGGACAGATGAACCTCCAAATTGGGGCTTAGCCCAGGAAGGTTCTTGGCTTTGCCGAGGAGAAAATTCAAGGGCAAGCCAATGGTGTTGAACAGCCTTTGATGAAAGCGCCCAGTGCACAGGAGCAGCAGAGGTACTGCTCCTTGCAGAACAGGGCTACCCTATAGGCAGTGGGCCCAGAGTAACAGCTCAGAGGAAGTTCTGCACTCATTTTTATGCCTGCTCTGAATTGTATGCAAATTAAGGGGTGGTTTATGCAGAAATTTCTAGAAAAGAGGTGGTAACTTCTAGGTTGTCAAGTCATTGCCACAGAAAGGGGTGGGAACTTCTGGGTGTTGCCATGGTAATGGTAAACTGACAGGGCACAGTGATGGGCGTGTCTTATGGGGTGGTGCTTCTGCCCTGGACTTGTTTTAGTTAGTCCCCAATTTGGTCCAGTATCTGAACCCTGCCTTCAAAGTAAAGTCTCACCTCCTACCTCACTTTGATCTCCCTTTGAGAGAACCTGCTACCAGGAGTAGCAGGATGACAGCCTTACACTATGGATCCTTTGGGCTCCCTGCAGCCTTCACACTGAGGCCTCCCCCTCCCTGGGCACAACAGATGTACTACAGCCAGGCCAGTCCTGTCCAGTGGCAACTCCTCTGTTCTTGGGCTTCCCATAAGCCTGGCTGTGGCTTTCTTGGAGCTATGCTGTAGTCTAGATTCTTCCTACCCAACTCTCTTTCCTTTCCACTCTCCTTCAGCAAGTGCCAGGCCTGCACTGCTGCCTGAGGGCTGTCCTCACCACTCCTGCTCCCACACCCTATATCCTTCACATACATTCTCCCCCGTGCATTTATGCTCTGCCTAATTCCATCTTGGCATGTGTTTCTCAGAGGACCTGAAATGACACACTTCTTGTACCTCCCTTAACTCACAACATGAACTACATCACAGGCTTTTATGTTTCCAAAGATTTTTGAGTGTTAAAGAATAAGAAAGCAATAAAAATAATAATTCAAAATTGGGCTGTAGGGAAGATCTAATGTGGTCCAATAAAGAGGCTCCTAGCCTGGCACTTAAAAGGTAGAGACTCCTTCTTGAAGCAAGTTTCTGCATAGAGAGAAAAACAATAATCATTGCTGATCTTAAAAGAAACCTAGCTGCATTGGGCATTTTGGATGGAGAGGGTTAGAGGCATCTGAGACTTGCCTGGAGTCACTCCACAGGGTCACAGATAGATTTCAATCATTCTAATCCTCATCCAGAAGCTTCAAATGCTCCTGAGACAAGGAATTGATCCTTTAGCGAAAGAGCGAAGAATGCTACTTAACTCAGCCAAAGAAAAATAATGATCAATTGAGCAAAATGTACTGGCTTTAGACAAGGATCTCCAAACTGAAATGGAATTACTCTTGTTGCCCCTGGGAACACAAACCATGTGCCACAACTACGCTGCCCTGCCCTGCCTCATCCTACCTTAAGGCTTTTTCAGGGGTTACTAACTAGTAGCCACAGAGCAATGTGTCCTACAAACATGTTTTATCTGGTCCCTGTGGTCTTTTTTTACACAATATAAATTAGTTAAGATTTATCAAGTGAGATATTTCACATAAAAAATCTGGACTTCATGCTTCTTTTGGAAAATCAGAAAATCTGACAATATCAGCCCTACATGTGAACTTCCTGCCTCAAACAGAACCAGAATCTCTACTACTCCTCTCCTATTAAACTCCTATTAAACATGCTGGCTTTAACATGCTCAGGACCATAAACCTACTTGATTTTGAGCACTCAGATTCAGATCATGAGCCCTGGGTAGCACTTGGCTGAAGTTAACTGTCAGCTCTTTAAGAAAAATGAGTTAGTAACAATTTTTTTTTTTTTTTTGAGATGGAGTCTTGCTCTGCCACCTAGGCTGGAATGCAATGGTGCGATCTCAGCTCACTGCAACCTCCACCTCCCGGCTTCAAGTGATTCTCCTGCCTCAGCCTCCCAAGTAGCTGAGATTACAGGCACCTGCCATCATGCCCAGCTAATTTTTGTATTTTTGTAGAGATGGGGTTTCACCATGTTGGCCAGGCTGGCCTTGAACTCCTGACCTCAGGTGATCCACCCACCTCGGCCTCCCAAAGTGCTGGGATTACAGGCATGAGCCGCCGCCACTGCACCTGGCCACTAAATAAATTAATAGCATAAACAGGATTTCAAGAAGGAATTTCTTTTTTTTTTTTTTTGAGACAGAGTCTCGCTCTGTCGCCCAGGCTGGAGTACAGTGGTGCAATCTCAGCTCACTGCAAGCTCCGCCTCCTGGGTTCACGCCTGAGGCTCCTGCCTCAGCCTCCCGAGTAGCTGGGACTACAGGCATCTGCCACCACGCCCAGCTAATTTTTCTGTATTTTTAGTAGAGACCCGGTTTCACCATGTTAGCCAGGCTGGTCTCGATCTCCTGACCTCATGATCCGCCCGCCTCGGCCTCCCAAAGTGCTGGGATTACAGGCATGAGCCACCGCACCTGGCTGGAATTTCTTAAAAACTAGTCTTCAAGCACTTAAGTAAGAATGACAGCCATGATTAGCACGGCTGGAAGGTTTGTCAGCACTGACAGCTGGGGACAGGTGTCCCTCGTCAGAGGCAGAGACCCTGGGTTGGAGGAGGTGGGACTTCTGTCCTGGCTTTGTCCTTACTAGTTACACAACCTTGAGCATTGCCTTCACCCTCAGGTCAGGTGCCTGGTGTTGTAAGAGCTAACAGTGCCTAAGTGTTTTACTACCTGAAAAGCAGTCTATTAAGTGTTTTGTATGCATCCTCTCTTTTCATTCCACACCATGTCCTGACGCCATGTACCAGTATTATCCCTAAAGCACAGGAAGGTTTTGTGACCTGTCCAAAGTCAGAGAGTCAGTTGGAGCTCAGATGCTTTGGGCTCCCTGCAACCTTCACACTGAGGCTTCCCCGTCCCTGGGTACAACAGATGTACTACAGCCAGGCCAGTCCTGTCCAGTGGCGACTCCTCTGTGACTGCAGACTCCACACATGCACCTAGAAGACTGTGATGCTTACACCTGCATAGGGTGGTCCGAGGCACTGAAGAAGACTGTGTAGGCCAAGTGCTTTTTGTAATATGTAAAGTGCTACAGGATGATGTTTACTATTATCATTTGAATGCTGCAATTTTCTTTTTCAAAACTGATGCTTTATCTAAAAGTCATCAATTCAGTTTGGCCCCTTCCTACTTCATTCACCTTAATTAATTCATATTTTTCTCTCTTAAAGAGAGAGTAAAGAGCTGGAACTGGCACATCAGTAGTCCTGTATCGCCCTCTGCTGACAACAGTCAGGAAAACTATAAAATTTTAACAGGTGATATTGATTCTCTAAGCCTCCTTGAACAATTTCTGGAGCACCTACTTTGTCCTGGGCATTGTACTAGCTGCTATACGGTCTAGAGAGACTAGGAATGGAGTATACAGGAGATATTATCCTAGATAAGCCTGTCCTGTGTGATTTAGATATAGGAGAAGGAAAGTAGAGAAACCTACAGACAAGGGTGACCTGTATTTCATCTCATAATATATTCCAAAGTAAAAATATTTATTCAGTACTTCCTAGATGATTACCATCAGGACATCACGGAGAGAAGGCCAAAGCCAGACAGAGTTGTCATTATCCCCCTCAAAAGGCCACAAGGAACCCCCAAACAGTGAGGTAAATGGTACTCTTTGCCCAGGCATATGCAGGTAAGTGACTAGCAACCAGCTTTCTGGCCTGGAGAAGCCCTGATTGGTAGTGTTTCCCAATTGTCATGGTGTAAATACTCCCATTATGACCAATTTCAAGCTATCAACATAATGATTCACAACATTTTTGAAAATTTAACAATCGGCCTCTCACAAGCTGTAGGAGCTGGCTCTAACACACCATTTCCTTTTTTTTTTTTTTTTTTTTTTTTAGATGGAGTTTTGCTCTTGCTGCTCAGGCTGGAGTGCAGTGGCGCGGTCTTGGCTTGCTGAAACCTCCACCTCCCGGGTTCAAGCAATTCTCCTGCCTCAGCCTCCCAAGTAGCTGAGATTACAGGTGCCCACCACCACACCCAGCTAATTTTTGTATTTTTAATAGAGATGGGGTTTCACTATATTGCCAGGCTGGTCTCGAACTCCTGACCTCAGGTGATCCACCCGCCTTGGCCTCCCAAAGTGGTGGGATTACAGGCATGAGCCACCACACCTGGCCTCACACCACTT
Organism: Homo sapiens; assembly: GCF_000001405.40. Classification (NCBI taxonomy): domain Eukaryota; kingdom Metazoa; phylum Chordata; class Mammalia; order Primates; family Hominidae; genus Homo; species Homo sapiens. The sequence goes on along the minus strand of NC_000014.9, from coordinate 65,163,383 downwards.
CTTTTAACTCTAGAAAAAATATACCTTCTCATCTTCCTTCCCAATCAACTGGATTCTGGAATTCTCCAAGTTGGTGCACATCTACGGGCAGGGACAGATCAGCTTCACCCCAGAAAGATCAACCCCAAACAGGAAATGGGGAATGCTGGCTGGGTCTTCCCCTACACATCGTCAGGTGGCTCTGGTCAAAGGTCTACTTCACCTTTCCTTCTCTCCCTTCTTCCAGTCCTTCTCCTATCGAACCAACTGAAGAAAGAGGGACTGTCTAGGACATCATGACACATCCCTGAAAGAGAATCTCGTTCTGACACCACCTCCTCGTCTTCATGTCCCAGTTCCCTTCCTTAATGGATTTGGTTCACAAGCCTGCCTCATCTAGAAGCCCCCCCTCACATGCAAGAAGGAGACACCTCCGGGCTCCTGGAGGAACTCCAAGATCTTCTGATATGAAGACGCTGGCCATCTTGGACCATGTGTCTCTCACTTTGTGTAACTCACAAGGAAGAAGGCCCTGCTTTAGCCCCAGAAAAGGAGGAGGAATGTGTAGGGCCATGCAGGGCCTAAGGGAGCAGTTCCCAATTGTCTCCAACTAGAGACAGGACTCAGGCTGAGCAAAACCCAGCTGCTAGGGGCCCAGGAGGTCCAATCTCCTGAGGGTGTGCTTCCTACTCAGCCCAGAAATCATTCCAAGGCCCTCCAGATAAAACTAGAGGCACAGCTGGGCATGGTGGCTCATGCCTGCGATCCCAGCACTTTCGGAGGCTGAGGTGAGAGGATCTCTTGAGGCCAGGAGTTCAACACCAACCTGGCCAACATGGTGAAACCCTATCTCCACTAAAAACACAAAAATAAGCTGGGCATAGTGGCGCACGCCTGTAGTCCCAGCTACTCAGGAGGCTGAGGCACAAAATTTGCTTGAACCTGGGAGACAGAGGTTACAGTGAAGTGAGATCGCACCACTGCACTTCAGCCTGGGCAACAGAGCAAGACTCTGTCTCAAAAAAACAAGACAAAAAAACTAGAGGCCCGATGACCCCACTATCTAAACAGCAGCTGCCAAACCTCTGCCCCCATGAGGTCAGCAGTTCCACTTGCTTATTCTCCCACAAACTAACCTCTGACTTCCTTCTGCAGCTCCCACTTATCCTAAGATTTCAGTGACTTTAACACAAGATGAAATCTACAGTGATGGGCAGGCTTGGGGGTGCATCCTTGTGATCCCAGTACTGTGGGAGGCTGAGGTGGGTGGATTGCTTGAGCCCAGGAGTTCAAGAACAGCCTGGGCAACATAGTGAGCCCCTGTCTCTCAAAAAAAAAAAAAAATTTTTTTTTTAATTAGCTGGACATGGTGGCATGCACCTGTAGTCCAGCTACTTGGGAGGCTGAGGTGGGAGGATCGCCTGAGCCCAGGAGGGAGGAGCTGTGTTCATGCCACTGCACTCCAGCCTGGGCAACAGAGTGAAACTGTGTCTGAAAAACAAACAAACAAACAAAAACAAAAAAACTATAGCAAGAAGACTAAGTTCCTTCTGCTTTTGGTTCAGCTAGTTGGAGTTGTATGTCCTTAAGAACATTTCTAAACCTCTGGGGTTTGTCTTCTGAAGTCTAAATGGAAATAATCATCAGAGAGCACAGTTGAGAGGACTAAATTAGAATGCTGAGAAAAGAGCTTTATAAATCATAGTGTTACATAAATGTTTGTTGTTTTTCTACCTAAGAGACATCTTTACAATGTTTCCCCCTCCTTATAAAAGGAATATGTGTTCTTTACAGAAATTTTGGAAAGTAAATTTCAGTATTAAAAAAAATTAAAATCCCCTGTAATCCCAGCACTTTGGGAGGCTGAGGCGGGCAGATCACAAGGTCAGAAGATCGAGACCATCCTGGCTAACACGGTGAAACCCTGTCTCTACTAAAAATACAAAAAATTAGCCGGGCATGGTGGCGGGCACCTGTAGTCTCAGCTACTCGGGAGGCTGAGGCAGGAGAATGGCGTGAACCCGGGAGGTGGAGCTTGCAGTGAGCCAAGATCGTGCCACTGCACTCCAGCCTGGGCGACAGAGCAAGAGTCCGTCTCAAAAAAAAAAAAAAATTAAAATCAGTCCAGGCACAGTGGCTCACACCTGTAATTCCAGCATTTTGGGAGGTTGAGGCAAGAGGATCTGTAGCCCAGGAGTTTGAGACCAGCCTGGACAACATAGCAAGACCCTGTCTCTACAAAAAATAAATAAGTAAGTATGCAGCCATAAAAAAGAATGAGATCATATCCTTTGCAGGGACATGGATGGAACTGAAAATTATTATCCTTAGAAAACTAACGCAGGAACAGAAAACCAAATGCTGCATGTTCTCACTTATAAGTGGGAGCTAAATGATGAGAACACATGGACACATAGAGGGGAACAGCAGACACTGGGGCCTATTGGAGGGTACAGGGAGGAGGGTAGACAATGGAGGAGGATAAAGAAAGATAACTAATGGGTACTAGGCTTAATACCTGGGTGATGACATAATCTGTACAACAAACCCCCATAACACAAGTTTACCTGTATAACAAACTCGCACAGGTACCCCTGAAGTAAAAAAAAAAAAATCATGTCCTCTGCAGCAACATGGATAGAACTGGAGGCCATTACCATAAGCAAATTAATGCAGGAACAGAAAAGCAAATATAGTATGTTCTCACTTATTAGTGGGAGCTAATCACTGAGCACACATGGACACAAAGAAGGGAACAACTGACACCAGAGCCTGCTTAAAGGTGGAAGGAGGGAGAGGGTGAGGATCCAAAAGCTACTTAATGGGTACTATGCTTATTACCTGGGTAACAAAATAATCTGTATACCTAACCCCACAACAAACAATTTACCCATGTAACAAACCTGCACAGGTATCCACTGGACTTAAAATAAAAATTGGAAAGAAAAAATGAAAATAAAAAATAAAATTAAGTAAATAAATAAATAAACATCACCCAGAGTTAACAATCCACATTTGGTGTGTTTGCCTGGGGTATTTTTCTGTGTATATAAACATACCTTTGTTAAAAGAAAGGATGATCATACTTATGACTCAAGGGCAGTGGTTTCTCTTTTCACCAAGGGACCCCGAGTCCCTCCAGACAACCTGCAGATCCTACAGCGTTTCTCTCATCCCTGCAATGGAAAGAGAGTCTCACATTCAAAAACAGTTGAAAATAAGCCTAAGAGTAGCCTCCTGGGTTTCCAAATAAGGAGACCTTGGAAATAGAACCTGTTCTACCTGATAGAGGCCTTCAAACTTTCTGCTCTGCAAGCCATTTTGGAAAGACAATTTTCCCTTACGGATCACCTTGTCTATGTAAAACGATTTTTTAAAATTAAAATTGAGAAGATTTCCACTTAGTAAAACATATATTGCTACAACCATTATTGTTAAAATGCATATTTGTAGGCCCTTTTAAATGTGAAACTGAATTTGCTGTAGGAAATACTTTTGAAAACCTCACATTTTTCTGTGGCAGGTCCATGAATCACCAAAGGTACCCATGTAGAACGTAAATGCAAATATGTTCCTCTGGGTTCTTTCAGTATCTGACAAAATGTCATCTTTTCATCAATGTTACCAAGTTATCCTTTGCTTCTGCCCTGAAACAGGTGTTTTCTGGCTGTCAGAAATTGTCTGGGTCTCTTCTCCTCTATAACATCTGGCCCCTCCTGCCAGATTCTGCCTCAACCTTGATTTCTCCAATAACCCAGCTTAACCCAGATTAGGGGTAAAACTCCAGGGCTCTGGACCCTTGGGAGGGGGCACCCAATGCTCACATGGCTTAGAGTGCATTGTTAGGAGAATGTGTCCTAACAGTGATGTCACTTGAGTGGCACTCAACACTTAGTTCTCAAGCGAAGCTGCAGTGGCAGGATGGCCCAGCTGGGCTCAGCAAGGGTGGTTCTACCTGCTCTCCCATCCCTGTGGCAACTGCCTTGGATCAGTCAGGGATCTCCAGAGAAAGAACACCAATAGAAGATATATAGACATATATAAGAGGAGATTTATGATGGGAATTGACTCATTCAATCATGGAGGCAGAGAAGTCCCATAATCTGCCATCTGCAAGCTGGAGAATCAGGAAAGCTGGTGGTATCATTCAGCCCCACGCCAAAGGCCTGAGAACCAGGAGCTCAGATGTCTGAGGGCAGGAGAAGATGGACGTCCCAGCTCAAGGACAGAGAGTATTTGCCCTTCTTCAGCCTTTTTGTTCAGTTTTGCCCCTCAACAGATTAGATGGTACCAGGGAACATTGGTGAGGGCAGATCTTTACTCAGTCTACTGGTGCTAATGCTAATCTCTTCTGGAAACACCCTTGCAGACACACCCAGAAAGAATGTTTGACCAGCTGTCTGGGCATCTATAGGCCCAGTCAAATTGACACATAAAATTAACCCTTGTGTTTTTTGTTTGCTAGTTTGTTTGTTTTGACAGTGTCTTACTCTGTCACCCAGGCTGGAGTGCAGTGGCATGATCTTGGCTCAGTGCAGCCTCAACCTCCCAGGTCCAAGCAATTCTCCCACATCAGCAGCCTCTGGAGTAGCTGGAATCACAGGCATGTGCCACTATAACTAGCTCATTTTTAAAATTTTTGTAGAAATGGGGTCTCACTCTGATACCCAGGCTGGCCTCAACCCCCTGAGCTCAGTCAGTCCTCCTGCCTCAGACTCCCAAAGTACTGGGATTACAGGTGTTAGCCACCATGCCCAGCCTCATGTGCTTCTTTTCACTTTTCACTCTTGCCACAGCCCAGATGTGTTCTTTCACACTTAACAGCCCAGATGTGTTCTTTCTCTCAGGCTGATGCGTGCTTCTGAACAGCTGACCCTGAGGCCTTCATCCACCTCTTGACCAGGACCCCCTCATCAGGGCTTCCATCCAGGTAAGGGTGTTGGACCATTTCCAGCTCAACCCCTTTCGAAAGCATGGCCTCTTTCTCTGTGGGCTCACCTCCCAGCACCCAAGGAGTCGACACCAGGACTCCAGAACCTACTTCAAAGCAACACAAGACCCCTTCCACTCTCCCAGCCCTACCATCTCACACACACACACACACACACACAGCCTCTCCTTCCATGGGCAGAAGTCAGTGTAGAGGCAGGAGCTCCAAGCCCTGAGACCATCAGGATAATTTCATTATGTCCTTCAGCCGGGCGCGATGGCTCACACCTGTAATCCCAGCACTTTGGGAGGCTGAGGCAAGCAGGTCACCTGAGGTCAGGAGTTTGAGGCCAGCCTGGCCAACACAATGAAACCCTGTCTCTACTAAAAATACAAAAATTACCCAGGTGTGGTGGTACACGCCTGTAGTCCCACGTACTCAGGAGGCTGAGGCACGAGAATCACTTGAACCCAGGAGGAAGAGGTTACAGTGAGCCGAGATCATGCCACTGCACTCCAGCTGGGTGACAGAGTGAGATCCTGTGTCAAAAAAAAAAAAAAAAAAAAAGTCCTTCATCTGTCACCAACAGAAACCTAGGATGCCCAGCTCATCCCTCGCCACTGGTTCCATTCTCCATAAGGCTTAGATGTCACCTATTAATGAGGCATCCCCAGAAAAGCACACCCATCTGTATTTCCTATCCTGTTCCCTGCTTTATTTTTCTCTATAGCAGGTTTCTCGCTTATAGCTTTCTTATTTATTTTGCTTATTTTCCAGCCTCTCCCACTAAAATATAAGTTCCACAAAAACAGATATCTTTGTTTTGTTCCTTGCTGTGTTCCCAGACCCTGGAACACAGTGTGACAGAGAGAGGGAGAAAGAGGCTTAACTTTCCATGAAGAAAAGTTTTAGAGGCCGGGCGCGGTGGCTCACGCCTGTAATCCCAGCACTTTGGGAGGCCGAGGTGGGCGGATCACTTGAGGTCAGGAGTTCGAGACCAGCCTGGCCAACATGGTGAAACTCCGTCTCTACTAAAAATACAAAAATTAGCCGGGTATGGTGGCGGGCTTCTGTAATCCCAGCTGTTCGGGAGGCTGAGACAGGAGAATTGCTTGAACCCGGGCACCAGAGGTTGCAGTGAGCTGAGATTGTGCAATTGCATTCTAGCCTGGGTGACCAGAAACTCCAGCTAAAAAAAAAAAAAAAGGTTTTAGAAAAGCGTTTCTCCTCTCAAGTTCCCTTGAGATGTGACTCAGACAATGTTTCCCTGCCAGCTTTTTAGAGTCCTTCCTCACTCTTAATGCACCAGACTTCCAGCTCCTCTCCCAAACCCTGGGAGTGCCAGAGCCCTCTGGGGTCAGTAGGGCCCCTGTGGGAAGCAGCTGTCACATTCCTCACGGGTTCACGTCTTGCCAGGGCCAGCACAGCAGTTATTGCAAACACTTTTTCAAAGATCTGTCAGGTGAGGAGCCCCCTTGGACCATGGCACAGCCCCTACTGGTTTCCCACCCTGAACCGTCTCCTTCCTGGGTTACAGAGGGCACTTGATGCAGGCCTGCCGAAAGGGAAAGTTGCGGAACTGAGAGAAGCAACTTTCTGATTACAAAACTGAAACGAATCTAAAGCCAAAAAGTTCTGCCTACTTACAGTGGCTGGTCTCCAGGCCACAGCCAATGCTTGCAGCTCAGAGCTGCAACCCAGTCATTGCAGGTGTGGCCACGGCTTTTGCTGGGAGGGGGCCTCAGGCAGCCTCTTCTGCCCCCACTGCCAACAGAGCTGAGAAACGCAGTGGGCATCGCCAGGGCTGCTGCTGGAGCGGGAGGAGGCAGGGCCCTTGCACCACAAGGCCTGGCAGAAGCACCTGGAGGCCAGCGCTTTGCGGGACTCGCCTTAGCCAGCTGAACAGAGCAAGGATTCCGATTCACGTGGGCCTGCACGGGTTTGGGGGAGAGGGGATGAAGAATGGGATTTAAGCAGGAGATAAGCAGAGGGAAGGAAAGGGAAACAGGCAGTGCCTAGCATAGGCCACCAGACAGTTACCACCATGCTAACAGAGTTATCATTAAATGCTTTAAGGGAAAAAAATCATTTTTTCTTTTTTCTTTTTTAACCAACCATACTCTGAACTCTGAGAAGCTAGAAAATCTTTTTCTCAAGTGGCCTAGTGGTTAAGAGTCAGGGAACTATTATACAGTTAGTCACACCTGGACTCAATTTTGTGCTCTGCCTCTTCCCCTCGGAGTCACCTTGAATAAATGTCTTCACTTCCCTAAACCTCCCTTTCCTCATCTATAAAAAGATGACAGTAGTTCCTACCTCTTAGGGTAGTTGTAAGGATTAAGTAAGGTAATGTTTCTAAAGCTCTTAGCACGGTGCCTGGCACACAGTAAATGCTAAGTTCCTCTGATTGCATATGTACTCTCTCAAATGGCAGCATTGTCAACATTCCCATGGTCAGCTACTTCTTCTGTAACTCCATTTATGTTAGATTTGAATCATGCAAAGTTATTTGCACAGCGAAGTAAAAGTTACTGCCATACTGCATGTAATCCAAAGCAAAAGTAAATGCTCCATTTCAACTATAAGCAGCTTTCCGTTCCTAGCACAACTCAAATGGAAAGATGTTGAAGTGACTTTTGCTTGTTTTTTATATTCACCAGAATTTTTCAGTATGATTTATACAGTAGCTTCATGCAGTTTGAGATCTCAGCCTCTCTTTGCTTTGCTGTCACCATTTTCAAATCTTCTAATCACATCCCATTCCCATCTCACTTCCAGTGTCACCACATTTCATTCCTTTGCTGTACTTCTTTTTTTTTTGAGATGGAGTCTCACTCCATTACCCAGGCTGGAGTGCAGTGGCACGATCTTGGCTCACTGCAACCTTCGCCTCCTGGGTTCGAGAAATTCTCCTGCCTCAGCCTCCCGAGTAGCTGGGACTACAGGCACGCACCACCATGCCCAGCTAATTTTTTTTGTATTTTTAGTAGAGACGGGGTTTCACCATGTTGGCCATGATGGTCTCCATCTCTTGACCTCGTGATCTGCCCACCTTGGCCTCCCAAAGTGCTGGGATTACAGGTATGAGCCACCGCGCCTGGCCCTGCTGTACTTTCATCTCTGTAAAATGGTACCATCTCTGTACCATTTTTGTAAAATGTCTTGTGAGTTTATCACTGGAGGACAAGGAGGAAACACAACCAAGTACTTTACTGTCGGTGCCTGAACTGAACAACAGAGGTGCAATAACCAGTCACCAACAGACTTTTTAAGTAAGTGACATGGTTGGTCACTGATTGTGATGTGGGCATGTAATTTACCTAGTAATTTGTGGACTGAAGAGCTAGCAGCAAAGTTTGTACTTTATTCAATTACTCATAGTTCATATACTGTGGTAACTGTAATTGTACCATGTTATTGAAGGACTGGTGTTCTCAACTAAACCGTAGTAACTAAAATTTGTGCATATTGGAACTGTATAAGGCCAGCTCTGTGTGTAATGATGATGGGTGTTGGATGGCTTGCCATATGCCAGGCCTTGCTCTAGGTGTTTTACTCATATAATCCTTCCTACCCTTTGAGGAAGGTAGCATTACTGATCCCCATATTACAGAGGAGGAGACTTAGTCACAAAGAGATAACATGCCCAAAGGCATGTGGCTGGCAAGTGGCCTGTGTTTTTAATTACCATGCCATACTTCCATTATAGAGATGAGGATGCTGTATCAGGATCATGTGGCTCATAAGTGGTAGTGTGTGGGTGCTATCTATCACAGCTGCCTCTACCCCAGCCTACCTGGGAGGATCATCATTTCAACATAAAGTGGCTTTCAGCACTTCCCCAGCTCACAGAAAAAGAAAGATGCAGCCTCAAACACCACCTATGTTTCCCAATTTTATTTGTTAATTTTTTTAATTTTTTTTTTTTTGTAAGAATAGAGGCAGAGTCTCACTATGTTGCCCAGACTGACCTCAAACTCCTGGGCTCAAGTGATCCTCCCACCTCAGCCTCCCAAAGTTCTGGGATCACCCAGCTCACTGCATGAGCCACCATGCCTGGCCTTTATCTGTTCATTTTTGCATATGTAATACATGGGCCAAAATTCAAAAAGAACAAAGACTACACCATCTCTGTCTCAGGATATCCCACCTTCCAGCCTCATTTTCCTCCCCAGAGGCACCCAGTGATACCAGTTTCTTCTCCCTCCACTCTGGAACATCCCATGTCACCCACCCCTCTCAGATATCTATTAAAAGTTTGATCAGGGGTGCGGTGGCTCACGCCTGTAATCCCAGCACTTTGGGAGCCCAAGGTGGGAGGATCACTTGAGATCAGGAGTTTGAGACCAGCCTGGCCAACATGTAGAAACCCGGTCTCTACTAAAAATACAAAAATTAGCCAGGCATGGTGGTGGGCGCCTGTGATCCCAGCTACTCAGGAGGCTGAGGCAGGAGAATCACGTGAACCAGAGAGGCAGAGGTTGCCGTGAGCTGAGATCACGCCACTGTACTCCAGCCTGGGCGACAGAGTGAGACTGTCTTAAAAAAAAAAAATAGAAAAAGAAAAAGAAAAAGAAAAACTTATGCCCAGAATCCTGGGTTATAGCAAATTTATTTATTTATTTATAGACGGAGTCTCTCTCTGTCGCCCAGGCTGGAGTGCAGTGGCGCCATCTCAGCTCACTGCAAGCTCCTCCTCCCGGGTTCACGCCATTCTCCTGCCTCAGCCTCCCTACCTACAGGTGCCCGCCACCACGCCCGGCTAATTTTTTGTATTTTTAGTAGAGACGGGGTTTCACCGTGTTAGCCAGGATGGTCTCAAACTCCTGACCTTGTGCTCCGCCCGCCTTGGCCTCCCAAAGTGCTGGGATTACAGGCCTGAGCCACTGTGCCCGGCCAACAATTTTAAATGTAAGAAAAAGTCACTAAGAAAAAGTTACTGAAGAATCAAAATCTTTTAAAAGTTATCTTTGGGTTATTTGTTTTGTTTCCAGGAATTTGAGAAGGATTTAAACACCATGAAGAAAAAGAGTTTGCTGTGAAATTTGTGGAGGGAAGAGCAATAAAAAGTCAACATCTCCCAGCGGGACAGGACGAGTGCGCTGCTATTTCCCGAAAGGCGCTCAGGAAGGGCCCTGCCTCCGGGTGGGGAGGAGAGGCGGGCAGCCTGGACTTAACCAGAGCCTGCCAGTTGCTCGTGTTTATTGAGGGCCATCTGCTCTCAGGGCCCTCAATCTTGTACTCGGTCTATTTGGAAAAGGATTTAAAGGGCAAAGAAAATAATATCTTCATCTACTATTCGGGCTTTTCCAGGACAATACTGATTTCAAATATTTTATCCTCCTGTCGCCTTAAGCTATCACAAATGTTTTAGAAATCCCAACTTCGTAGTGTCTAAATGGAATTTTCAGAATTGCCTGTAAACCTCTTACCTTCTGCAGCACAAAATCCTTTCTCTGAACACACATCTCAGATTTTTGGCTGGGATAATACAGTCATCATAGAATACTGAACAGAAGGAATTTCAAGGAAGGCAATTTAAAGTTAGAGGGAAGAGCAGTAAATGTAAAACTATAAACAAATAAAAATGAAATAATAGCTCGTTCTTATTGAGAGATTTAGTGCCGTGCTTATGGTTGTGGATACTGAAGCCAGTCTCTCTGGGTTCATATCCCAGCTTTGATACTTACTAGCTGTGTGACCTGGACAAGCCAGTTAACCTCTCTGTGCCTCAGTTTCCTCATCCACTAAAATGTGGAGAATGGTACAGGGTTATGAGGGTTTCGTGAGGCTTTTTTTTTTTTTTTTTTTTTTTGAGACAGAGTCTCGCTCTGTTGCCCGGGCTGGAGTGCAGTGGCACGATCTCGGCTCACTGCAAGCTCCGCCTCCCGGGTTCACGCCATTCTCCTGCCTCAGCCTCCCGAGTAGCTGGGGCTACAGGCGCCCGCCACCACGCCCGGCTAATTTTTTGTATTTTTAGTAGAGATGGGGTTACACCGTGTTATCCAGGATGGTCTCGATCTCCTGACCTCGTGATCCACCCACCTCGGCCTCCCAAAGTGCTGGGATTACAGGCGTGAGCCACCGCGCCCGGCCCTTGAAGCTTAAGTATATTACAACAGGAATTTAGAGCTGAGCCCGGGGCAAAGGAAGCACTTTATTCGGATTTGCTCTTGTCATTGGCCCTCACCCTGGGCGGGGTGGTAATCTATTTACACAAACGAACTCATTTAACCTTCACCACAGGCCCCCCCACCCCCAGACAGGTCCCCTCAGTATTCCTCCTGGGCATTTGAGGAACCTTAGACCCGCAGAGGCTAAGTGACTCACCTAAGTCACCCTCCTTGGAGGTGGAAGAGCCAGAATTCAATCCCAGGTCCCAGAACTTATGACCACCTTGCTCACTATAAACATAAGTGAACAAAAAGTGATAGAGATATTTTAAAGCAGTGCAAGTCCTTGCTTCTTTGTGACCTGAAACTCCATCGACTGCTCACCTGGTATTGCCCCTAAACCACTTTCAGTTGTGTTGATCCATCCACTTCTCAATATCAGCTGTCGATATTGAGTGGCCAATTTCCGCCAAACTCCGATTAAACTCTTGGCACATGCTGGAGTCAGCCTTCTGCCTTCCTGCAGAGAGCCTTCTGACAGGGACAGGCGTCTTCCGGCCACATGGGGTTCAGGAGGAGGACAAATGCTCCAGCACTGATCTGGAAAAGACTATAGCAAAGCATATCGCCCATCAGCCTCCAGAAGGGCTAAGGGGCTATAGATGGAAGAAAGGCTGCAGGAATACATAATAGCTTGGTAAATAATTTGAAGTCTTTGAAAATTATTTCTGTCACTGTTGTTTGAGCCACCTTTTCATTACTCAATATGCCTGATTTATGGATATCACATTTAGGTGAGTGAGTCATTAAAACATGCATATAAAGTTGTCACACACAGACACTTGATGACTGTAGATGAGATTATTTATTGGAAAATAAAGGTGAATGTTGTAACAAGGGCAATCCGACTTTGGAGTCACCCCACTGAATTCCATTAACTGAATTCAATTGAATTATGCTACTGTTGATGGCTAGAAGCTGTGTGACTTTAGGTGAATCATGTAAGATCTCTAAGCCTCATTTTCTTTTTTGAAAGGAGAGAGAACTGACCAGGCCATCTCTTCAAGCGCATGTTTTTCTATTCAGCACCAATCAAGCAAAAAATTCTGACAGTCTCTTATATGCTAAGTCTTCTCGTAGCAGCCTGTTCTTTTCTTCGTAACACTTATCACAATTTATAATGATGCATTCATTGTCATGTTTAGTAACTGTCTCCCCCGCTAGACAGAGCAAGGACCACATCTGACTCAGTCATCAACACATTCCAGCACCTAGCATGATGCCTGGCACATATTAGCACTCGGCAAATATTTGTAAAATGCACGAGTTAGTTAATTAATGAAATGCGGGGAATGACCTAGACACACTCCATTCACTAGGATATAATGTAGTATTTACTAGAATCTGAACTCTCTTGCAGAGAAGAGCAAATGATTAAATCTGAGAGAGGAAGAGGCTGAGAAAGACTTCCAGGATTTGGTTTATCTGCTCTGGGTCCTAAAAGAATCCCAGGCAGAGGTATAAATGTTGAGGGCCAGGGGGTAGGAGGAGCATCGCAAACTGGGAAGAGGAAAAAGGAGTCTTCTGTATTGGGATTTTCAAGGATAGGCAGAAAATATATGGTTTGGGGGGAATCTCAAGCCAATTGTTATTTCTGGAGCATAGAATCCAAGGCAAGTAGCCGGGCGCGGTGGCTCACACCTGTAATCCCAGCAGTTTGGGAGGCCGAAGCAAGTGGATGATGAAGTCAGGAGATCGAGACCACCCTGGCTAGCACGGTGAAACCCCGTCTCTACTAAAAATACAAAAAATTAGCCAGGCGTGGTGGCACGCGCCAGTAATCCCAGCTACTTGGGAGGCTGAGGCAGGAGAATCACTTGAACCCTGGAGGCAAACGTTGCAGTGAGCTGAGATTGCGCCACTGCATTCCAGCCTGGGTGACAGAAAGAGATTACAACTCAAAAAAAGAAAAAAAAAAGAATGCAAGGCAAGAATAATTGAGGTAAATGAGACAGCAGTGTAATTGATGGGTCAAAGTACCAGAGGAGGCAGGAAGTGAGGATCTAGAATGTGGGGTATGGCAAGGACCAGGGCCAAGTCTTCCACTGAAGCAGGCAGCTAGGAGGGAAAGATGGGAAGAGGAGCAGCTGTGTTCTGAGGGGAGGAAGTCTGTTTATGTCTTCCTTTAACACAGGGGTCTGCAAACTTTTTTTTGAAAGGGCCAGAGAGTAAAGATTTTTGTCTATGTGGGCCACATAGTCTCTGTTACAGCATCTCAACTCTGCAGCTATAGGGCAAAAGCAGCTACAGGCAACACTTAACTGAGTGATATGTCTGTATTCCAGTGAAACTTTGCATATGAACACTGAGATTTGAATTTTACTTAATTTTTACATCACAATATATTATTCTTTTGATTTTTCTCTAACCCTTTAAAAATGTAAAAACCTTTCTTAGCTCATGGATCATACAAAGCAGGTGGTGGCTGGGATTTTGCCCATGGGCCACAGTTTGCCAATCCCTGCTTTGACAGATATTTATTGAGTTTCTACTATGTGCCAGGCAGTAAGCCAGGTTTTAGGAATACAAGGTCCTTGCATGCAGGAATCCACAGAGGGGTTTAGGAATAAGACATAGAAATAAATGACTATGGTAATATAAGCCAAGCCCCGTGCCTCACGAATGGATGAATGAATGAACTAAATAAAAGTATTATATCAAAACAGCTACCTATATCAAACAAGTTTGGACTTTGACCACCATGAGGGCTGCATATACTGTGTACTGCACAAATCCAGAAGTTGCCATGTGCATGCACTTCAGTGTAAATGGTACCCCCTGGAGTTGTGTGGTGGCCCTGGTGGTAGCCCAGTGGAGGACTCTGGGTGCATCCTGAGGCTGGACCGGAAGGCCTCACAGAGGAAAAGGGAGTTAAGCTGAGTCTTGCAAGGTGAGTAGGAACTTTGTCAGGCAAGTAAAGCAGGATAGGGCATTCCAGGAGGAGCAACAGTGTGAAAGAACGCTGCATGTGTAAAGGGAAAAGCATGAAGTTCACAAGGCACTCAGGGTGTGGAGAGTGAGCTGTGGAAAATGAGGGTAGAAAGGGAAGTCACGGCAATACAAGGAAGGGTCTTGTGGGCCACACTGAGTAATTGGCATGCTATCCCAGACCTGCACCGTCCAATCCAGTAGCCATTAGCCACAACTGAGTTCCACAGTCACATTTCTGTAGCCATGTTCAAATGCCCAGTGGCCATATGGCTAGTGGCTGCCATATTGGACACTTCCATCATCACAGTTTCATTGGGCACACTGTTGTGACTCTGAGGAGCCTCTGAGGATCTTTCAGCAGAGGAGAGGCAGTACCATGTTTTCATTTAGATGAAATGAAAGGGTGGAGGGTGCACTGGAGCCGAGGAGACTACTACGATAGTCCAAATGGGAAATCTGGAGTCCCTAAAAACAGGCAGTGTCTGTGAGAAAGGGAACAGAGGGACAGATTCAAGAACGACTTAGATGATGGAACCTAGTGATAGGTATGTGTGGAGCCTGACAGAGAGGACAAATCCCAGTTTCTAGACTGACCCTGAAATGGCATCTACTCTCAGTGAAGAAGAAGGCATGGTCAGCCGCTGAGACTCGGGTAGGAGACTTGGTTAGGCCATTTGTCCTCTCTGGAGCTGTAACCTTGCTATACAACAAAGAGAAGAGAGTGAAGGGAATAACCTTTTAAAAATATTTACTTTTCTATTAATATTTCAAATCACTTTCTATTTATTTATGTATGTATATATGTATGTATTTGTTTATTTTTTAGAGATGGGGTCTCACTATGTTGCCCAGGCTGGCCCCAAACTCCTGATCGAGAGATCCTCCTGTCTTGGCCTCCCAAAGTGTTGGGATTAGAGGCATGAGCCACCATGCCCGGCCACACACATCAACTCCTAGTAACAAAGTGTAGCCAAAATTCTTCACTTATTATATGGCTAGAACAGCTCTTTATCATGTTAGCTACCAAAAGTTTCAAGAAGATGAATAAAAATCTTTAATCTTTTGGTTCTCTAAGCATTACATTCTTTAGCATTTATTGAGTGACTGCTATTTGTAAGACATTGAGGGTAAAATGAGACATGAGAGACACAATCTCAGCCATCAATCTTTGATTTAAAAAAGACTTCAAATCAAAGGAATAATATATTTTTAATTTTTTAATTTTGTATTGTACAAATGTATGGAGTACATGAGAAATTTTGTTATATGCATATAATGGGTAGTGATCAAGTCAGGGAATTTAGGGTGTCATCACTCAAGCACAATACATTTTGTTAAGCATATTCACCCTACTCTATCAAATATTCAGGGTGTACTTCTGGAATCTTCACAGAGACAAAAAAAAAAAAATTCAGGGTATTTATGGTGTCCATTACCCAAGAACAATACATCTTTATTAATTATAATCACTCTACTCTTTCAAACATTTAATTTATTCCTTCTGCCTTACTGTATGTTTGTACCCATTAACCCACTTCTCTTCATCCTCCCTCTTCCACTCACCCTTTCCAGCCTCTAATCTACTGGTTTTTTTGTTGTTGTTGTTTTGTTTTGTTTTGTTTTTGAGACGGAGTGTCACTGTGTCGCCCAGGTTGGAGTGCAGTGATGCAATTTTGGCTCACTGCAACCTCCACCTCCCAGATTCAAGCGATTCTCCTCCTGCCTTGGCCTTCTGAGTACTGGGATTACAGGCACCTGCCACCATGCCTGGTTAATTTTTGTATTTTTAGTGGAGACGGGGTTTCACCATGTTGGCCAGGCTGGTCTCAAACTCCTGATTTCAGGTGATCTGCCCACCTCGGCCTCCCAAAGTGCTGGGATTACAGGCATAAGCCACCGTGCCCAGCCCCTAATCTATCTTAAAAAGAATAATACTTAGATACCTGTTGCCGGAAGTCAGGACCCTGGAACGGAGGGACCGGCTGAAGCCATGGCAGAAGAACATAAATTGTGAAGATTTCATGGACATTTATTAGCTCCCCAAGTTAATACTTTTATAATTTCTTATGCCTGTCTTTACTGCAATCTCTGAGCATAAATTGTGAAGATTTCATGGACCCTTATCACTTCCCGAATCAATACCCTTGTGATTTCCTATGCCTGTCTTTACTTTAATCTCTTAATCCCATCATCTTCGTAAGCTGAGGAGGATGTATGTCACCTCAGGACTCTGTGATGATTGTGTTAACTGCACAAATTGTTTGTAGAGCATGTGTGTTTGAACAATATGAAATCTGGGCACCTTGAAAAAAGAAGAGGATAACAGCAATGTTCAGGGAACAAGAGAGATAACCTTAAACTCTGACTGCCGGTGAGCTGGGCGGAACAGAGCCATGTTTCTCTTCTTTCAAAAGCAAATGGGAGAAATATCGCTGAATTCTTTTTCTCAGCAAGGAACATCCCTGAGAAAGAGAATGCGTCCCTGAGGGTAGGCCTCTGAAATGGTCACTTTGGGGGCGGCTGTCTTTTACGGTCACAGCTGTAGGGATGAAATAAGCCCCAGTCTCCTGTAGCGCTCCCAGGCTTATTAGGACGAGGAAATTCCCGCCTAACAAATTTTGGTCAGACCAGTTGTCTGCTCTCAAACCCTGTCTCCTGATAAGATGTTATCAATGACAATGCGTGCCCAAAACTTCATTAGCAATTTTAATTTCACCCTGGTCCTGTGGTCCTGTGGTCTCGCCCTGCCTCCATTTGCCTTGTGATATCTTATCACCTTGTGAAGCATGTGATCTCTGTGGCCCACACCCTATTCGTACACTCCCTCCCCTTTTGAAAATCACTAATAAAAACTTGCTGGTTTTGCAGCTTGTGGGGCATCACGGAACCTGCCAACATGTGATGTCTCCCCTGGACACCCAGCTTTAAAATTTCTCTCTTTTGTACTCTGTCCCTTTATTTCTCAGACTGGCCGACACTTAGGGAAAATAGAAAAGAACCTACGTGACTATCGGGGGCAGGTTCTCCCGATAGATACCAATGCCATCAATCCCCTCCATTGATTCTGTTTTACGTCTGGTGTTCAGAAAAGTAATTTATCCTCAGTTACTACTATTAATAAAATTTCAAAGCAGCTTCAGGGTGTTCTGGATATGAATATTTGAGAGTAAGGAGTTTCTGCTTTCAGCAAAAGCCAGCATAAGCTCATTTACCCAGGTGTGACTGAAGCGGTTGGTTTTGCAATCAGATGAACCCAGGTTTGAATCCTGCCTCTGCCACTTATTGGCTATACAGTCTTTTGTAAGCATAACATCTCTGAGCATCAGTTTACTCATCGTAAAATAGGTGACAGTTTACCTCATAGAATCCATGTGGCAAGTAAGTGAGATTAATGCAAGAGAATCACTTGGCAGAATGCTTGGCACTTGGAAAGCATTCAATAACAGGGACGTATATCCCTCATTTATTTCTCATTTATTCAATGTTTTCGACCTGGGCAGGAAAACTAAACATGGCCTCTGTCTCTCTTTCCTCATGTCCTCCGTCATTCTATTCTGATCCAAGCCAGGTTGGTTGGGCATAAGTGGTTCTACTCCCACTTGTCTTGGAATTTTTTCTGTAAAAGGTGCATTATACATTCCTCTCTATTTGGCGAGAGTGCACTTGGTATCTGGCCAGTTTCTCCCCCCATCATAATGGGAGCTGGGACATGAATAGCAGCCTGAACTCAAGCTAAGATCTCTTACCATCCCTCTCTGCTGATTCTTGCCACCAGTGATTAACAGTGACAAATTAAGGAGCGTTAAGACCACAGTTTGGTTTACTTCTGGCACAGAGAAATGTACACAGTAAAAACAGACAAAATCCACAGATGATTTTCACATATTTGTAAAGCGTTCCCCAGAGAGCATAAGTTATATTATAGGAAACCCAAGCGTTGGCCACGTGGCTGTCTTCACGTCCTTCAGCTGGCTGGTGTCACTAGCAGGGTTGGAAACCCAAAATGTCCACATGTTCCCACTAGGATTGTGTTCTCATCCGATTTTCCATCTCTCATCCAATTTCTCATTTACACTGAACTCTGAATCTCCTTCTAGCATTGACTTCTTACTGCTGTTTCGTTCCATCAGCTGGTTTGACCCAAACAAGGAAATCAGTATCTTTTGCTTTGAATATCCCAAGGCAATGACTGGCCCAACACAAAGCTGGGAAATAAAGGTGTGGGGGTAATTTATTCCTTAAAAAAAAAAAAATGTACAAGTGATGTGGGTGCGGTGGCTCACTCCTGTAATCCCAGTACTTTGGGAGGCCGGGGCAGGTGGATCAACTGAGGTCAGGAGCTCAAAACCAGCCTGACCAAGATGGTGAAACCCCATCTCTACTAAAAATACAAAAAAGTTAGCTGGGCGTGTTGGCGGGCACCTGTAGTCCCAGCTAGTTGGGAGGCTGAGACAGGAGAATCGCTTGAACCTGGGAGGTGGAGGTTGCAGTGAGCGGAGAAATTGCATCACAGCACTCCAGCCTGGGTGACACAGCAAGACTCTATCTCAAAAAAAAAGTAAAAGTGACTAGTTATCATGAGGGCTGGCTTCATGGGTGTGCAAGCATTGCAGTCCTATGGGACCCTGTGCCCAGAAGAATCCTGTACTTGGGCTTTCATATTCTTTGGTCACTGTCTTAAAATTCTTAATAATTTTATCTTTGAATTTGCACTTTGTAAGTGAAGTCTGTTGGGTCAATGGTGTGTGCACCAGGGACTTGGAGCCTGGATTCATGCTCAGTACTGCCCCAGGCCAACTCCCTGCCTTACTGGGCCAGGTTCTCAGCTGTCCCCAATGGACTCCCTCACCCACCCACTGCCCACCTCTGCTGGGTGCCCCAGGCCCCCTCTCCACCCTCACCCAATGGCCTCCCCTCCACCCGATGCCTCTCCACTGTGGGTTGGGGTGGCCGGCACATGCGAAAGTGAGATGCCTGACCTCACTTCCCCAGCCCTGACTTGGGCAAAGCACCTGAGGCGGTGGCTGATGGGAGGGGAAAGGAGAACCTGCAGCCGGTGGGTCCCCGAGCAGTGCCCCCACGGGCTGGGTGCCTCGAGGATCTGCACTGGTGGGATTCCCTATGCCTGAGGGAGCACAGCAGTAAGTAGCAAATTAAAAACAGCATGACAGGCTGCAGTTGAAAGGGAAGCACTTCCTATTTGAGCACCACTGACGGCACTTTTTCCTGCATTTGGAACATGTTCATTTTGGTTCCTCACTGGGCTCCACGGATTACTGGTCGTCATGGTCGGCATTTTGCTGATATTCTGTAGCTCTCTCTGCCGTAGGGAATTTCTCACTGGCCAGCTTCCCCCACCAGGTTTCTTTGATTCTTCTCAAGTCGCCATAGACCCTTCTCATCTCCCTCTTTTCCTGTCCTGTTCACCCCTTCAATCCTTCTTCCTAGCCCCAAACTCCAAATTACCTCATGCTACTGTGCAGAATTCTCTAACACTCTGTTTCCATTTTCCATCTTCCAGATCGAGTTCCTAAAACCTAACTTTTCATGACCAAATGACCTACTAAAAGTGTTTTTGTGAAACAAAAAACAGGTTATTCCCCGAGAGAAATTCTACTACCAGCAGTTTTGGTGGCTTTTGTTGTTGTTTCCAGTAGCAGGCTTTTTTTCTCTCCATTGTGTATACATAAATCGCCAATTACTTGTCAACAGCATTTACCAAGTTGTGTTCCCTGGAAGATTAGTGCCATAAAACAGCCCAGAAAAGAAAAGGGTTTTACAGCCAGTAAGTTTGGGAAACATCAAATACTCTGCTTCCCTCCCCTCCCACTCTTTTTTGTAGATTTCTATGTCACATTAGCTTATTAAGGAAATTGGTTTGATTTTATTTTAAATAGCATTTTGCAATTTATTTGTCAATGGACCCCTTTTTGTCAAGTAACAGCTACTAACTGTCCACTTTGAAAGCATTGCCTTAGAGCCAAGATCGGCAAACTTTTTCTGATAAGGGCCAGATGGTAAATATTTTAGGCTTTCTGTGCCACTGCTGCCCTCTGTTCTTGTAGCTCAAAAGCAACCATAGACGATACATAAATGAACGAGTGCGGCTGTGTTCCTATAAAATTTTATTTATGAACACTGGAATTTGAATTTCATATCATTTTCACTTGTCACGAAATAGTCTTCTTTGAATTTTTTTTTTGTCCAACTATTTAAAAATGTAAAAAAACATTCTTAGCTCAAGAGACAAACGAAAACAGGTGGTGGGCTAGACTTGGCTGGGAGGCAATATTTTGACAATCTCCGACTTAGAGGAAGACGGAGGAAAAAAAGTTACTCATAAGCACAAGTTGAATACCATTTCTCTACCTTAAATATTATTGATTATGATTTTTTTCAATTGATTATATCTTACTACCTCTGGGCTATTAAAAGAAAAAAAAGCATTGTTGCCCCTTGAGGCTCAGATGGTTTCAACTCCTATGATTAGCTGATACTTAAGCTCTTGGTGGTAAATACTTAATTATCTCATGTCTGCAACTATTTCAGCACACACCCTCCTGTTCCAAGCAGGTTAGCTCTCCGTATGTGAGTCGCTGCAAGCATTACTTGTTGGGAAGAATCTGGATGCAGAACTAGCCATGTTCTTTAAGCTCTTCCCAGTTGCTTGTTTTGAGATAGATACACTCCCCTAGAGCCCAACACCAGACCCAAAGAACTAAACCACAAAGCAGACACCCACGTGCTTTAGAGAATAACTAATTCCCAGTCTTTTCATAATTACACCCACATACACATGTTCTTGACTTCATGGCACATCCCATTTTCCTCTTATAAATACATGGGGTTTTAAGCCAAAATTGATTAAAATTGATTTTCTGAAAGGTTTATTGTTAAGATAATCCCCTAAGATAGCTGGAGATAACGTTGGGAGTTGTAAAAACTCAGTTTATAATCACATTGAATGACATACACTTTAAGGCCCTGAAGTATGTTTCTGTTTTGTCTCTTTTTAAATTCTTATACAGTGGGTATGTGACAGGAATAGAATCAAATGAAGAGGAAATTACAGGGCAGCAACTTTGGACAATAGTGAAAAGGAAAGATGCATTGCTTGCTTTAGTGTTCATGTGACCACTTTATCCTAGAAGCAGAAATTAAGTGGCAGAGAGTCACCTGTGAGTGTGACTAATGCCGTCAATTCCAGGAGAACAAGAAAAAAAAAGCCTTCTGTCCCAACTGAGAGAGCAACAAAGCCATTTTAAGAAACCAGCATAAAAACATGAACAAAATCTTAAATGAGAGATGTCTCCTCAACCACCTTGTGGAGGAAACGAAGGCGGGCCACCCACACTCAGTTAATAAAGTCTCAAAGGTGGGCTTGTTAGGGGACTGAGAACCAGGAAGGTGGCAGTGGGTGGGTGGGTGGGTGGCTGGTGACACTCAGTCGTTTTTAGGCAACTCCAAGCATGTGTTTTTGCTGATCTGTGGAAAGCTATATGAGGGAACACATCAAAGCAATACTCCAGGAGGTAAGCCATTGGTATTGTCCATGTCTAAAATCTCCCTAAATACTTAATCACCCGATTCCCTGATTACGTTTGACATCACACTCTTAGAATAATAACATCTGCAGCACAGCTAGAGCCAGTGGCTGGCGGGTGAGGGAGAGCATCTGGTGGCTAGTCAGAAGACATAGACTGTCGCCTTAGCCATGCCATTGACCTACTGGGTGAGCTTGAATTTCCCCCTTTAAGTTCATCTTCTGCCATCATCCTTACCAGATGCTTATTAACACACCAAGGCCTTGTAGTCCAGTGATTAAGAACATGGGCTGGCTGGGCATAGTGGCTCATGCCTGTAATCCCAGCACTTTGGGAGGCCGGGGCAGGCAGATCACAATGTCAGGAGTTCGAGGCCGGCCTGGCCAATATGGTGAAACCCCTGTCTCTACTGAAAATACAAAAATTAGCTGGGCGTGGTGGCGCATGCCTGTAGTCCCAGCTACTCGGGAGGCTGAGGCAGGAGAATCGCTTGAACCTAGGAGGTGGAGGTTGTAGTGAGCCGAGATTGCGCCACTGCACTCCAGCCTGGGTGACAGAGTGAGACTCCATCTCAAAAATAAATAATAAAAAAAGAACATGGGCTATAAAGTCAGATTGCATTCAAATCTTATCTCTTTTACCTACAAGCTGGGAAATCTTCTTCATGTTACTTAGTACATATTAATATCTGTGTTGGTTTACCTCATCTATAAGTACTTGACAAACGTTAGTGACTATTGGGTGCAGGGGCTCACACCTGTAACCCAGCACTTTGGGAGGCTGAGATGGGAAGATTGCTTTGAGCCCAGGAATTTGAGATTACAGTGAGCCATGATCACACCACTGCACTCTAGCCTGAGTAACAGACTGGGACTCTGTCTCAAAACAAAAAAAAAGTGCTAATGATTAATGTGAAGGTTAATGCCTAAATCCAACTGTGCATGGTGGCTCACACTTGTAGTCCCAACACTTTGGGAAGCCAAGGTGGGAGGATCACTTGATGCCAGGAGTTCAAGACCAGCCTGGGCAACATAGCGAGGACCTCATCTCTTAAAAAAAAGAAAAAAAAAAAAGAAGAAATGCCTAAATCCCCCAATCCCATCCCAAAGAGTGGGAAGGGAGCTAGGCCTAGCCCAGGTGGGATGGAAGGTCTAGGGACTTGAGGATCATAGCAGAGAACCCTCATCTGAAGCAACACTGACAACAAGGAGGAGGCAAAGCAAAGCAGGCAATAATTAGAAGTCAGTGCTTATTGAGAGTTTATGATGTTCCACACACTCCTTTTTTTTAAAAAAATTGATACAGAATAGTTGTGCATATTTATGGGGTACATGTGATATTTTGATGCAAGCATACAGTGTGTAATGATCAAATCAGGGTAACTGGAATATCTATCACCTCAAACGTTCATTATTTCTTTGTGTTGGGAACATTCCAAATCTTCTCTTCTAACTATTTTTAAATATACAATAAATAATTCTTAACTATAGTCATCCTATTGTGCTATTGAATACTACAGTTTATTTCTTCTATCCAATTGTATTTTTGTACTCATTAATCAACCCCTCTTTATGCTCCTCTACCCCCACTACCCTTCAAAGTGTCTGGTAACCACCATTCTACTCACTACCTCCATGAGATCAACTTTTTTTGCTCCCACATATGAGTGACAACATGTAATATTTGTCTTTCTACAGCCACTACTTT
Organism: Homo sapiens; assembly: GCF_000001405.40. Lineage (NCBI taxonomy): Eukaryota > Metazoa > Chordata > Mammalia > Primates > Hominidae > Homo > Homo sapiens. The sequence goes on along the minus strand of NC_000014.9, from coordinate 65,140,119 downwards.
TGTGGTGTGATATTATATGCACAGAACAACCCAATGAGTGTTGTTATTCTTATTTGCTCCATTCTGTACATGAGTAAACCGAGGCTTAAAGAGGTCAGGTAAATTGTTTAAGGTCCCAGAGCTAGCAAGGGCAGAACCAATAATTCAACTCAGTTTCCTTGGCTCTAAAGTACATTCACTTAAACACTGCACAAGCTAAGTATCAAAAGACCAGGAGATGGGGAGTTATTGCTTAATGGGTACAGAGTTTCCCTTTGCGGTGATGAAGAAATTCTGGGCCTGGAAAGTGGCTCACACCTGTAATCCCAGCACTTTGGGAGGCCAAGGCTGGTAGATCACCTGAGGTCAGGAGTTCGAGACCAGCCTGGTCAACATGATGAAACCCTGTCTCTACTAAAAATACAAAATCAGCCAGGTGTGGTGGTGCATGTCTGTAAACTCAGCTACTTGGGAGGCTGAGGCAGGAGAATTGCTTGAACCCAGGAGGCGGAGGTTGCAGTGAGCCAAGAGCGCACCATTGCATTCCAGCTTGGGCAACAAGAGCGAAACTCAGTCTCAAAAAAAAGAGAAAGAAATTCTTTAAGTAGTTGTGTTCCTTACACGACATTGTGAATGTACTTAATGCCACTGAATTGTCCACTTTAAAATGGTTAAAATGAATTACCAGGCATGGTGGTGCACACCTATAGTTCCAGCTACTTGGGAGGCTGAGGTGGGAGGATCACTTGAGCCCAGGAGCTCAAGGCTGTAGTGAGCTGTGATTGCACCACTGCACTTCAGCCTGGGCAACAGAGCAAGACTGTCTCAAAAAAATAAAAAATTGGCCAGGCATGGTGGCACATGCCTGTAATCCCAGCACTTTGGGAGGCCAAGGTGGGCGGATCACTTGATGTCAGGAGTTGGAGACCAGCCTGGCCAACATGGCAAAACCTTGTCTCTACTAAAAATTAAAAAAAAAAAAAAAAAATTAGGCCAGGAGTGGCAGCTCACACCTGTAATCCTGGCACTACGGGAGGCTGAGGCGGGTGGATTGCTGGAGCTCAGGAGTTGGAGACCAGCCTGGGCAACACGGTAAAATCCTGTCTCTACTAAAATAGAAAAATTAGCCGGGCGTGGTAGTACGTGCCTATAGTCCCAGCTACTCAGGAGGCTGAGGCAGGAGAATCACTTGAACCTGGAAGAGGGAGGTTGCAGTGAGCCAAGATCGCGCCACTGCACTCCAGCCTGGGTGACAAAGCAAGACTCCGTCTCAAAAAAAAAAAAATTAGCCAGGTGTGGTGGTGGGCACCTGTAATCCCAGCTACTTTGGGAGGCTGAGGCAGAAGGATGGCTTGAACCCAGAAGGCAGAGGTTACAGTGAGCTAAGATCATGCCACTGCACTCCAGCCTGGGCAACAGAGTAAGACTCTGTCTCAAAAAAATAAAATAAGAATAAAAATAATGGTTAAAATGGTAAATTATATATTAAGTATATTTTATCCCTTCCACACATACAAAATGCCAGAAGACAGGCTGAAAGTTCCCCTCAATCCCAAGAGGTTAAAGAGAGCTTTGGAAGTCAAGGACCAAACTAGGCATTAGTGATTGAGAAAAACAAAAGCTAGAATGGACTTTTGTCCATTCCTTGCAAAAAAGATAGTTTGTAAAACATGGTCAATAATAAACTTGAGCTTATTCCTTGAAGAAAGCATTTTGCACCCTTGGAAGCCCACAGGCACAAAGACACCACTATCATGGGCCTTTCCTAGGATTTCATAGAGAAAACGTATTTTAAAAGCCAGAGAACTACCAAGGGGGACAAGCCTACCTTTTAAATAAAAAAAAAAAAAACTGAATCAATCCAGTAAGGGCTGTGTTTGTTGGACAATATTTCTTTCTTGTATAATTAAGACTTGGAATACAAAATGTGCTCACCAAATAATGAAGAAAGTGAAATAAATGTGTGAAAGAGCCAGGAAAATGGAATAGACGATGCCTCGATAAATCCCTTGGGAGAGATTCATGATAAGCAGGTTATTTCCAGTCATAAAACAGTCTGTAAAACAAAGGTGCAGGATAAACACTGGTCCACTTTGTTAAGGAGGCTTGTGGAATAATCTAGGAAAAGTCCGAAACTCCGTGCAGGGCGGATGGGGATTGCCTGGTGGAACAGCACCTGAGCTTCTTGTTTTCTTCACAGAACAGCAGGAGAATCTTAAACAGCTCAGTGAGTGGGGATGGGCCACGGGGAAGGGCGGTGGTATCGCAGATGTTTTGCTTGGGCTCCCCTCTCCAGAGAGTGAAAACTGGATGAAGATGAAAATTAGTCTGGCAGGCCCAGACATGACTAACAATACTCCTACATCTCCATTCCACAAGGCATTTGGCTGGATCCCACATAAGCTGGAAGTGGCCATTTTTCCCCTGGGGTAGTGGCTCCAGTCCAATGCATTGATCATTCGTAGTTGCTAGAAGCCTGGGAGCTGATAATGAATCCGACTGGCTGATAAGAAGATGGTTCACTAGGCCAGGCTCATGCCTGTAATCCCAGCACTTTGGGAGGCTGAGGCAGGCGGATCATGAGGTCAGGAGTTCGAGACCAGCCTGACCAACATGGGGAAATCCTGTCTCTCTTAAAAATACAAAAAAATTGGCCGGGCGCAGTGGCTCACACCTGTAATCCCAGCTCTCAGGGAGGCAGAGGCAGGAGGATAGCTTGAGCCCAGGAGTTCAAGACCTGCCTGGGCAATATAGCAAGACCTCGTTCTCCACAGAAAGAAAGAAAAAAAAAAAGACCAAAAAAAAGTGTAAAATACAAAAAATTAGCCAGGTGTGGTGGCGCGTGCCTGTAATCCTAGCTACTCGGGAGGCTGAGGCAGGAGAATCACTTGAACCTGGAAAGCAGAAGTTGCAGTGAGCCGAGATCCTGCCATTACATTCCAGCCTGGGTGACAGAACAACACTCCATCTCAAAAAAAAAGAAAAAAAGACGGTTCACTGGACATTTTGTAGACATGTGTCCATGTGGCATTAAACTCTAGCCCACTGCCTCCCTATTGGCTTCTTTCTGGTGGTCCAGAGCCTATGTGAGGGTAAGGACTTGGAGAAAACCGTGTCTCCTCAGATGATGAAAGTCTCGGAAAGGGAAATGTTTATTCCTGGCAGTACTGCCCTTTTACCTGGGCAAGAGGTACCCTTTTCCTAGGCCCTATGCATTAAAAGTGCCCTCTCTGGCTCTCCACTGGCAGCCATCCTCCCTCAGAGTGATGTGCCTACTGCACGTCCAAGCCACTCTTCTAACATAACACTCCCAGAATTTCTTGTACAAGCAGCTCTGAGCCCACTTCCAGGGCCTGTGATGTCCTCTTCTCTGTGTCTGTCTTTTGGGTCTGTCCTTAGGAGGACAGACATCTGCATGAGTAGATGCTCCTAAAACCCAAGGGGTAGCCAAGTGGCAACTGTGGGGGAGGAGGTGCAACATACGGATGAAGCATGGTCATGTGGGCTGAGGTGTCTACCCACATGCACACAAAGTCCTTCATGATGCAGATGAGACCAGGGTGTAAAGAGAAGGGAGTGGGCTGGGGAGCTGGGAAGGTACTCCCTGGTCTGCTGTGTCCCTGTGCAGAACCCTGAGGAGTCCAATAACTCTAAATTTGTAACTAACTTTCTAGGTTGTTATGAAGATATATGCATCAAGGTGGGAGGATATAACTTCATTAAGCAGCTTGCTGGTTTGGTGTATAACTTTCAAAGATGTGGCCAAATGGTATGTGGGCCTTCCTTCGTTCTCTTGTCCTAGGCCCTGCAGATGTGGGAAGGCCTTATTTCTAGGTTGCATCCCTTTCTTCCAGATGCCACTTCCCGATAGTAGGGTGGTCAGTTTGTTTGTCTTTCTCCCTCTTAGGCCTAAGAAGTAAACCACTCATCCCTGATTTGCAAAAACCTGCTGTTTATTCTTAGGGGTGAAACCATGAAAGTTAAACCATTAGTCTCCAAGTTAACTGAACAAGGCAAGAGAATCCATACTTTCTCCAAGGAGTAAAACACTGAGTCAAATCATACACCAGATAAAAGGTAATGAAAATTCCTGTTTTCCTTTGGGGTTGTGGCAGTTGATCTAGCAACAGGGGGAGGGAGGCCAGGCTTCTACCTATAGCTGGGAAGCAGCCCTGGCTTTTGCTTTTAGCTCTAGTGGGAGATGCTTGTGGAAAGCACCTGTTGGTTGGGAGCTCAAAGCATTTTCCTTTTTCTCTCCCTAGAGAACCTGCTGAGTGTCCTGGAGGAAATGGGAGGTAAACTGTTCAGAGTAACAAGCCCAGCGAGGCTGTCTAAATGAGCGCCAGCCCGGGTAACTTATGGTAGGGAGTTAGGATAAAATGTCTGGCACACCCTGAAGATTTGGAGGCAGGTTCGATAGCAAACTACTGCCCTGAATATGCAGAGAGGGTGCCAGGTGAGGCTCCTTCTCATACTCCTCATAGTCCTGAAGTTTCACAAAACACAGGAAAGCATTCGGTGAGGTTATTGACATTTGTGATGGAGAGGGAGGGGGAGAAGCCAGTGATGAGACTGGCTCAGCTGTCCTGAGGTTGGCTGGCACCCTCAGGATGGCAGTAAAGCTTGAGTCTAAAGAAGGTGGACTCCTGACTACTCTCAGCCTAGCACTGGGGAAGAGGCCCTGCTCCCGCAGAGGGCCAGACCTCTGAGAAGGGGGCAATTGTGCGACCCCAAGAGAGAGCACTGCCTTAAATGTTATAACCTAAACACCTGGCTTGCCCCACCCCAGGCCCAACCCTGAGGCTGCCAGGTCCAGGGGGTGGTTCTAGGATTACTAGGCAGCTGAGCCACACGTGGGTTGGTTTTTCCTGTCTTGAGAGAAAAAAAGTCAAGCCTTCACAGAGAAGCAGTCCTCTGACAACGAGTGGACTGCCCCGACCTGGACGAAGGCCTGACTCCCTGGGAGATTTGGAGAGGGGCATCCATCCAGCCACAACCTTCCACTGACTCAAAGCCACTTTATTAAGCTGATCTCATCCCTGCCCTTAGCTGCCCTTGAATGCTCTCTCTCTTCTCTCCCCAGACCATGTGGTCCTGGACCCAGAAACTACCAGTGCTTACCTCCAAGAAGCAGAATGTAATCTGAGTGTAATGAACACAGGCATGAAGATGTCTGTGCCTTCCAACCCACAGAGGTTCTCCTACTTCAGTGTGCTGGGGACTGTGGGATTCTCATCAGGCAGACACGACTGAGACGTGCAGGTGGCTTTTGGTGGCTGATGGAGGCTCAGCATGATCAAAGAATGCGTGAGTAGAAAAGAGTGGTTTAAACTAAAACCCAAGGAAGGCACCTCAGTTATTGGGCTCTCTGCCAAAGTCAATACCAGGCTCTCACCTACCCAGGCACTGACATCTTTTTTTTTTTTTTTTTTTTGAGACAGAGTCTCGCCCCGTCACCCAGGCTGGAGTGCAGTGGCACAATCTCGGCTCAGTGCAAGCTCCGCCTCCCAGGTTCATGCCATTCTCTTGCCTCAGCCTCCCGAGTAGCTGGGACTACAGGCACCCGCCACCACGCCTGGCTAATTTTTTGTATTTTAAGTAGAAATGGAGTTTCACCGTGTTAGCCAAGATGGTCTTGATCTCCTGACCTCATGATCTGCCCGCCTCGGCCTCCCAAAGTGCTGGGATTACAGGCGTGAGCCACCGCGCCCGGCCAACATCTTCTTAAAAGACAGACTCAGGACTTTAGAAGAAGGCCAAATGTCATTCTACAACGTGGAGAATTTCACCCCCAGCTCCATTTCTCAGCCATGTGTATTCAGAAAAATCTTTCCTTTTTTCTGGCTGCCCTCAAAAGGGGCGAGCGTTACCCTCTTCCCCTAATAGGAAGCCCCTTCTGAGCATACCTCCTACCAAGAAACTTGGAGTGTGGGTCATAGGCACCCAGGAGTGCTTCTCAAACCATCTTTGCTGAGGCCATGGGAGCACAAGTCTTCTTATTGCTTGTGGGATGATTTGGGTGGTTGGCAACATAGTAGAAATAAAATGAACAGGACATCCCTTGCCATGAGCCTTATCCTGTTTTAATGTAGTAGCCAAGCAAAAACTTTTCTCAACTCAATTCCTTCTACTTTCATCAAATGCCATTTAAAACCCTACTTCAAACTCTCTAGGATAACCCAATTCCTCTGCCCTAAGCTCTCTCTTCCAAACAATGGCAAGGAGAGCAAACGAAGATAATTGTGTAGCCACAGAAAAAACTTAATAACAAAGGCATTATCGAGAATCATACTCAACACATGCATGTTATTTCTATAGCAAGATGTGATGTGAGAACAAAAACTATGCGAGGTTTCTATATGCTTAAAATAGTGTCTTGTATGTATTCCGTAGAGACCCTGCAACATGGGTGTACATCACCATAAAAGATTTTCCTTCTAAGTTTCAAAATATGTGCTGACTATAACTGAGGGAGGCTTAATGATTGGCAAAATTCAGGGCACTTCTCGCTGTGGCCCAGATGTTACTTTCATTCCCATTTGTGACAACAAGGTAGACATTTTAGAACTTTAGGACAAAGACTGACCAAAAGAATTTTACTGTCCCTTGATTTCCTATTAAATTCAGCCTCAAGCAATATCCACACCATTCCTATCCTCTGTCTGAGTGGGATTATTCCATTATCTGAATGGTCCATGGTCCCAAAACTGGGCAGCTCAGTCAGAATTGGGGGTGAAGGACAAAGGGGGCCCCTCACACCTGTGGTGGGGCCTCTGTCAATAAGGAAGGGAGATGATTTGCTTCCATTTATTATTTTCCTCAGAGCAGAAATTGTGGGCCCACAGTGACATCCCATTGCAACTTTCATACCACACTGGGACATGAGTACATGTATATTTCTATTCTAAAATGGAAAGCATGTATGATTTGTAAACAAAGAGCTACTTTAACAGGAATGTGTAGACAGTGTTCTCTTCCTATATTGCAACTATCAGCCCATCTTCTGGGGAGAGCATTTGGACCTTGGAGTTTCCGGCTTAATCACAATAGATAAGCAGCATAGCATGATGTTTAAAAAACACAGACTCTGGGCTGGGCGTGGTGGCTCATGCCTGTAATCCAAGCAGTTTGGGAGGCCGAGGCGGGCAGATTACCTGAGTTCGGGAGTTCGAGACTAGCCTGACCAGTATGGAGAAACCCCATCTCTACTAAAAATACGAAATTAGCCGGGCATGGTGGCACATGCCTGTAATCCCAGCTACTAGGGAGGCTGAGGCAGGAGAATCACTTGAACCTGGGAGGTGGAGGTTGCAGTGAGCTGAGATCGTACCATTGCACTCCAGCCTGGGCAACAAGAGTGAAACTCTGTCTAAAAAACAAAACAAAACAAAACAAACAAACAAACAAAAAATCATTGACTCTGAAGCCCAACTGTCTGGGTTCAAATCCTGGCTCTGACACTTACTAGCTGGGAGGCTTTAGGCATGACACTCAACCCCTCTGTGCTTCAACTCTCCTATCTGTGCCTCAGCTATATGGGAATGAGGATGGTCCCCTCACCAGAGGGCTATTAGAAGGCTTACATGGGCTGGGTGCGGTGGCTCACTCCTATAATCTCAGCACTTTGGGAAGCTGAGGTGGGAGGATTGTTTGAGCCCAGGAGTTCAAGACCAGCCAAGGCAATATGACGAAACGCCATCTCTACAAAAAATACAAAACTTAGCCAGGCATGGTGGCACATGCCTGTAGTTCCAACTACTTGAAAGGCTGAGGCAGGAGAATTGCTTGAGCCTGGGAGGTCGAGACTACAGTGAGCTGTGTTTGCACCACTGCACTCCAGCTTGAGCAACAAAGTGAGACCTCGTCTCAAATAAAAAAAAAAAAAAAAGAAAATAAAGAAAAGCTTATATGAATTACTATCTGTATAATATTAAGCACATAGTAAGCAACTATAGAAGCATTTGTAAAATAAATATATAATTACATGTCTATTCATCTTACATGCCTACCACAAGAAGGAAAAAGTCATTTCTTGGGGGTGTTAGGAGGTCTCAGGCCCCAGTGGGAAATTTCTGAGGGTCTTCTGTAACGGAAGCTCAAAGACTTGTAATGTTAGCCTTTAGAACAAAATCACGAAACTGAGACCACACCTGACCTAGACTCTTACCTTAGAAAAGACTACACACAAACCACCTTCAAATCAGTCTAGTCCAATTTGAACTACCCCCTGGAATATTGCAAACACTAATTATTTTAACCAAAGGAGTTTACTTATTCATCAAGTGGGCTTTACGGATGAGTAAAACAGTTTCATGCTGAGTTGGAGATGGAGGCAATTGTTTTCTAAAAATAATTTATTGAGGTCAAATTCATACAATTATTTTTTAAATCTTAAACCACCTAATTGATAGAATAGCCTGAAAGTATCTCAAGCTTTCACCTGCTTGCAAAGTTACTCCCAGGCCTAGCCAACATGTGTCCTCCAGGCGAGATTTTACCACCTCGCGTGGTAAATAAGAATGAACTTCCTCATACCATAAATGTATTAACTCATACTCTGTGAATGGTATGTTTATGATGTGGTTATTATCGTGTCATGAAACTATAACAGGCAGATTTTTACAAGACCCTGCCTTCCTTGTGTGTAGGGACCTCATGTGAGTGAATCATCACAGAATGATTCTGAAGTGGGTGGAGCCAAAGACCTGAGTGGCAAGGGCTTAAAGCAGGGGTCTCCAATCCCCAAGCCGTGGACTGGTGAGGGTCTGTGGCCTGTTAGGAACCGGGCCATAGAGCAGCAGGCGAGCATTACTGCCTGAGCTCTGCCTCCTGTCAGATCAGCTGCGGCATTAGATTCTCATAGGAGCGCGAACCCTATTGTGACCTGCCTGATGATATGAGGTGGAACAGTTACATCCTAAAACCATCCCCTACCCCACACCCATACGGTTTGGTTCTGTGTCCCCTCCCAAATATCACCTCCAATTGTAATCCCCACATGTCGAGGGAGGGACCTAGTGGGAGGTGATTGGATAATGGGGGTGGTTTCCCCCATGCTCTTCTCTTGACAGTGAGTGAGTGAATTCTGATGAAATCTGATTTTTGTTTGTTTGTTTTTGAGATGGAATCTCACTCTGTTGCCCAGGCTGGAGTGCAGTGGTGTGATCTCGGCTCACCACAACCTCTGCCTCCCAGGTGAAAGCGATTCCCCTGCCTCAGCCTCCCGAGTAGCTGGGACTACAGGCGCGTGCCACCACACCCGAATAATTTTTGTATTTTTAATAGAGAAGGGGTTTCACCATGTTGGCCAGGCTGGTCTCAAACTCCTGACCTTGTGATCTGCCCTCCTCGGCCTCCCAAAGTGCTGGGATTACAGGTGTGAGCCACCATGCCTGGCAGAAATCTGATGGTTTTAAAGTGTGGGGCACTTCCCCTCTTGCTGTCTCGCTCCCTCCTGCTGCCCTCTAAGACATGCTTTGCCTACCCTTTACCATTGGCCATTATTGTAAGTTTCTCAAGGCCTTCCAATCGTGCTTCATGTTAAGTGTATGAAACTCTGAGTCAATTACACATCTTTTCTTCATAAATTACCCAGTTTCAGGTAGTTCTTTATAGCAGTGTGAAAATGGACTAATACACCCCTGCACCCTCACCCCTACCCCCACTGTCCATGGAAAAATTGTCTTCCAAAAAACTGGTCCCCAGTGCCAAAAAGGTTGGGGACCACTGGCTTAAAGATATCCATCTGTATGGACACATACAGCTCACAGCTCAGCTGTGGACTAGGTATACTCTTATACTAACTGTACTAGATGAGAAAGACAGGCTTCTAGAAGTTCCAGAAGGTTGAGTTTTAGTGGAGCTGGAGTTTGGCCTTACGTGGAATGAGATGTGTCTGTTGGACCAGGTTCCCTGGACTAGGAAGCAATATTACACCCAGAGGCCACATCGCTGAGAGGCAGGCACAGGAGCCGGGAGCATAAGAAGCCCAGATGCCTGCAAAGCTGGGCTTTGAAGAGTTGACATGAATGCATTTCTTTTTTTTGAGACAGAGTCTCACTCTGTTGCCCAGGCTGGAGTGCAGTGGCGCAATCTCGCCTCACCACAACCTCCGCCTCCCGGGTTCAAGCAATTCTCCTGCCTCAACCTCCCGAGTAGCTGGGACTACAGGCACGTGCCACCACGCTGGGCTAATTTTTGTATTTTTAGTAGAGACGGGGTTTCACTCTGTTGGCCAGGCTGGTCTCAAACTCCTGACCTCGTGATCCACCTGCCTCAGCCTTCCAAAGTGCTGGGATTACAGGCATGAGCCACCGCGCCGGGCAAAATGAATGCATTTCAAGAGCAGGGAATCTGAGAGCCATGTACTGATCTCAGATATTTTCACAGAATTTCTTAGGATAAGAAACCTAATTGTGTTTATGTTGCTACATTCGGAGGTGTTATTTTCTTTAGATATTTCCTTCATTTTTTATAAAATGTCTTTTGTTTATATCAACTTTTTTGGCTCTATTAAGGGAGTTTAGCCTATGCCTTTTTTTATATTTTGAGACACAATTTTGCTCGTCACCCAGGTTGGAGTGCAATGGTGTGATCTGGGCTCACCACAACCTCTGCCTCCCAGGTTCAAGCAATTCTCCTGTCTCAGCCTCCCAAGTATTTGAGATTACAGGAGTCCACCACCATGCCTGGCTGATTTTTGTATTTTTATTAGGCCCGGCCGGCCTATGCTTTCTTTGGAGTGAACAGGGCCACATTTTATCCCTAGGTCCCTGAGCAGTAGAGAAAGGAGGAGTGAAAAATGAGAGAAGCTAAAGGACAGGCCGGGCGCAGTGGCTCACACCTGTAAATCCCAGCACCCTGGGAGGCCGAGGCGGGTGGATCACCTGAGATTAGGAGTTTAAGACCAGCCAGGCCAACATAGTGAAACCTCATCTCTACAAAAATACAAAAATTAGCCGGGCATGATGGCGGGTGCCTGTAATCCAAGCTACCTGGGAGGCCAAGGAGGGAGAATCTCTTGAACCCATGAGGCAGAGGTTGCAGTGAGCTGAGATGCGCAACTGCACTCCAGCCTGGATGACAGAGTGAGACTCTGTCTCAAAAAAAAAAAAAAAAGAAAAAGAAGAAGTTAAGGGACAGACAAAAACCCAGGGAGAAACAGCCTGTCCTGCCAGCAGAGCATCTTGCTGTAGCCTCCCACATAGCTCAAAACTCAGAACCAAGAGCCCACTCCCCCATTCTGTGAAGACAGCCTTCTTCCTGCCTCCCGGGACCCTCCCTTCTTCAAAAGTCATCTCACAGCCAAGACCTCTCCAGTTGTGCCCCCTTTGCTCTCAGTCTCCCCACATCCTCCAGTATCCATCTTTCTTCTCATTTCCTCAAATGCGAAGTCTTCCTTATAGCTGCAGCTTGCCTTGATTTTTGTATTTCCTCCATGTTGTTTTTACAAGTATTCTATAATATATATAAATAATTTTTACCTTGTCTGATTAGAGTTGAAGTTCTTTGAAGGTGAATAGCTTCTATCTCCTTTGTAAGTCTCTGCCATTTCATTTATGTTAAGCAGTTTTTCAAAAGTAAAATCTCTTTATTGTTTTTTTAAAATGTATCACTGTAAAAATAACAACAACAACAAAACTCCAAACAGTACAGAAAAGAAAATTCAAAAATCCCATCCCAAAGAGATAACATCCCTTAACAGTTTGGAATACATCTTCACCACACCTTGGTCTGCTGCATGTACAAAGATTGACAAAAATGGGATCTCCATATTCTCTTTCACAACTTTCTCCTTTTACCATGATGTTGCTACACAGACTGACTTCATTCCTCTAAATCGCAATATGATATTCCAAGACACAGACGTTTCGTAATATTATTGGTCTATTTAATAGATACAGAGGCTGTTCCAGATGGACTTTCAGGTTGTAAGAAAGCAGTCAAGGATAACTTCTGTGTTTCAAGCTTGGGTTCCTCGATAGATAGATGGTGGTAATGCCAATTAAGATGTGGAATATGCTTGGCGTGGTGGCTCACACCTGTAATCCCAGCACTTTGGGAGACTGAGGCAGGCAGATCACTTGAGGCCAGGAGTTCGAGACCAGCCTGGCCAATATGGTGAAACCCTGTCTCTACTAAAAATACAAAAATTAGCCAAGCCTGGTGGCAGGCGCCTGTAGTCCCAGCTACTCAGGAGGCTGAGGCAGAAGAATTGCTTGAACACAGGAGGTAGAGGTTGCGGTGAGCCGAGATCGCACCACTGCACTCCACCCTGGGTGACAGAGCTAGACTCTGTCTAAGAAAGAAAGAGAGGAAGCGAGGAAGCGAGGAAGGAGGGAGAGAGGGAAAAAGGAAGGAGCAGAATACCAGAGAAATAGCAGGTCTTGGGTGTATAAGTAGTAGTTTATTTTCCCTGATTATTTTCTCTTTACAATAATACAACCATCAAAATCAGAAACTAACATCAATAACTTACTGCTATCTAATCCTCATGAGCCACTTGAGTTTCACTAATTGTTCCAGTAACATCCTTTATAGAAAAGTGTTCAATCCAGGATCATGCATAGCATTTAGTTGTCATGTTTTTTTAATTTGCTTTAATCTGGAAGAACTCCCCACTTGCTCATGGACTTTCATGGCTTTGAAATTAAAAAAAAAAATTGGTAGAAATAGTGTCCTGTTATGTTGCCCAGGCTGATCTCAAACTCCTGGCCTCAATCGATCCTCCCACCTTGTCCTCCCAAAGTGCTGGGATTGCAGACCTGAGCCACCCTTCCCGGCTGGCCTTGAAACTTTTGAAGATTACTGGCCAGTTTTTTTTCCTAAATGGAAAGTTCCTCATTTTGTGTTTGTCTGATGTTTCCTCATGATTACATCTAGGTTATACATTTTTGTCAAGGATGTCACAGAAGTGATGTTGTGGCCACACTATCAAGGGGTGCTTGATATTGACTTGTCCCATTACTTGTGATGTTAACCTTGAGTAGATAACATCTGCCAGATTTCTCCACTGTAAAATTACTCTTTTTTTCTTTTGTAGTCTTTGACTGTTTACTGGGAGGTACTTTGAAGTGATATAAATATCCATTTCTCATCCAACTTTCAGCCAATATTTTTAGCATCCCTTGATGATTCTAGGCTGAATTTTTACCATTATTTTGCTTGCCAAAGTGATGTTCTAATTCCGTTATTATTCTAAGTTCATTAGTTGACATTCCGTGGTAAGGAAAAGCTTTCTCCTCTTCCCACGTATTATTTATTTATTTCAGTATAAGCTCATTCCCCTTATATTAAATGAGTTATAATCTATCATTGTTATTATTTATATTGATGCTCAAATTATCCCAGAATTAGCAAGTGGGAGCCCCTTCAAGCTAGTTTCTATGTTCTTTTGACAAGTATCCATTATTGTTTTAGCACTTTCTTATTTTTTTCTTTTTCCTAACCACTAAATGATATAGGAGCACCTCCTTAATTTCTGACACAAAAGATATTGCAGGCTCATTTGGTACTCTCTCTGGCCCAGCCTTAAAAGTAGACATTTCTCCAAAGAGCCTTGATTTCTTTTAGCAAAGAATGGTATTTATTTATTTTTATATTTATTTATATATTTTTTTGAGATGGAATCTCGCTCTGTTACCCAGTCTGGAGTGCAGTGGTGTGATCTCGGCTCACTGCAACCTCCACCTCCCGGGTTCAAGCGATTCCTCTGTCTCAGCCTCCCAAGTAGCTGGGACTACAGGTGCATGCCACCACGCCCAGCTAATTTTTGTATTTTTAGTAGAGACAGAGTTTCACCACATTGGTTAGGCTGGTCTCGAATTCCTGACCTCAGGTGATCCATCCACCTCAGCCTCCCAAAGTGCTGGGGTTACAGGCGTGAGCCACCGCACCTGGCAAGAATAGTATTTAGAAGCCAAGACCTGAGTACAAAATGTGTTCATTGCTGTGAGGTGTTGCTCCTCCCAGACCCTCTCAGAGGATAGACCTATATTTACTTATTTATTTTTCCCTATTTATTTTTATATAGGAAAGCCTTAAGTTTATATGGTTACCTTCCATTCTTATCCAACACCACAAGATTCATTAATTCTAGTTATTTTCCTCTCCACGTGTAACTTCTCTCTCTGCTAGGCAGACACCTGTCTTTCATTAGTCTCAGTATGTTTATTCATGTGATCAGAGCCCCTGTACATTAACAATCTTCTGTTTCTGCCATCATGCCCCTGCACAGCTTCCCTCATCTGTGCAGATGGCCCATCCTCACCCCTGCACTGGCACAGGTGTCCTCTTCCCTCCACTCAGACCCTGACAATGTTATCAGGCTATCACCACCCCCCATTCACAGAGGCCGCCTCACTCCACTTGGGCTCTTATACCCTATGATATAGTTTAGATATTTGTCTTCACCCAAATCTCATGCTGAATTGTAATCCTCAGTATTGGAGGCAGAGCTTGGTGGAAGGTGATTGGATCATGAGGGTGGACTTCTCATGAATGTTTAATACCATTCCCTTGGTGCTACCCTCATGATAGTGAGTTCTGGTTGTTTAAAAGTGTGTGGCACCTTCCCCCTCTCTCCCTTGCTCCAGCTCTGGCTATGCGATGTGCCTCCTCCTCCTTTGCCTTCCACTATGATTGTGTTTCCTGAGGCCTCTCCAGAAGCCCAGCAGATGCCAGCATCACGTGTCCTGTACAGCTTGCAGAACCGTGAGCCAATTAAGCCTCAGGTTTTTTTTGTTTGTTTGTTTTTGTTTTTTGAGGCAGTCTTGCTCTGTTGCCCAGGCTGGAGTGCAGTGGCGCTATCTCAATCTTGGCTGACTGCAACCTCCGCCTCCGAGGTTCAAGTGATTCTCGTGCCTCAGCCTCCCAAGTAGCTGGGATTACAGGCACCCAAAACGCCCAGCTAATTTTTGCATTTTTAGTAGAGATGGAGTTTCACCATATTGGCAAGGCTGGTCTTGAACTCCTGACCTCAAGCAATCCTCCTGCCTCAGCCTCCCAAAGTGCTGGGATTACAGGCATGAGCTACTGTGCCCTGCTACCTCAGGTATTTTTTATTGCAATGTGAGAACAGACTAATGCACCCCATGACAGGCCCCCAAAATGCCACTACAACATGCCCCACTGATGCAGATTTTGTTCAACCCAACCTAATGGCTTTAGACTAAAATATTCAAAGGAAACAAATAAAGAAGAGAGGGAAACATTTCCCTGATTTTTTTTTTTTTTTTTTTTTGAGATGGAGTTTTGTTCTTGTTGCCCAGGCTGGAGTGCAATGGTACAATCTCGGCTCACTGCAACCTCCACCTCCCAGGTTCAGGCGATTATCCTGCCTCAGCCTCCTGAGTAGCTAGGATTACAGCCCAGCTAATTTTTTGTATTTTTAGTAGAGATGGGGTTTTGCCATGTTGGCCAAGCTGGTCTTGAACTCGTGACCTCAGGTGATCCACCTGCCTCGGCCTCCCAAAGTGCTGGGATTACAGGTGTGAGCCACTGCACCCAGCCTCCCTGATTATTTTTTAATTAAAAAATTAATGCAAATATCATGAACAATAAAGAAAGACTAAGAAACTCTCTTAGAAGGAAACTAAGGATCACTTCTTGGTCTTTTGGCTAAGATCAAGTATAGTATCTGTTTTTATCAGTTTCATATCTGATATGTCCTCTATCCAAGGACAATATATTAAATGGATTTTTGGAAACAGGAGATGGAATAGGAGCTTGCTACATCCACTCCACACATTGACCTGATATTGCAGTACTTCCAGGAACAGTGCACCCAAACCTTGAAAAAAAATTTTTTTTTTTTTGAGACAGAGTCTCACTCTGTCGCCCAGGCTGGAGTGCAGTGGTGCCATCTCTGCTCACTGCAAGCTCCACCTCCCAGGTTCACGTCATTCTCCTGCCTCAGCCTCTTGAGTAGCTGGGACTACAGGCACCTGCCACCACACCTGGCTAATTTTTTTGTATTTTTAGTAGAGACGGGGTTTCACTGTGTTAGCCAGGATGGTCTTGATCTCCTGACCTCGTGATCCATCTGCCTCAGCCTCCCAAAGTGCTGGGATTACAGGCGTGAGCCACTGCACCTGGCCGAAAAAATACAAATTTTAATGAAAAAACAAAAAAAGAAGAAGGAGACTAAGGAGACAGGACAACTAAATGCAATGTGGAATCTTGGGCCTGAAAAGAACATTAGTGAGACAATGATGAAACTGGAATAAGGCATACTACTACTACTACTACTACTAATGTTATTATTAGTTAATAATGTTATGTCAATGTTAATTTTATGATGTTGATCATTCTACTATGATTATGTAAGATGTTACTATTAAGGCAATCTAGGTGAAAGGTATATAGGAAGACTTGACAGGATTTCTGTAACCTTTCTGTAAGTACAACATTATTTCAAAGTAGAATTTTTTTTTTTAAGTATTGCATTTTGGGCACATGTTCCCAGGATCTCCTTAGGGCTGTGTCATGTAAAAAAATATTTTTAAAGTATTGCACTTTATTTAGAAAAAATTCAAATAAGATAGACATATTCAAACTAAAAAATGAAGAACAAATAAGAAATTGTACTGATTTTATACAAACTCTCCCAGAAAACAGAAGAGGAGAGAGAACATTTCTCCCGTTGTTATTCTGATACCAAAATCAGAAAAGATGTTACAAAAGGAAAAATACAAAAACCATGGGCCAATATTCTTATGAATCTAAATAGGATAATTCTTAACAAAATATTAGCAAGTAAGGGCCGGGTGTGGTGGCTCACTCCTGTAATCCCAGCACTTTGGGAAGCTGAGGTGGGTGGATCACCTGAGGTCAGGAGTTTGAGACCAGCCTGGCAAACATGGTGAAACCCTGTCTCTACAAAAATACAAAAATTAGCAGGGCATGATGGCATGTGCCTGTAATCCTAGTTACTCAGGAGGCTGAGGCAGGAGAATCACTTGAACCAGGGAGGTGGAGGTTGCAGTGAGCTGAGATCGCACCATTGCACTCCAGCCTGGGCAACAGAGCAAGACAGAGCAAGTCTCAAAAAAAAAAAAAAAAAAGAAAAAAAGAAAATCAAATCTAGTAATACATAAAAAGCATAATACATCATGACCAAGTAGGGTTTATCCCAGGAATGCAAAGCTGGCTTCCTGGTTTTGAATGTTGGTTCAACATATAAAAAACTCAATCAATGTAATTTAGCACATTAACAAGCTAATAAAGGTATGGCCATAAAAGCATTTGCCAAAATCTAGCATTTTTTCATGATAAAAACCACTCATGTAACTGGGAATGGAAGAGAACTTTCTCAAACGATAAAGAACAACATACTGGCTGGGCGCAGTGGCTCACACCTGTAATCCCAGCACTTTGGGAGGCCGAGGTGGGTAGATCATGAGGTCAGGAGTTCAAGACCAGCCTGGCCAATATGGTGAAACCCTGTCTCTACTAAAAATAGAAAACTTAGCCGGGTATGATGGCAGGTGCCTGTAATCCCAGCTCCTTGGGAGGCTGAGGCAGAGAATTGCTTGAACCTGGAAGGCGGAGGTTGCAGTGAGCCAAGATTGCACCACTGCACTCCAGCTTGGGTGACAGAGTGAGACTCCATCTCAAAAACAAAACAAAACAAAACAAAAAGAACAACATACTTAATGAAAAAGCAAATATTTTCCCTGAAATTGAGAACACAGCAAGATATCTGTCCTCACACATTCTATACGACACTGAACTGGTGTCCTTGCCAGTACAATAAGTCAAGAGAAAGAAATAAAATACATACTATTTGGAAATAAAGAAATAAAAATGTTATCATCAATATAGAAAATCCTAAAGGATATACAAAACCATGAACTAATAAGTGAATTTAGTAGTCACAGAATACAAAAATTATATTTCAAGATACTAGTAATAAACATTTAGAAATTAAAAATTTTTAAATTACATTTACTTTAGAATAAATAACATAAAATTCTTGGGGATAAATCTGACAAAACATGCAAGATCTTATACTGGAAACTAAAAAATATTGCTGAAAAAATTAAAACCTAAATAAATGGAGAGGTATACCATGTTCATGAATCAGAAGACTCAATATTCTTAAAACGTCAGCTTTCCCTAAATTAACCTAAAGATTCAAAGTAATCACAATAAAAATCCCACAGCCTAGTATTTTTATGTTAGAAATTGACAAGCTGATCCCAAACTTTGTATGGAAATGAAAAGAACTTGGGCTAGTCAAAGCTATTTTGAAAAAGAACAAAGCTGGAGGACTCACATTACCACATTTCATATCACTTACAAATTTATAATAATCAAAACAGTGTCGTTTTAGCACCTGGTAGACAGACTGATGGAATAGAACAGAAAGTTCAAAAATAGGCCAGGAAGGGTGGCTCACGCCTGTAATCCCAGCACTTTGGGAGGCTGAGGCAGGTGGATCACCTGAGGTCAGGAGTTCAAGACCAGCCTAGCCAACCTGGCGAAACCCTGTCTCTACTAAAAACACACACAAAAATGAGCTAGGCATGGTGGCAGGTGCCTGTAATCCCAGCTACTCGGGAGGCTGAGGCAGGAGAATTGCTTGAACCCGGGAGGCGGAGGTTGCAGTGAGCCAAGATCATGCCACTGCACTCCAGCCTGGGTGACAAGAGCAAAACTCCGTCTCAAAAAAAAAAAAAGTTCAAAAATAGATCCACACATATAAGTCAATTGGTATAGACAAAGATGCCAAGGTAAATAGTTCCAATGGAGAAAGGATAGCCTTTTCAACAAATGGTGATGCTGGAACAATTGGACATAAATGTGCAAAGAAATGAAATTTGACTCTGACCTTGTATCATATAAAAAATTAACTCAACAGGCAAATCTATAGAGACAGAAAGTAAATTAATGATTGCTTATAGCTGAGGAGATGGGAGAAGAAATGAAAAGTCACTACTAATGGGCATAGGGTTTCTTTTCGGGTTGACACAAATGTTCAAAATTAGATCATGATGGTGACTACACAACCCTGTAAATATACTAAAAACCATTGAATTCTACACTAGAATAGATTCAGTGTGTGATATATGAATTATATTTCAATAAAACTTAAAAATTTAACTCTAAATGAACCATAAACCTAAATATAAGAGCTGTGACTGTAAAGTACTAAAAGAAAACATAAGAAAAATCTGTGTCACCTTCAGTTAGGCAAAGATTTCTTAAATAGAACAAAAAAAGGACAAACCACTCAAGAAAAAAAATAATTTTATCAAAACTTAAAACTTTTGCTGTTCAAAAGACACTGTTCACGGGCCAGGCATGGTGGCTCACTCCTGTAATCCCAGAACTTTGGGAGGCCGAGGAGGGCGGATCACTTGAGGTCAGGAGTTTGAGACGAGCCTGGCTAACATGGTGAAATCCTGTCTCTACTAAAAATACAAAAATTTGCTGGATGTGGTGGCACACGCTTGTAATTCCAGCTACTCTGGAGGCTGAGGCTGAGAATCACTTGAACCTGGGAGGCAGAGGTTGCAGTGAGCTGAGATCACACCACTGTACTCCAGCTTGGGTGACAGAGCAAGACTCTGTCTCAAAAAAAAAAGAAAAAAAAGACACTGTTCAGAGAATAAAAATTCAGGTCTTAGCTGCTTTCAAAAAAGAAAAAAAGTAAAAAGTCACAAACTGGGAGAAAATATTTGCAAAAACACATCTGTGATAAAGAATTTATATCCAGAATATATTAAGAACTTATAATTCAATAATAGATAACCCAGATTTTTTTTTTTTTTTTTTTTGAGACGGAGTCTCACCCTGTTGCCCAGGCTGGGGCAACAAAAAAAAAAGAAAAAAAAGAAAAAAGAAACAAATCTCTACAAGCATCATGATGCGTGAATCTATATAGCATTTTGCTAAGTGAAAGAAGCCAGGCACAAAAATGTACATGCTTACAGTATGATTCCATTTACATGACATTCTAAAAGAGATTAAACAATAGGGACAGAAATCAGATCAGTGGTCACCTGGAGTGGGGAGTGGAGACAGGAGATGGACTGCAAAAGGGCAGGAGAGAAATTTGAATGTGGTGGAAGTGTTTGTTTTTTTTTTTTTTTTTGAGACGGAGTTTCACTCTTGTTGCCCAGGCTGGAGTGCAATGGCATGATCTCAGCTCACTGCAACCTCTGCTTCCCAGGTTCAAGTGATTGTCCTGCCTCAGCCTCCCGAGTAGCTGGGATTACAGAGGTCTGCCACCATGCCCAGCTCATTTTTTGTACTTTTAGTAGAGATGGGGTTTCACCATATTGGCTAGGCTGGTCTTGAACTCCTGACCTCAGGTGATCCACCAGCCTCAGCCTCCCAAAGTGCTGGGATTACAGGCAGGAGCCACCACACTTGGCCTGGAAGTGTTCTATATCTTGATTCAGGTGGTGGTTACATGACTGTGTACATTTCTCAAAACTCATCTAACCATAGACTTTTTTTTTTTTTTTGAGATAGGGTCTCACTCTGTTGTACAGGCTGGAGTGCGGTAGCACAATCATAGCTCACTGCAGCCTCAATCTCCTGGGCTCAAGTGATCCTCCCACCTCAACCTCCCAAGTAGTTGAGACTACAGGCGCATGCCACCACATGTGGTTAACTTTTTAAAATTTTTTGTAGAGACAGGGTCTCACTATGTTGTCCAAGCTGGACTTAAACTCCTGGGCTCAAGGGATTCTCTTGCCTTGGCCTCCTAAAGTGCTGAGATTACAGGCATGAGCCACTGTGCCCAGCACCACAGACTTTTTTTTTTTTTTTTTTTTTTGAGATGGAGTCTCGCTCTGTCACCCAGGCTGGAGTGCAATGGCGTGATCTCGGCTCACTGCAACCTCCGCCTCCTGGGTTCAAGCAATTCTCCTGCCTCAGCCTCCTGAGTAGCTGAGATTACAGGTGCGTGCCACCACGTCTGGCTAATTTTTGTATTTTTAGTAGAGATGGGGTTTCAACATGTTGGTCAGACTGGTCTTGAACTCCTGACCTCATGATCCACCTGCCTCGGCTCCTAAAGTGCTGAGATTATAGGCGTGAGCCGCCGCACCCAGCCCACCCTAGAGTTTTAATAGGGTGATTTTACTATATGTAAGTGTTACTTCAATGAAGCTAACTTTTTAAAAAATAATATAATAAGTACCAAAAAATATTTTAGGGGTGGGGGGAAGTAATGCATTATCTTTAGAAAGAACTCAAAGAATATAAAAATATACAAAATTAAAAAAAATTTCCTCTTTGCCATTTTCAATCCTAGCTCTATTAACAGTTTGTAACTATTATTCCAGATTATTTTTATATACTCATTTATATTTGTAAAAATATGTAAATATGATACCACAGTACATATTGTTTTGTAACCTG
The DNA here is from genome assembly GCF_000001405.40 of Homo sapiens. Classification (NCBI taxonomy): domain Eukaryota; kingdom Metazoa; phylum Chordata; class Mammalia; order Primates; family Hominidae; genus Homo; species Homo sapiens. Next base: position 65,118,765 of record NC_000014.9, on the reverse strand, counting down.
CCTCATTCATATTACTTTTCATTCTGGACATCTTTTCCTCTTTTATCAGAAGATTAAAATCTCTCTCCTCTCCCACATCAGCACATCTCACTGTCAAGGATGGAATGGGCTTTCCATTATGTTGACCACTTCTGCTTGCCATAGGTCAGCTAGCCAGAGAGGGTCGGCCTGACCGACTAGAAGAACAGACATCTTCCAGCAGCTGTCAGCGTCCAAAGGACACTGTGTTCCTTGGACCTCTTACCAAACCAGCCAGGTCAGTTTATCCTCCTATTTCAAAGCATATTTCCTCTCATCCTCTTGAATTGCCACAGCATTTGACCTGTAGTTTCACTACAGGATCTGGGGAGAAAGGGAGGACTGTGCCCTAGAAGAAAATATTTCTATAAATACCGAGCAACTGTTCGTTCACACATTATAATTCCTATTATTTTAATCAATATACTTCGAGCTTAAACAGTTCTACTAATGCTTGAGAGACCTTTTCAAGGTCACACAAGCGACTGGCAGTGATCAGAAGGAGAGGGTAAGATGTATTCAGCCAAGACAGCCTGCTCCAGGGGCTGCTATCTCTACCAAGCCCAAAGTGGAATGACAGGAGCATGAAGTTCAGCATTGGCAGCTGGAAGTGACAACTGGATTGTGGAAACTTACATGACAGTGTGGGTGGTGTTTGCCCACTCACCCCTAGAAAGAGCACCTGAGTGCTCTAGACCCCCAGGTTCTCGTTCACAGACCGCTGCTCTTCTCTCCCCTGACACCCCGGAACACCTGTCTTGGTGAAGTACATGGCAGCTTCAGACTGTGCTGACCACAAAACGCTCTCAATCCACATAAGGAATTAACATGCTGGAGTTCTCCATATCACTGTTCTACAAACTGGAGTCGGCGAGGAGCTGACAGAACTGGAGAGGTCGCAGCCACTATGCTGTGGTTGATCGAAAGCTGTGGTTTGGGGTTTCTCAGGGCCTTTCACATTATTTTTCTTTTTTTTTTTTTTTGTCATTAGTTTAGATATCATTAGATTGTTATCAAAGAGAGACATGGAAATTATACATGATGAAACATTTTGGAACTTCAGTGGGATGGGCAGGTTCATGTTGATGCTATTTCAATGGTGATTTATTTCAGTCTACATACTTTGCAAGAATGTCACCATCTCTAAATAGGAAATAATCCTTGTAGGCCGGGCACAGTGGCTCATGCCTGTAATCCCAGCTACTTGGGAGGCTGAGGCAGGAGAATCACTTAAACCCGGGAGGTGGAGGTTGCAGTGAGCTGAGATTGTGCCATTGTACTCCAGCTTGGGCAGCAAGAGTGAAACTCTGTCTCAAAAAAAAAAAAAAAAAGAAAGAAAAGAAATAATCCTTGTCATCTAGAACTACTTTGGTAGGGCCCTTCACATTCTAAAATTCTTTACTATGTTTCTAATCCAAGGCAGCGGTGCCATGGTTGAGAGCACATGCATTTCAGTGTCAGAAACTTGGGCTCAGGTCCTGGTTCTGCCACCTACTTGCCAAGTGTTGTTGGACAAGTTACTTGACTTTGCCCAGCCTGTTTCATCTTTGCTGGGCTGCTGGGAGGTTTCTGTGGTATGATGCAGGACACAGCACAGCACTTGGGACCTGGAAGGTGCTTAGTACCATGGCTATCATTGTTACTGTTATTAAGAAATTTATTGAGGCTGGGCGTGATAGCTTACATCTGTAATCCCAGCACTTTGGGAGGATCACTAGAGCCCAGCCTAATTTGATACCAGCCTGGGCAACATAGTGAGAATCCTCATCTCTAAAAATAAAAGTAAAATAAAATGTGGGCGCAGTGGGTCACGCCTGTAATCCCAGCACTTTGGGAGGCTGAGGCAGCTGGATCACTTGAGGTCAGAAGTTGGAGACCAGCCTGACCAACATGGTGAAACCCTGTCTCTACTAAACATACAAAAAATTGGCCACGCATGGTGGCACATGCCTGTAATCCCAGCTATCCGGGAGGCTGAGGCAGGAGAATTGCTTGAACCTGGGAGCTGGAGGTTGCAGTGAGCTGAGATTGTGCCACTGCACTCCAGCCCGGGCAACAGAGCAAGACTCAGTCACAAAAAAAAAAAAAAAAAAAAAAGAAGTAAGTCACTTAACATCTCTGGGTTAAGCAAGGTGCAGTGGCTCATGCCTGTAATGCCAACACTTTGGGAGGCTGAGGCAGGCGGATGGCTTGAATCCAGGAGTTTGAGACCAGCCTGGGCAACATGGCAAAACACCATCTCAAGAAATACAAAAATTAGCTTGGTGTGCTGGTACATGCCTCTAGTCCCAGCTACATGGGAGGCTGAGATGGGAGGATCTCTTGAGCCTGGTAGGCAGAGGTTGCAGTGAGCTGAGATCACGCTGCTGCATTCAAGCCTAGGCAGCAGAGCAAGACTCTGTCTCAAAAACAAAAACAAAAATAGATAAAAGAAATCTCTGTGTTGTATTAATGTTAAGCTATTGTTTATTGAGCACTTACTATTTGCCTGGCACTGTGCTCTCATCATCATTCATCCAATCCTTAAAACACCCCATGTGTAAATGTTCTGCAGTCAGCAGGTCTCTGCAAACCTACCCCCAAAGACTGAGGAAGCTGAAAGGCCATAGAAAGAGCCTGACAAATCCAGTTTCTCAGAAAGAAACATTTAGTAGAAACTTATTAACAGAAACCAAGTCTCGGGATGGTGGATCCCCTCAAGGTTATCCCCCAGATCCAGGGCTTATATACCATAGAGAATTTGCTTAAGGGCATGATATGGTTTGGATTTGTGTCGTGGCCTAACTCTGACGTCAAATTGTAATCCCCAATGCTGGAGGAGGGGGCTGGTGGGAGGTGATTGGATCATGAAGACAGACTTTTCCCTTGCTGTTCTGGTGATAGTGAGTTCTCACGAGATCTGGTTGTTTAAAAATGTGTAGCACCTCCCCCTTCTCTCTGTTCCTCGTTCTCCCGCCGTGTAACACATGCTTGCTTCCCCTTTGCCTACCTCGGTGATTTTAAGTTTCCTGAGGCCTCCCCAGCCATGCTTCCCGTACAGCCTGCAGAACCATGAGTCAATCAAACCTCTTTTCTTTGTAAATTACCCTGTCTCAGGTAGTTCTTTATAGCAATGCGAGAATGGACTAATACAGGGCAGGATTTTTGTTTGTTTGTTTTTTGTTTTTGAGACAGAGTCTCTCTCTGTCTCCCAGGCTAGAGTGCAATGGCACGATCTCGGCTCACTGCAACCTCCACCTTCCGGTTTCGAGCGATTCTTCTGCCTCAGTTTCCCGAGTAGCTGGGACTACAGGTGCCCGCCACCACGCCCAGCTAATTTTTGCATTTTTAGTAGAGATGGGGTTTCACCATATTGGCCACGCTGGTCTCGAACTCCTGACCTTGTGATCTGCGCCCCTCTGCCTCCCAAAGTGCTGGGATTACAGGTGTGAGCCACCACACCCGGCCGGGGCAGGATGTATGTGTTTATGCCTAAGGCCAGGATTTTTGTTTTTTTGTTTTGTTTCGTTTTTTGGAGATAGAGTCTCGCTCTATCACCCAGGCTAGAGTGCAATGGCACAATCTCGGCTCACTGCAACCTCCACCTCCTGGGTTTGAGCAATTATCCCTGCCTCAGCCTCCCGAGTAGCGGGATTACAGACGTGTGCCACCATGCACAGCTAATTTTTGTATTTTCAGTAGAGATGGGGTTTCACCATGTTGGCCAGCCTGGTCTCGAACTCCCAACCTCAGATGATCTGCCCGTCTCGGACTCCCAAAGTGCTGGGTTTACAGACATGAGCCACCACACCCATCTGAGGACAGGATTTATAGTTAGTACATGAAAGGAGAAATCTTAGAGGCATTCCCAGAACTAGGGTTAATCAGAAGTCAATATGGCAGATTAGCATCCATGATGGAGTTACTTTAGCCCCCACAGTAAGTATCACTTATGCACAGAGAAACATAGGCACAGAGAGTTAATCATCTTGTCCAAGGTCACACAACCCATAAGTGGTGGAGTCAGGACTGCAGCACAGCAGTGATCTATTTTAGTGGATACAAGGGATGAGACTATGTGATCTCCAGGGTCCCTGTCAGTGACAAGCAATGTCTCTGTGGATGTTAGGGTTCTAAGGTTTTCTGAAGCACTCAACATTATCTCCCTAAAATTGTGCCTCCATGTGAATGTGAGAATGGACCCACATCAATGCAAAAAGTGGAGAGGGAGTCTGTATCTTGGCACAACATTTTCAGTCCTTCTCAAACTAGGAAAGGATGGTCATTCCACACCCCTTTCTCACATACAGTTAGATTGACAAGAGGCTTTCTTCCCAGAATATCTCTAAAGATAATGATATGTAATTTATGGCATGGTTCTGAGGAAGCCAGTAAGGTCGAGAGCCCAGGACTGCGCCTAGAAGAGAAGCCCCATGAGAGAGCAGCAGCACAAGGGCTCAGGGCTGCCTAGCAAAAAGCCTTAGTTCTGCCCAATGTTCTTGGTCCAGTTCTTGTGTGCAAGGAAAAGCAGAAGGTGCAATCTGAAGAGTGTTAGTAACTAGTAACTATCAGTAGCTAAAGGCCAGTAGGCTGGCAGAGGGGACATGTTATAAGGGTCCATTGTCTGGATTCCAACATACCTGGATTTTAGGGGTTGATGGAACTGTTCTGTATCCTCATTGTGCTAGTTTGCATAACTGTATTTGTTTGTCAAAACTGGCAGAGCTGCACCCTAAATTTTACTTTATGTAAATTATGCCCCAATTAAAAGAAAAGTAAAACAAAATCCTGCCACATATCTGATCTCATTTTATCCCCATATCTCTATCATCTAGGGCAGATTCTCTGCTTTGTGCTGGGGGAAGGTAAGGCTGGTGGAGGGGAGTGGAACTCAAGTGGCTTTGGGACCCTGGCCCCTTGCCTGGAGCTATTTACATTCTGATTTGGTGAGGCCTCCAAGACTTTAGCCCCTGGAGTTACTTCTCTCTCCCACCCTCTCTTTCCCATGAATATCCAATGTTTTAAGTCATCAGTCTAAATAACACCAATAATTGATAAATTAATTTGTTAACTAAAAATTTGGGCCAGGTGTGGTGTGGCTCACACTTGTAATCCCAGCACTCTGGGAGGCTGAAGTGGGTAGATCCCTTGAACCCAGAAGTTCAAGAGACCAGTGTGGGCAACATAGTGGAACCCCATTTCTATAAACAATTTTAAAATTAGCTCAGTGTGGTGGCGCATGCCGGTGGTCCCAGCCACAAGAGGCTGAGGTGAAAGGATCGCTTGAGCCCAGGAGGTGGGAGAGTGAGATCCTGTCAAAAAAAAAAAAAAAAAAGGTTTGGCAATGGGTGTCTGAATTCTGCAAAGCTCCAGAGAGCCACCTCCTTTCAAAGTCCCAAGTTTTGTCACAGGGAGGAGACAAGGAATACCTGTTTGGAGGAACCAACTGCCCCAGGCATGTTACTCTGAAATAAAAGGAACTTGGAGTTTGTAGGCAAAATATTCTTGGTTTGATAAGAAAAAAGCAGGGTCAAAGCTGGGCAATCTGTCACACTTCTCAGCAGTGACTTCTGACAAAGATTCTTTGCTTGGCCATACCTTTTTCAGGCTTCTGAATTTTCTGCTAGGCCCATCTGTGCACTTCCTTGTAAAATCCGGTTTTAGCAAAGAACCCTAAGTCCGTTTATCAAGAAGGTCCTATCCTCAATATCATCTTCAATATCTGATCAGGTTCCTCATCCTCCATTATTCCCCAGGCAATGTTTAATCACCCTGGCCTGTCTTCAGCAAGAATCCTATTAGGTATGTTTGGCCAGAATCTCCCTTACCTCTGATGTTTCTTCTTGGTAATTTTCTACCCACTGATCCCTATAGTGCTCCTTGGCTACAAACTCCCATTGAGCCCAATCTCTCTACCCCTCTGCAAGACCCGGTTGCAGTGGTCCCCATACTTGGTGGTCCTGAATAAAGTCTTCCTTACTGTGCTTTAACAAGTGTTATTGAATAATTTTTTCTGTTAACACTTCTAAACTGTCTGTTGAACTACATTTTGCAATTTGGAGAGCATCAGAATGGAGACCCTGACATAATTATATTTTAAACAGAAGTTATTGTTCTGGGCTGGGCACGGTGGCTCACGCTTTTAATCCCAGCACTCTGGGAGGCCAAGGCAAGTGGATCACCTGAGGTGAGGAGTTTCAAGACCAGCCTAGCCAACATGGTGAAACCCTGTCTCTACTAAAAATACAAAAAGTTAGCTGGGTGCGGTGGCGCGCACCTGTAGTCCCAGCTACTAGGGAGGCTGAGGCAGGAGAATTGCTTGAACCCGGGAGGCAGAGGTCGCAGTGAGCCGAGAGATCGTGCCATTTTACTCCAGCCTGGGCAAGAAGAGTGAAACTCCGTCTCAAAAAAAAAAAAAGAAGTTATTGTTCAACCTCAAACATCTCCATTAAAGATCTGTGATTTTTTGTTTGTTTGTTCTTTGTAAGTTGGGCTTTGACTATAGCATGGGACATATTATAATGGGTGCAATATTATTCCATTATATTAAAATTTATCCTGTATCATATAAAATCTATTGTATATTATTAACAGTAGCCAAAGTGATCGATCAACTTCCATCAACAAACTTACAATGCATATTAGGGAACTAACCCTGGTGTTAACAAAACATCCTCTGCTGGCTTTTTCTTACAAAGGCTGTGAACAAATGCCTTTGGTTTTCTGACAAAGGAGTCAAATTAATTCAAGGACTTCAAGTAAGGTATAGACTAAGCACAGATCAGCCCTTGACATTAATCTCCTTCTCTCCACCATGACCCCTAAGTCCTCAGGATTGTGTAAACACATTTGGAGAATAATTCAAAGCTAGCCATCATTAGCAGGGACTGCCCTGCCAAGCACACTGTGTGGAACAGGACCTGAACCAACAGCTTCTTTGTTATCCATCAACCCCAGGATGGGTTGCTCTTACCTCCAGGTAGGGAAGCTCTTCTTAGCTCCCTGGCAAAGGTGAAACAATCTTCATGATTTGTTTCCAGGTACTTCTAGGTGTGAATTAACATTTATGCAGTCTGTAAAATATGATGAAATTAAAATAAACATTTGTGAGGTTCAGTCCCCAAGTATTGTCTTAGAACATTCAGGCTGCTATATGACAAAATACCATAAACCAGGTGGCATATAAACAACAAACATTTATTTCTTTCAGCTCTGGAGGCTGAGAAGTCTAAGATCAAGTCACCAACAGATTCAGTATCTGGTGACAATGCATTCCTCATGAACACCACCTTCTCACTGCATCCTCACATAGTGGAAAGGGCAGATGAGCTTCCTTGTGCCTCTTTTATTATTCTTTTTTATTTTACTTTTTTTATACAGACAGGGTCTTGCTCTGTCACCCAGGCTGGTCTCAAACTCCTGGGCTCAAGCAATCTTCCCATATTGGCCTCCCAAAGTGCTGGGATTACAGACATGAGCCACCGCGCCTGGCTCCTTGTGCCTCTTTTATAAGGGCACTTATCCCATCTATTCTTCGTGGTCTAATAAGGCAGCAGCCAATAAATAAACAAACACCAAATAATAATCGATGTCGTCCGGGCGCGGTGGCTCACGCCTATAATCCCGGTGCTTTGGGAGGCTGAGGCCAGCGGATCACGAAGTCAGGAGATCGAGACCATCCTGGCCAACATGGTGAAACCCCATCTCGACTAAAAATACAAAAAATTAGCCGGGTGTGGTGGCACGTGCCTATAGTATCAGTTACTCAGGAAGCTGAGGCAGGGGAATTGGTTGAACCTGGGGAGTTGGAGGTTGCAGTGAGCCGAGATCGCACCACTGCACTCCAGCCTGGCCTGGCAACAGAGCGAGACTCCATCTCAAAACAAACAAACAGACAAACAAATAAAACTATGGCAATAAATGCAGCCTACCTGACAAGGTAAGAAGCCCTCTTGGAGCAGCTAAAAGTGAGCAGACCACTCCAAAGCCAGGGTGACAAGCATCCAGCCAGGGGGAGCTGCAAGCACAAAGACCCTGACTGGAAGGAGTTGAAGGGAGGCCAGGGCAGACCTGGGGGTAGTGACGAGGTGGGGGCGGTGACAGCTGAGGTCAGAGAGGTAGGCAGGGGCCAGATCACACAGGACCTCACAGGCTGGTAAAAAGGTGATGTCAAGGTCATTGAAGGTTAAGCACGGAGCGACATGATCTGATTTCCCTTTGTAAATAATCATGCTGGCTGTTTGAGTGGAGAACAGATTAAAATGGGAGAAAGTACAGAAGTAGGAAACCAACTTTTTATTAATTCAAAAACTTTTTATTAAATTCCTACTACATGCTAGGCTCCTTGACTAATGTGGGATGGTAGAAAAGGAAGAAAATGAATAAAGAGAGTGAGCTCTGTTCTGGAGGGAAAGCCAACAGGACCCGCTCATAGTGAGAATTCAGGGACACTGCAGAGAGAAAAAGCAGAATTTCACTCCCAGGTTTCTGGTTTTGGTAACTGAGAGGATGGTGGCACCATCTTGGGAAAGAGGTGGAAAACCAGGTCAGGGAGGGGTGGGAGGATGCAAGAATTGTTTCAGGGTCAGACGTGGTGGCCCACGCCTGTAATTCCAGCACTTTGGGAGGCCGAGGTGGGAGGATTGCCTGAGTAGAGACCAGCCTGGGCCACATGGGCAAGACCCCATATCTTAAAAAAAAAAAAGTTGTTTTGAAGAGGTAAGTCTGAGGTGCTATCTCCTAACAGGAGATAGTTACTGCCTCAGAGGTAGTCTGAGATGATATCTCCTAACAGGAGATATCAAGTGCTATGGATGAATGGAGGGCTTCAAGGAAGGTCTGAGCTAGATGACCATCAACATATACATGACAGTGGACATGAACATCTAGAGGAAAGAACTGAACCCCAAATATCTCCAGCAACCAATCAGGTAGAAGAGTCAGCAAACGTGGCAGTGAGATAAGAGTAAAACCACTGAGTGCAAAGCCTTGTATACCTGAATAAAGACACCCCAGGATGCAGAGGGACTAACTTTGAGGAGCTTACAGTCAATCTAGTGCAGGAGAGAGACATGCAAACAGGAAGTCACAAAACAAAAATAGTCCTATGAGAAGGAACGCACCAGGTGCAATGGGAACAATACATGGGCACCTAATCCAGCCTTGGAGAATCCCGGAGGACTGCCAGGAAGAGGTGATGGATAAGCCCCAAGGATGAGAATAAAATGGAGATAAGTAGGAGGAGTTTGGGGGAGATAACACTCAAGGCAGAGAGCGCAGCACGTGGAAATTCCTGCAAGCAAAAGAAAACATGGTCCTTTGGGGGAAAGGCAAGAAATTCTACATGGCTGGAGTGTGGAGGATGAGAGAGCAGGAGCTGAAAGATGAGGTTGGCACAGGAGTCAAATCATGGAGGTCCTTAAGTGCCAGACTAAGGAGGCTAGGCTTATCCCCAGGTCACTGGGAGGGAGTGAAACATTTTATCGACTCAGTGAAGATACTTCATTCTGCACAGATCACTGTGGCTACTGGTGGAGAATGGCAGGTGGCATGGAGACTCACCAGGGGGCTGTGGCCCACGAGAGATGGCGGAGGCCTGAATGAGACAGGATCTGCAGTGGAAACAAGGGGTGTGAAAGGCCTGGGACATAGCAGGCTTGCTGAGTGACTAGATGAGGGATTGGTAGGTGAGGGAGGGATTTTGAGGTTGAAGAGGGCCAATAAATAGCATCCAGGTCTCCTACCCCGAATTTGGAACCAGTTCAGACAGAGACACAGTCAGACAGATGGAAACAAAAGTAGTAGCTTCATTATTGATAAGGCTTAATTGGAGAACAAGGTTCAGCCTGTGTGGCTTCCCTGACATTTCTTTTTTTATTATTTATTTTTATTATTTTATTTTATTTTATTTTTTGAGATGGAGTCTCGCTGTGTTGCCCAAGCTGGAGTGCAGTAGCACAATGTCAGCTCACTGCAAACTCGGCCTCCCGGATTCACGTCATTCTCCTGCCCCAGCCTTCCAAGTAGCTGGGACTACAGGCATGTGCCACTACGCCTGGCTAATTTTTGTATTTTTAGTAGAGACAGGGTTTCTCCATGTTGGTCAGTCTGGTCTCCAACTCCTGACCTCAGGTGATCCACCCAACTTGGCCTCCCAAAGTGCTGGGACTACAGGTGTGAGCCACTGCGCCCGGCCTTCTTTTTGTTTTTTCTTCTTTCTTGTTTTTTTTTTTGAGACAGTCTTGGTCTTGTCACCCAGGCTGGAGTGCAGCGGTGTGATCTTGGCTCACTGCACAACCTCTGCCTCCTGGGTTCAAGCAATTCTCCTGCCTTAGCCTCCCATGTAGCTGGGATTTCAGGCGCCCACCACCACACCCAGCTGATTTTTGTACTTTTAGTAGAGACGGGGTTTCGCCATATTGGCCAGGCTGGTCTCGAACTCCTAACCTCAGGTGATCTGCCCGGCTCGGCCTCCCAAAGTGCTGGGATTATAGGTGTGAGCCACTGCACCCGGCCTCTTTTTTTTTTTTCTAACCTTTTTTTTGTTTTAGTTTTGTCTTTGTTTTTGTTTTGAGGCAGGGTCTCACTATGTTGCCCAGGCTGGCCTTCAACTCCTAGGCTCAAACTATCCTCCTGCCTCAGCCAAGTAGCTGGGACTACAGGTGTATACCACTGTGCCCAGCCTCCTTAATATTTCTTGAATTAACTCTACCCACACAGTCATAGCAAAACTGGGCAAACATGAGCCCCCTCCCCAAGGACAGCCCCCCACAGAAGAGGGGAGCCTCTTCCCCAAGGACAGCTCCCTACAGCTCAGGGAGAGAGGGCTGAGCCACATGGGACCAGTTTCTCCTTGCAACTCACCAAGTTGATGATTCAGTCACTCACCCACCAATGGGAAATGAAGGAGAGGGCAGAGAGGCCAGAAGTATTCCTCCCATATTTTCCCTTTCCTGTAGAGTAGATTGGAAGTTCTCAGCCTTCTCTAAAAATGCGAGAAGAGGAGGAAAGGGTCCCTCACTGTGCTTAGAGATCTTCCATTTGGCCTTCTAGATCCAACCACTCTGGGCCATGGGTCTAAGTTCTTGTTCTTGGGATCTCTCCACACACACAGTCCCCCAACCCCCCAGTTCTGGTCACCACTCTGTCCCCTCTCCCCTGTAGGCCTCAGGGTGAGAACAGATTCCCAATGGTACTGTGCAATCCCTTGAAGTTTCTTTAGAGCCTGCCCACATATTTGCAAACAACCTCTTTATTAAAAACTCAAACAATCCTAATTTGAGTGTGTCAGCTGGTTCCTGTGGGAAACCTTGATAGTCACACTCCTTCCCCCAGATAAAGAGAAAGCAAGCACAACTGACATGGGAAATGATTAGGACTGTCTTCCTGTGGGTTATGGCTTGAGAAGTTTGCTGCTCAGGAAAGATAGTGGGCTTATTGAGATAGCAGTTGTCTTTTAATAGCTCTACTATTTTGGTGAGAATGATGCTACTCAGTTAAAAAAAAATCATTGAAAATCCCACCTCTCGGAAACAAACACTATTAAAATGTTTTCTCTTTGTGTGTGTGTGTGTGTGTGTGTGTGTGTGTGTGTGTGTGTGTGAAGATGAAGATCTCCTTATGTTGCCCAGGCTGATTTCTAAGTCCTGGCCTCAAGCAATCCTCCTACCTCAGCCTCCAAAGTGCTGGGATTATAGGCATGAGCTACTAAGCTCAACCAGCTATTAAAGTTTTTGATTAATACTATTCTACATATTTCTCTACACATATATGCTCCTACAGATATACTCGATTTTACATGAATGAGTCACACTCTAAATGCTGTATCAAAACCTGCTTTTGGCACACATGTTCTCAGGATCTCTTGAGGGCTGTGTCACAGGAAATAAAAAAAGAAAGAAAAAAAAGAAAACCTTGCTTTCTCTCACTCATCCATAAGCCTTGTGTTTTGAGTTTCCTGTGGAATAATTCAAGTAAATGTGTCCAGAAGTAAATTGCATATAACAATCTAGAATTAAAAAGAGAGGTGTGGTCTTGGGGTCACCATCAGAGAGCTGGTCACCAAAGCCTCAGGAGGTAGAGGGTCCTAGCAGGCAGAGGGTGGAAGACAGAGAGGCAAGTGCCAACCAAAAGGTCCCTGGAACGCAAACAGTGATGGTGGGAAGGAGAAAAGCACAGGAATTCTTGGCCTTCAAGAGAGGGGCGGCCAACAGCGTAGATGGCCAACATCAGGTCAAATAAGATAAAGGCTTTGGATTTGGCAACAAAGTGGTAGCTAGTGGCCTGGAAGAGTGATTTTAGTCAAGTGGTAGTGTGGGAGCCAAACTGTAAAAGAGCTAAAGAGATAATGGAAGGAATCCACCTGCTCACACCACCGCTACTCCACTCCCTCTTCATCACAGCTCTCAGACTCCAATGTGCATATGAATTACCTGGGCCTAATGTTATCATGTAGATCTGATTTAGTAGGTCTGGGTGGGGACTGAGGTTCTGTATTTCTTACCAGCTTCCTTGTGATGTGTTTGCAGTGCAGCCCCGATAAGCTCACCTGGGGTTTTACCAAAGACACTCAAGTGTGGATGAAAATGAATTCTTGCGGTCCTAGATGCACCTCAGAGAAACACTGAAAAGGAACACTAAGGAAACTTCTCATCTGCCTCGTTCTTTCCTGTGTGTATGTGCCTCACTCATGAAAATCCCTACATTTGGGTCATTTGAAAGTTTGCTTTTTTTTTTTTTGAGACTGAGTCTCACTCTATTGCCCAGGCTCACTGCAACCTCCACCTCCCAGGTTCAAGTGATTCTCCTGCCTCAGCCTCCCGAGTAGCTGGGATTAAAGGCGTGTGCCACCACACCTGGCTAATTTTTGTATTTTTGGTAGAGAAGGGATTTCCCCATGTTGGTCAGGCTGGTCTCGAATTCCTGATCTCAAATGATCCTCCCGCCTTGGCCTCCCAAAGTGCTAGGATTATAGGAGTGAGCCACTGTGCCCGGCCTAAAAGTTTCTTAAATCCCAAATGTATGAGACTTTTCTAGTTAACTTTTTGTTATTTTTCTACTTTAATTGCACTAGGTCCAAGAATACACTAATATTATAGTCCTTTAAAACTTGTTGAGATTTGGCTGGGCAGGGTGGCTCACACCTGTAATTCCAGCACTTTGGGAGGCCGAGACAGGCAGATCACCTGAGGTCAGGAGTTCGAGACCAGCCTGACCAACATGGAGACACTCCATCTCTACAGAAAATACAACGTTAGCCGGGCGTGGTGGCTCATGCCTGTAATCCCAGCTACTCGGGAGGCTGAGGCAGGAGAATTGCTTGAACCCGGGAGACGGAGGTTGTAGTGAACCGAGATCACGCCATTGCACTCCAGCCTGAGCAACAAGAGCGAAACTCCATCTCAAAAAAACAAAACAAAACAAAAAAAACCACTTGTTGAGATTTGCCTTATAGCTAAGTACATGGTCAATTTTTGTAAATGTTCCATGAGTGCTTGAAGACAACATATTCTACAACTGTTGGGTGCAGTGTTATGTCTATTAGGTCAAATTTCTTAATCAGGTTGACAGGTCTTCATATTCTATTGATTCCTAAAAGGAGATGTGTTAAAATCTCCAGTCTCCCTACCAGGAAAGCCTTTCCTCCTCACCTCAGTCCACGTTATTCACGATAAGCAAAATGTTACGTGGCCTTTGCAGACCCAGCCCTTACCCTAATGCAACTGACAACCTCAGAAGACTTCCCTGGTCACCAACACCTCCCCAACCCCACCTCATACCTGGCACTCCTTCTTCCTCCTCTGAGCTCTTACAGCATTCACTGTCTATACAAACAATTTGACACTTACATAATTTGTCTTCATCACAATTATTTGAGTTGATAATTTACTCCTGTCAGGTTTTAAATTCCACATGGGTAAAGATTATCTTATTTTTCTTTTATAACAGTTTTATTGGAATATAGTTATTGACATACCATAAAATTCACTCTTTAAAAGCATACAGTTCAATGGGAAACTATCTTATTTATTCTGGCATCGTCTATAGCTGTGGTTCTCAGTCTTGGGTGCACACTGGAATTACTGGAAGAGCTTTAAAAAATCCTTCAGTCTGGAAAAAAAAATCCTTCAGTCTGGATCTCCCCTTCAGAGGTTCTGGCTTAATTGGTTTGGGGTGTGGCCTGGGGATGGGAACTTTTTTAAGCTCCTAGGATGATTTTAACTTGTAGCCGGGGTTGCCCTAGAGTGCTCTGTTCATAGCAGGCACCCAAGAACTGTCTGTTGTAATCATCAATTAGCTTTAACTTCTAGTATCCAGTTAATTAACTCACTCAAAAGTGGCCGTCTGTCTCCCCAATAGCCCATCAGCTCTTATCACATAATGGTCTGCTTATATCTGTCTCCCCAACTCAGCAGGAAAGGAACACTATGAGACAAAAGCATGTAGAAAAGGTAAGTTCACTTGCAAAGATGTGCAGACTTAGTAGGACTGGATCACTGAATAAGAAATACAACAGATATTAGACCGCGAGCGGTGGCTCACGCTATAGGCGTGAGCACGTGAGCACTTTGGGAGGCCGAGGCGGGTGTATCACGAGGTCAGGAGTTTCGAGACCAGCCTGGCCAAGTTGGTGAAACCCTGTCTCTACTAAAAATACAAAGATTAGCTGGGCGCGGTGGCGGGCGCCTGCCCCAGCTACTCGGGAGGCTGAGGCAGGAGAATCGCTTGAATCCGGGAGAGGGAGGTTGCAGTGAGCCAAGATTGCGCCACTGCACTCTAGCCTGGGCGACAAAGTAAGACTCCGTCTCAAAAAAAAAAAAAAAAAAAAAGAGAGAGAGAAAGAAATACAATAGATATTAAAGGAAAAAATGTAAAGGAAAAATTACCACATTTACATTTGTCTTTTCAGCATAGATGACATGCTCACGTTGAGGAATGTGTGTCACAAGAATTGTGTGTGACATATCCCCAAATTTCCACATTCAAAAGTCAGGGATAATATGGTATTCATCCGGGAATCAGTAACTCATGGGAAAAGCTCAAGATGTCATTCACTTTGGAGACCAGATGTAAAGGAGTAGTATGGGTACTTTGTCTCAGGGTGGAAAGTGTCTGTTATGGTTTTCTTCCTTCCCATGGGACTTGTTGCACACTCTTACAATGGCGGCAGGACCGGCACGCTTGCTTGCACAGCTGTGAGCTGCATGAAGGCAGGGATGGTTTTGGTCTTATCCGTTATGGCATCCCCTTGTGGCAAGTTAGGTGTTCAATAAATATCGGTGGAATGCATGTGATTACACTTCATGCCACAGTATATAAATATGATTTTAACTGGACAGGGAACTGCAAAAGTTTCCCATATTGATCCTTTTTGCAATCTTAATTATGGTACTCTGAGCTGGGATATTGCCTAAACTGTCTGGGCTACAACAAACTCTGAAGGGGCTTTTACTTCCACGTCCATAGTGGTTGAGGGTTCGCGTTGTGTGAACGCTGGAGCCTCACGTGAGTAGCTGAGTAGCGAGGATGGTCACTCCCAGATAAACGAATACAGGATTCTCGCGGCTGGGAGCGGTCGCCCGGCGAGGTCGGTCATTCTGCCTGTCCGGTAGCACCACGAAACACCTGCCACTGACACCTCCCCACCAGCCCCCGAGGGTTCGCGCAGGCATCCCGAGCCGCGCCCCCTGGTCCGCCGCAGCCAGATTCCCTCCCGGGCGGGTTACGCCCCTAGGCGCAAAACGGAACCACTCCGTATGAAGAAGACAAAGTATAACCAGTCACACCAAAGAGAGGCAGCATTATTTAGACAGCCGGCTACTCCCCCAGAGACTCCACCCAGTCCCCTGGGCCCGGCGTCCAGCGCGCAGACGGTGCCCGGCTCCAGGAGTTCCAGCTCCCTCCACGTGTCCTGTCTTCCCAGCAGCCTCCTCTGCCGCCTCGGGAGGAAAATCTCCTGACAACTCGCGGTCTGCGGACTACGACTCCCAGGAGGCGCCGCGCCGCGGCTCTCCCCGCCCCCCCCCGCCCCCCCCCCCCTCCCCGGGACGCGCAGGCGCCTTGGGCTCCGTCAACAAGCCGGGCTGGCGTCGCCTGGATGCGGTTTCTTCCGGGATTTGTAGTTTTTCTGGAGCTACCCGGGCCGTCTGTTAGAGGGACAAGAACTACAAGTCTCGGCTGCCCCAGCGCTGCGAGCCTGGTCACGTGGCGGGGGCCGACCGGGCGTGCGTGCCGCCGTTGATCCGGTGCTGCAGTGAGGAGGTGGTTCTTGCCCGTGTTGTGTGTGTGTGTGAGTGAGAGAGCGAGTGAGTGAGTGAGTGAGTGTGTGTGTGGGGGGGACTCGGCTTGTTGTTGTCGGTGACTTCCCCCTCCCCTTCACCCCTTCCCCTCCCCGCCGCCGCTGCAGTGGCCGCTCCCTGGGCCGTAGGAAATGAGCGATAACGATGACATCGAGGTGGAGAGCGACGTGAGTCCTGGGGCTTCTTCCTTCCCGTGCGGGTTGTCAGGCGGGGACAGCGGCCGGGGCTCTTAGCGGGGCGACGGCGGGAGGGGGCCGGGCTGCCGCCGCCTCCTTCCCCTTCCCCTCGGGGCCAGGAGTGCCTCCGTCGCGTTCCCGGTTCGCTCCCCTCCGGCTCCTGGCCGGAGCGGCCTCCTGGGACTGGAGGTTGGGGGAAGACACGCGGCTTCTGGGACCCCCACCTCCTCCCTTGCGGGAGGGTGCTGCGGCCTCCCGCTCCCACCTTCCCCGGCTCAGGATCCGGGGGACAAGGATGGGGGGCGCCCGGGATCCCATTGTCCGGATCCAGGGGAAGGGGACGGCGTTCAGGACCTGCCCCTTCGGACTGCGATCCTCTCCTCCCGTGACCCGCGGATCCTGGGGGCCGGGGAAGGGCGGAGAGGGGTTGGGGGTGCCTAGATGCCCGAGCTGGGTCTGCAGGGAGGAGACAGTGCTCGGGACCCCTCTGGCCCAGGTCGGATCCCGGAAGGAGGGGCGGCGCTCGGGACCCCTCTACCCTGCTACCGGATCCCGCCGAGGGTGGAAGGGTGGGGGCAAGGGGTGGGGAGGGAGGAAGGGGTGTCGGGCTGACTCCCCACCCTCCGCTTCCTCTGCCGCCGGCATTTTCTTTCTTATTATTGAATGTTAAGTGTAAAAATAACTTCTATATTTTCTATTTTTTTTTTTCTCTCTTATTCCAGGAAGAGCAACCGAGGTTTCAATCTGCGGTACGTCTCCTACTCTCCATTTCATTTTTATTTCCGTTCAGTTCTATTCCTTTTTGGGGTCAGAGAGAAAAAGAGATCGTACTATTACTTTTAATATTGTAGTAAACTCTAATGTTAACCACTAAGGTGAGGTGGGGCCTGGTTCTGGAGGGTGGGGGGGTTGCAAATCCCATTATTCTAGATTCTCAGGTGATAAGTTCAGTGATTCTAGGTGAGTAAGAGGAGCTGTATGCAAAGAATTGAATTGTTCTGTAGTTTTCAGATAGGGGATCCAGATGCCACTATGTAAGTGGAAATGAGAAATGCAGCATTCTGGTCTGGTAGTATTATTTCAGGGCAAAGTGGTCAGAAGATTTATTTAGGAACAAGTAGGTTTTAAACCATATCTGTATAATTGTGTGAAGCTGAAGCCACATGCGGTAATCGCCTTTAACCAAGTCATGTGACTGCTATAGACCCGTAGAATCTAGCACAACATGGTATTCTAATGCAAAAATTGGAAATGTAGAGGAGCCAAACGTTACATCATCAAAGTGTCACATAAAGTTATTATGGTCTGATTCTCTGTATTTGAAGAAAAGGTATAAAGAAAATTAAAAAATAGCTGAAGAAAAGTGGCATTGCAGAGACAGCTTTGCTGAAAGGTGATGGATGAGACCATAGAGTGTTATCAATAATTTCTTAGGGTTTTGATATTAATGTTCTCAGTAGATGGTTCTGTGGATTTAGATAAGCACTAATTCCATGTCTTTGGAGTCTGAGACAGTAATATGGATGTTTCATGAATAGATTTGAGGGAAAAAAGAATACACACAGAATAAATCAGAATCAGCGAGGGGAAGAGAAATAAGTATATCAGAGTGTCTAATATTTGATAGTTGGGAGCAGTAAGAAATGTATAGAATGGGGGTAAAAAGTTCAAATGCCCATGAGGGCCATAAAGAATAAAGAAGGAAGAGGTGAGGGCTTGGGTACTGGAGAGCAGTGCCTCTTCTAAAAAGTCAGCACTACTGAACTCCAGTGGTTTGTTAGTAGGAGTGAAGGGTCAGTATTGCCAGATCTTCCTATTTTTAATTTTATTTTATTTATTTATTTTTGAGACAGAGTCTCACTCTGTCACCAGGCTGGAGTGCAATGGCGCTATCTCGGCTTACTGCAACCTCCGCCTCCTGGGTTCAAGCGATTCTCTTGCCTCAGCCTCCCGAATAGCTGGGACTACAGGCGCGTGCCACCACACCCAGCTAATTTTTGTATTTTTAGTAGAGACGGGGTTTCACCATGTTGGCCAGGCTGGTCTCGATCTCTTAACCTCGTGATCTGCCAGCCTCGGCCTCCCAAAGTGCTGGGATTACAGGCATGAGCCACCACGCCCAGCCGATCTTCCTATTTTTTAAGAAAGATTAGAAATCTAAAACTTTATGTTATTTTTCTGATTTTTAAAATGATGTGTGGAACAACTGTTTGGGGGCTTGTTAGAATTTGCAGGATGTCACTTTGATACCTCTGGTATAAGAACTTGATAACCACAGGGTAAAGGCAAGCCATCTCAGTTATACCTGCTCTTCATTAGAGCAAGCAAAGATTGTGCAGGTTGTCTAAGCAGATAGGCATTAAGAAAACTTATTTATTGAGAGCTGATATTTCCATAAAATCCGGGGATGTAGTTGTTCCAAAAGTCTTAAAAATTATCCCTGGGTAATAGTCATTAAAGATAATTTGTTTTATTTTATTTATCCTTGAAGTATTCTCATATACTTATGCATATATTTGAAAATTGAATTCCTTTTTCACATTTACTTTTATCCTTCATGTTTGGGGCCTAGTCTGTTGAAAACTTTTTTTTTCCCTGCAAGTCTCCAGTTGTAAAATCTGTGCTAGGGCTTGATCAGAGCTGGAGGGTAAGGATCGTTTAGCCTTCCTTTGCAGAATTATCCTTTGAATTGAAATTATACTGACTTCCCAGTAAGAGAAAGTTGTGTTTTTTTTGTTTGTTTGTTTGTTTGTTTGTTTTTTTGGTGAAATTTTGGCTCGCAGTTCTTGAAAGCTTTCTGCTTTTCAAAATTTTCATCCATATGATCGTTGATATAAATTTGTTATTAAATTATTATAATGTTTCTGCTTTCCTGGAATGCTAATCTCATTGTTTTGTCTAGATGTTTTTAGTTTGCTGTTAAGGTGCCTAGGATTTTTCCTTTTGATTTTGGGGGTAGGCAAAGGAAGTTGGTTTGACACTTTGTTTTTAATTTAACACATCTATTTGTTGATATTTCTAAATATTACTCTGCACAATGTAATTACAACAGCATGGAGAGAAAAAGCAGATATGTTATAAACAAATTTTATAGTATATCAAACAACTATTGTGACTGTGTAGGGTAAAAAGGATTCCATTTTTTCCCCTCTGTGAATGCATCTGCTTACTTCTCAATATTTAATATGGATAATAAATATATTTTTTAAAATTTAAGAGGGAGCTATTCTTAAGTTTTGCCTTAGAAAAAAGGTTTAAAAAAAGATGTGGACTGTGAACAACCAAATACTTAGGTATTCAGGACTACAGAAGATGTTGAAAAAGTTATTTGAAAAGGGTTCTGTGGATCCTAATATAAAAACATTCATGTATGTTTTATAATGTCACTACAATATATAGGCCTTACTACATGAGAAATGTAAGATACTGAGAAGAGAGTTAGGAAGTTAGGCTAACTCTAACAGAAAGTGAAACTGATTTGGCAAATATTTTTTTCTATTGCTTCAGTACAAACGGAAAACAGCTTCTCCAATGGCCAGTAAGCTTTGTTAAAGGAAGTAACCCCAAAGAGTATTCTTACTACTAAATTCAGTACATCGCAAAATCCCACTGATGTTATTTTTATTATATTTTGGAGGGAAGAGGTTGCATTTTAAAGATAAATTTGTGGGACAGGTATATTATATTGCAAGGGCTTCCTTTTGCTTTATTTCTGTTTGGGAAATTTCTTTAGGAAAGAGTGTAAGTATACAGGAAATGTATGGGTTAGTGTGTTGGTCAGGAAATGCAATTTTTTTTCCAGTGACCATCCTTGATGGCACCTGACTGAGTTGCAGTTGCAGTATACTTGTGAGGGGTTTGAAAACAGATTTGTGCAATTCCACTTCTGGACCTTTCTGGCATGAAATATTTTTAACTTCTCAGAGCTCTTTGCTTCTTTAGGAATATTCAGAAGAGAACGAGCTTGGTAGCCTCCGAGATTGGAATTCACTCAGGAAACTACTGTCTGTTTTACCTGCAGTCAGTTGCATGGCAAAAGTGCTGCACAATGCATGTACTTTTTCTCTGCTTAGAGTGTTGACAGTGATGCTTACAGTGATAACAAATGCCAGAGTTAGTTCCTAAATGTGCCTGTGTTAGGGTAAAAGTTGTTCTTATGTCTAAAAGAATTTTTCCAAGATGCCAGTAACGGTGAAATAGTTGGTCAAAGAATTCAGCTTGGTTTTTAATTAAAATTTCCTGACCAAGGCATCCTTCTCTGAAATGGCTATAGTATGAGGCCCTGTTTGGATTATAGCATTTGCCAGTTATTTTAGGCACCAAAAGAAAAAAGTTTGAAAACAAATACATACATTAGATAATGTTGGAAATGTATACCAGGCAATCAGCTACAAGCAGGACAGGTATTGGAAAATTGAAATCCATGTCTTTCTCTTAGGGAGCTTGGTGAGTTTATCCCATCCTACCTGCCTATTATTTTATGTTATAATTTTTGGGTTGATTAAAATGAATATTTTAAGTTGCTTAGAAATTGAGCTTTATCCTATCTTGTTCTTATCTATCAGAAGTAAGAAATAGATCTTTTCGGATGAGATTTTTGGGTCTGTGTATTCTCGTGTCCTTAGTCTCTAATAAGAATAGCTTGATAAGAATCATAAGCAACACAAGCTTCCCTCTAAAATACAACCTTCACATTTTGTAAAGGTAGTAAATATTGAGTGGGCAACTAATTCCCTATATGCTGAGAATTTTCTGTATTAGAATTGAGATGGTTCCCCTTATAGGTGGGGTTAGCTGTCAGGTAGCCTGTAAGACATGGCATTGTTCTGGAGAACCTTGTGCATCCTGGAATAATGAAGCATTTATTTCCCCGTGCTATTTGCCTAGAACTTGGAGGAAATAAGATTACTGACTGATGTGATGCCTTGAACAAAGATGCAGTCTCTCTGCAGTAAGTTGGAAGGAAATAATTTTAAGAGATTTCCCTCAATTTTGAACAGACCTCCTTAGCCTAGATGACTTCTTGCCAACATAGCAACTTCTTGGCTAACAAAATAATGTTTGTCTTCAACATCTAACAACACTTAAGATACACGTGCTTGGTAGTGTCAAAGATGGACAAATTGTAGGTGAAGATTTTTATTCTGTCTACCAGTGTGGAAAGTTGGGTAGAAATATAACTGAGAGGCTGAATAAAAACTTTGGCAGAGATGTCAAAGCTGGAAGTGATTTGGTGCGGGAGTTTCTGTTGAGCATCTGTGGACCACTGCATAGCCCCTTAGTATTTCTGTTAGGGATGCCCTGGAGGAAGGGTTTTCTGGCAGACATCCAGACGTACAAATCCAGCGTACTAGAAGAGTGGGCAGCATCCAGCCACTGTAACCATAGGATGTGTAGGGGAGATGTTTGGGAGCCTGCTGTACAGTCCAAGAATACCTCTGTGGTCTCCTAGAATAGGGCCTAATTAATTCCACAAGGGGGTTTTCCGTACCATTTGTTTTCATTACTGAACATCATTCTCAGTACAGGCTCATCTGAGTAGAGTTTTATTTGTTCAAGACAATTGTTTGGGCTTGTTTTTTAAAACCAGTTTTGCATTTGGGGGAGGATATTAGATGCCTTACACTGGGAGTCTTCACCCAGTTTTTCTTCTTCAACTCTGAAATCTTGGCCCTCTCAAAAAGGGTTGCCAGCAAGCAAAGACAGTTAACAAGGCAGTGATAAAGCCTGCAAACTAGTCCTCCAATGGGGGTGGGGATGAGGCGCGGGCAGTGTTATTGGTCTGGGTGGATCTGTGGTTTGGAAATGTTTCCCACAGAGAATTCTCAGCCTTGTGTAAAGGTTTTTCTGTTTTTCATGTGCTCTTTCAAAACATTAGTGATAACATTTAATTCACAGTTGCCTGGAATTAGGCTTGTTAGTTCTGCATGTTTTTAACTTGTTCTTTCAAATCAAGCTTGGGGAAGAGAAAAATACATCCTTGCCATTGTCTCTGAGAGATTTAAAATTGACTCCACTAGTAGCTCAGGGATGGACATGGCAGCAGGGATTGGTGTAAGATTCCACTCTTCTGCTAGTTAAATTGGGCCTGGAACCACTACAGAAATTCCATCCACTACTTTGAGAACAACAGTCCCCAGCCCAGGCTTTCTACCAGGCAGTGGACTGCTGCCTTTCCTTGTTGAGCCAACTTCTCAAACTTGGCTGGCTCCCCAGATGAGAAGCCAAGATTTCTGCTCATGATCTACAGCCAAGTTCACTTACAATCCTCCAACCGAGAGACTTGTCCATTTGAGTCCTTTCAGAGCTCAGTGAATGGGAGGGGGTAGTGCATTGTGGGGATGATTTTGGTGTTAGATTATACTTAGCTCCACCCCTTTAGTGCAGGTCCACGTGAAACCAAGTGCAACTTCATTCTAGCTGTTTGAGATTTGCAGGGCTCTCCCAGAAAGAAAACAGACAATTAGAATTTTATTTGTATCAACAAGAGGGATTGTGGGTAATTCTGGTGCACAGCTCTTAGCTGGGAGGAGGGCCAAGAATCAGGGTGATTTAGTAGACAGGAGTATCTTGGGCTGCTCTGGAGACCAAAGATGGGCAATTAATTTGCATGTAAATAAACCACCTTAGGTAGTATATAGCAAACAGGAGCCGCAGACACATGCCAAATATTGTCTCTTGGCCTTTAAGCTCCTTAGGTATAGTCGCAGCCCAACTT
Source organism: Homo sapiens (assembly GCF_000001405.40). NCBI lineage: Eukaryota > Metazoa > Chordata > Mammalia > Primates > Hominidae > Homo > Homo sapiens. Next base: position 65,095,576 of record NC_000014.9, on the reverse strand, counting down.
ATCTTTATGTAGATGATCAGAGGGAACAACAGTAAGTTCAAAAGGACTAGATACTTAAATAGGTTCAATTCTGTCGCACTATTTCATGCTACTGTTAGAAGGCATCTATAATTTTGCGCTAAAGTTGTATGATACAGAGTACCTACCTCTACCCTCAGGTTATGTGGTGTTCCAAACTTGACTGTCCTCTCAGCTTCATATTTCATGTCACTATAGTTCAGTAAACATTCATTTTACAGTGAATCCAGACTTAACAAGATTAGGACAACTTTAGAAGTGCTCCAGGCATCTGCCCCAAAAAGAGAGATATGCTATGGAGAACCATGGTTGTCATGGGAACCACATGTCCAGTTCAACAGAGCTGTAGGTGAGGTATTATGTTTAAGAGACCAGGAAGTAACTCAGATGACTACAGGTGCTCCCAGTCTCCTCTTCCTCTGTAATGACTGGGACTTTTAGGATTAAATAACAGGAGAATTTCAAGTCCTTTCGTTTTCACAACTCTTGATAGATTTTTGTCTGTACATCTTCTCTAGTACAAGGATTAATGTGAGGCAGCATTATTCTTGTGCTAAGCCAAGTTATTTACTCTTGTTCCATTTTTTGAATTTCTGGCCCTCTGTTTGTATAGATTTAAGCTACCTGAACTTCCCATGTACAGACTGGCTCTCTAGATTAGCTCAGTGCAACGTTGTGCATTCAAGGTGAATGTTCAGAGCATAATTTCCGTAATTCCTAGAGTGTAGGTGTGATGAAGTTCTTCTTGCTTTGGGTTGTTTGTGTTCCATTTGGAGGGGAGACCCCTCTGATGGGGACCTGCTGAAGTGCTCTTATCATGCTCTCCAGCGCTATCTCTTCTGCCTGAAGCCAGAGCATTTTGCCATTCCTGATTTGGTGTTGGCAGTTTTGGTCCATCTCCAGCTGACCGTTCTTTGTGATTCCAAGCAGGCTAAGGCTTTGACTTGGATATTTAGATACTGCCAGTTAGCCTGACCTGCCACAGGTACCTGAGAGAATTTATTCTGAGTATGTGGTGTCAGAAGTTGTGCCCTCTAAGAACTGCCTGTCAGGCACTGCCTGTGTGCAAGGAAGCCCTTGGCAGGATAGCACCTTGGATCTACTTTTAAAAAATAGGAACTCAGAATTCAGTTGTCATCTTATCAGCTCTGTCATAATGATCTCAGATTCATGCATCTAGGTTTTATAGAGGTTTTAGCTTCTGTTGTATGATTTGGTGAGAAGGTCTTAAACTAGTGCCTTTTAGTGGGCTTGGGACTCATGGTGATGGTTTCACATTAAAGAAGCACCAGTGACTTAACTCTTTCTTCCCCTGGACACCCATCTGGGGAATCTCTTACAGTGGAGGTGATCACATCTTAAGAAGGGGCCACTGGAGCTTTCTCTAGTCACTTCCTAACCACAGACTGGTGGCTCTTCTGTCACATAAGCAAGTTGGGGGGGACCACTGATGTTACAGGAGAGTCACACTTTGTCCCCCTGAATAACTTTTATTTTACTTATGCATGAGCTGGATGCATCGAGCTACTTTGGATGTTCCTGTCGCAAGCGTTGCTCACCCCTTTCTCCCCCTTTAGCAGAGCCTAATTCTGGAGACTCCTAACTGCCCACCTCGAGAAATCCTTCCCAGTCCACTCGCCAGGGACAGTGCTGACAGCGTGTACTTCCAGGCTGTACCCCACCCACCTTGTACCAAGCAAAAGGAGTGACATTCCTAATGTGTTCTTTCTCCCATTCTTCTAGGCTGACAAACGGGCTCATCATAATGCACTGGAACGAAAACGTAGGGACCACATCAAAGACAGCTTTCACAGTTTGCGGGACTCAGTCCCATCACTCCAAGGAGAGAAGGTGAGTTTCCTGAGAAAGCTGAGTAGCTGGCCACTACTAGCTTGGAACTTGTTGCAGAGCTTAGCAGAGCACTCACCTATTGGGAAGGAAATGTAGTCAGAGATATTCAGGTAGCATGGTTGCCTTATTTTTGACTGTTTGGAGGATCACTGCACACCTTACGTACTCCAGTTTATCCTTAACAAAATATGTCAGATATAATGGAGCTATTTGTGAGATAATGGTAGGAGTTATCTTTTAAAATTTGTATTATTTGTAATAAATTCAAGAAATTATAACTATACACTATAGTATAAAGAGTGGCCAAGAGTTCGTTTGGGATAACAGTAAAGATTCCAGAGGTCATTAATACCCTAGACCTCCATGAGAATTCCTTTCCTATGGTTCAAAGTTAATACTTTATTGTAAATGAGCACTTGCAGAAATGTGTGTAATGTATGTGAAAAACAACCTGGGCACCATTGATTTTCCAGCCCCAATAATTGTTATTTCCAAGGCGTATAAAGAGCATTTTAAGCTGTGGGACAAAAGACTTGAGTGAAGAGACATGTTCATGTGAAACAGAAAAAAAATAACCATTCTTCCCCACTCCCTTCTGGAACCTAGTGTTTTCCCTGGAGGGCTAGGCACCAGCTGTTTCTACATTTGAAAAACAAAATTAGAAGCTTTGAGTAAAAGCCTATGGGTTAGGGTCACTCCCTGGAATTTGGAGAAAACATCTGCATGGCTAGTTCCATCCTTGACAGAGAGTGTAGTTGTCTGTAGCAATTCATTGGAATAACTGGCAAGCTGGGAAGAGGACCTGTGTTTTTGCTTTAGTGATCCAGTGTTTTATAAAGAAGGAACTATTCTGTTAAGAACAATCTTTGCTTTTGGGTGCACTTTGATTTAGTTCTGTGGTGGGGGTCCTGGATTTGTTTGGTTATCCAAGATCAAATTTGGAACCCTTATGCTTTCATTTTTTATATTGTCACTCTGGTAAGTTATGGCCTCTATACTTTATCTAAGGTGTGGCTTTCCATGTGGCGTAAACATGGAGAAGTTCTGACCTTTATAAAGAACAAAACAGGCCATGTACATACCTGGTATTGCAAAACCAGAATTTGCCATGGGTTAAGCCTACTTAGTGTGGACTTGATTTAATGACCTTAAACCAAGGTACTTACCTGGAATAACAACCTTCCTGGGTACAACACTAAGTACCACGGAAATCTTTATGACTAGAGACAGACTCACCCCTTTAGTCAAAGTAAACACATGCCAAAGATTATCTCTTAGGCTTCTTTGACCTGTTGACAGTTGGTGCTTATTCCTGTACCATAGTATCAATTAAAATTGCTTTGGTAAACTATATGGAAAAGAGCTGCCTTCTCCTAAGTCTCACCTAACCAGGAGTGGCACTGGGGCAGTGTTTCTCAAGGGGTGAGTTGCGGACCACCCACATACGATTCACTACTGAATCAGCCTTTCTGGATGGAAACCTGGGAATCTGTATTTATAACAAGCAGTCAGATGATTCTTAGGCATTCTTAAGTTTGAATACATTGGGAGAGGTGGGTCATAGGATCACAACTATACCTTTTCCTTATCCAGCCTATTTTACAATGCCATAACATTCTTCCTTAAGTCCTTATAATTACATTATTCTAAATCCTATTTTCTCCTTTCTTTCTTCAAGGAAGTTAAAGGTTTGAATTTGGTAGTCTTACAAATGGAATAGTCTGTCATTTGTTGTGGCTCATTTATTTACTCATTCATGCCATTCAACACATACTTACTGAGGGTCTGCTACATGCCAGGCACTATCCTAGATACTGGGAGTACAGCAGTAAACAAAACAGACAATAACAGGAGCTCTTGCTCTGATGAGGAAATGATTAAAAAATGAAGTAAGAATTTAAAATATATGTATTATGTCAGGTAAGTACCATGGAGAAAAACAGAGAAGAAGAGTTGCAATTTTAATTATGGCAGAGAAGAAGAGTGTTGCTGGCAAGGTGACATTTTAGCAAAGCTTTGAACAAAGTGAAGCAAAGAGTAGTGCATCTGTCTGGTAATGAGCATTCCAGGCAGAGGGAATGCAAGTGTGGTAGCACTGAGACAGGAACCTGTAAGCATTCCTGGGCCAGGCAGGGAAAACAGAGGCCAGAGTGGGTAGAGTGGAATGAGTGAAGGGATGGTGGCAGGAGATGCTGGCAGAAAAGTAGCAGGACTAGGAGAGAGGAGTGGTCCAGGGGAACCAGATTCTAGAGCCAGTCAACAAAACCCCAATTTGAGAATTTACTAGATACCATTCTAATTTCAGAATCCTCCTATCCTGTGTTATAATCCAAATATGTCCTACTGACAGTGAATGAAGGAAATGTCTATAAGCTCTCAACCTCTTCCTCTTTAAAAAGCGAGCTGCCAGCGCTGTTTCATAGGTGCCGTGAGTCGAACAGAATATTTTGGTCCCTTAGACTTATCAGTTCTCACTAAACCTGGCGTTTTTTTAAGTGTGGTATTTGAACTAAAGGAAATAGGCTCATTCTTAGATTGTGGTAATTAAGGTTATGACATTATGTAAATAATCATGAAATGATTATTTTACCATGTGAGTTTTGGGAAACTTAGATTCTTAAAGGGAAAGCCTTTGATTTGGGTCTCTCTGTGTTCCAGTCTCCTTTGACTTAAGCATCTTTATGTTTCAGCTGACTTCTCCCTTAGCATTTGGATTATCTGTCATATGCGTCCTAAGCCTTTTGTTTTTTAAAGAGAAAGCAATATGTTAATTGAATTGGATCCTAACCAATAATAGGGGATACTTGTGTAAAAAAGAAAGAAAGCTTTAAATGTGGGACCCAAACTCTATTTACCCTTTGTTTTCTGTATTTCTACTATAAATTAAACATTTTAAAAAATGGTTGGCTGGGCATGGTGGCTGATGCCTGTAATACCAGCACTTTGGGAGACAGGCAGGTGGATCGCTTGAACCCAGGCGTTTGAGACCAACCTAAGCAACAAGGCAAAACTGCATCTCTACAAAAAATACAAAAATTAGTTGGGCGTGGTGATGCTTACCTGTAGTCCTGGCTACTTGGGAGGCTGTGGTGGGAGGATCACTTGAGTCTGGGAGGTCCAGGCTGCAGTGAGCTGTGATGGCACCGCTCCAGCCTGGATGACAGAGTGAGACCCTGTCTCAAAAAAATAAAAAATAAGAATTACCTTTTTCTTGAGGAAAAAAATCAGTAATAATTGACATTGTATTGCAATGTAAAATTAAATCCACACAGCAGTTGTATAAGGTATGGTACTGTTATTTGACAGTTAGTTATTACTGCTGTTGCTCCTGTCAGTGTTGTTAACAGGCTCAAGATCACTATCCCATCTGTAACAGGACAGGGGCTAGAACTCAGGATTGCCAGTTGCAAGTTCCATCTTTTTCCTATACCATATGTGTAAGCAGTTTAAGGATATTTTAAAGAAATCTTGCTTAAATACTTGTATCTTGTCATTGTCCTGGGAGCTTCCCCTGGATAGGCCTATTAATCTTGGCAGTGTGTCATACCACGGCTACTACAGAAATGCTATCCTCTGAGGTGGCGTATGTAGGTAACACTGAAATGCAGGGTATTAAGGATCATTTAAAGCCTATAATTTCTTTCTGAGTTCACATAGTTGCTCTGAGCTCAAGAAAATAGACCATTACAGTTGGTGGTTCATTTGGGTTTTGCCATAGGTCCCAGAGTTAGCAAGTAGACCCTCGAACTCTGTTGTTTGAGTCTTTTGTGTTCCTTGCAGTTTCTCAACTGTATGTGGAGTTCCACTGTTGTTCCACTGGGAACAATAGGATGGAATTAGAATCATCAGCCAGCCAACCAGAGTAATGGAGTAAGGGCAAGATCAACTGTGGCCCCCTCCCCGCTTTTTTTTTTTTTTTTTTTTTTTTTTTTTTTTTTTTTTTTTTTTTTTACAGAGATGCTACTTTTATAGAAAGTATTATTTAAGTGTCCTTGCTTGGGTACTAGGGAGTGTTACACAATGGTTCACTGGCACTAAGCTCACCATACTTATGTTGGGGAGCAAGACCTGATAGCCAGCCTTTACATGGGAGTATAATTCTGTCCTCCATCTCATAAGCCCCAGTACCTGAGCCAGAATGATTATAACCAACCACACTGTCTCTTTATCATGGATGGCTTTAGCAGTAGGTTATTTTCATCATTGCCATTTGTAGCTCTACAGTGGTTTATAGTAATTTCTCATCTTTTAAGTCTCTCCCTCAGTGCCTGTTGTTATCAAACTCATTGCTCTCTCAGGCAGTTGAGCTCTGCATTTCTCCCTTATGGGGAGAGCTGTGTTGGAGAGAGAGAATATAACTTCAAATGAAAATAAAGAAAAACAGAATTTCTTGATTTTGAGGTGAGAATTTGAGGGCACTGCCTCTGTCAGTTCCTATCACAGATTCTGGCACATAGTAGGTTCTCAGTTAGTAAATTGTGGTGGAGAGAGAGAGCCAGAGGAAACAGCAGGCTTGCTCAGCCATTAAAGAAAACAGCAACAGTCAATATTATGTGCTCAACTATATAAGTAAGACCTTGTGAGTGCTGTAGAGGTTAAAAGACATAATAGATGGTGTCTACCCTTGAGGGTCTTGCTCTGTTGTTGGGAAAGAGGATTACATCTAACAATTAACAATAATGAGATAACATGCTGAGCATCAGATAAGAGCTTTACATTGAGTTAATCTCAGTTTCATTTCCATTAAAATCTGGTTTTCTTAACAGGTAGATGTTGAAACCAAATATAATAGTTCCCTTATGGCAGGGAACATGATTCTTAAGGATAAAGGCTCTCATAGCATTTATACTTTTATGTACACACATTTATATATTATACTTAATATATGAGGTTTTATATATATTTGTGTGATTATTAAATGACTGTCTGCTGGCACTACACTACAATAAGTACCGTGAAGGCAGGGAGAATGTCTCCTTTTGGTTATATTTCTTCCCTCAGTGCCTGCACATAGTAGGGAGCATAGTGAATATTTATTAACTGAGGGGAGGAATCCCCCATCAACCTGGCCACATTATTTTGGGAGATGGCTCATTCCTGTTGATGCGTTTAAGGCTGACAGTTCATTCGGTAACCTATGTCTATAGCATATCTGAGCTGCTAGAGGGATTGTCGTTTAAATGAAATGTAAACTATAGCCCTATCCACTTCTCCTCATTACTCATTAAGGTTATATTAGCTAGTCAGACTCCAACTTGGGCAATTATCTTTTTAAAGTTTCTACATCTTAAATTGTTGCCCATAGTTGCCCAAGTCTCCCTTAGGCTCCAGGCTCAGCAATTGTAAATGCATTTAATTTCTTATAAATTATTTGCATGCTGCTGAAAACCTCCAAGGGCTTTTCATTGCCCATTTAGGTAAGGACTGGTATTCCATGTTCTGTAAATAAGATACCCAGCTTACCTACCTGCTTTTTCGCCTCCTTCCTGACATTAACCTTCCAGTTACTATACACCCTTGTATTAGTCCGTTTTCGTGCTGCTGATAAAGACATACCTGAGACTGGGCAATTTACAAAAGAAGGAGGTTTAGTGGACTTACAGTTCCACGTGGCTGGAAGGAAGCCTCACAATCATGGCGAAGGCAAGGAGGAGCAAGTCATGTCTTACATGGATGGCAGCAGGCAAAGAGAGAGAGCTTGTGCAGGGAAACTCCTGTTTTTAAAACCATCAGATCTTGCAAGACTTATTCACTATCACGAGAACAGCATGGGAAAGACCTGTCCCCGTGATTCAATTACCTCCCACCGAGTTCCTGCCACAACACATGGGAATTACAATTCAAGATGAGATTTGGGTGGAGACACAGCCAAACTATATTATTCTGCTCCTGGCCCCTCCCAAATCTCATGTCCTCACATTTCAAAACCAATCGTGCCTTGTCTTAACTCATTTCAGCATTAACTCAGAAGTCCACAGTGCAAAGTCTCATCTGGGACAAGACAAGTCCTTTCTGCCTATGAGCCTGTAAAATCAAAAGCAAGTTAGTTACTTCCTAGATAGAGTGGGGGTACAGGCATTGGATAAACACAGCCATTCCAAATGGGAGAAATCGGTCAAAAAAAGGGGCTACAGGCCTCATGCAAGTCCAAAATCCAGCAGGGCAGTCAAATCTAAAAGCCCTGTAATGATCTCCTTTGACTCCATGTCTCACATAGAGGTCATGCTGATACAAAAGGTGGGTTCCTTTGGTCTTGCATAGCTCTACCCTTGTGGCTTTGCAAGGTACAGCCTCCTTCCTGGCTGCTTTCACAGGCTGGCATTGAGTGTCTGCAGCTTTTCCAGGTGCACAGTGCAAGATGTCAGTCAGTGGATCTACCATTCTGGGGTCTGCAGGATGGTGGCACTCTTCTCACAGCTCCACTAGAGAGGGCCCCAGTAGAGACTGTGTGGGGGCTCTGACCCCACATTTCCTGTCTGCACTGCCGTAGCAGAGGTCCTCCATGAGGGCCCTGTCCCTTCAGCAAACTTCTCCCTGGACATACAGGTGTTTCCATACTCCATCCTCTGAAATCTAGGCAGAGGTTCCCAAACCCCAATTCTTGACTTCTGTTCACTCCCAGGCTCAATACCATGAGGAAGCTGCCAAGGCTTGGGGCTGGCACCCTCTGAAGCCGCAACCTGAGCTCTGCATTGGGCCCTTTCAGCCACGACTGGAGTGGCCGGGATGCAGGGCACCAAGTCCCTAGGCTGCATACAACCTGTGGACCCTGGGCCCAGCCCACAAGACCAGTTTTTCCTCCTAGGCCTCTGGGTCTGTGATGGGAACAGCTGCTGTGAAGATCTCTGACATGCCCTGGAGACATTTTCCCCATTGTCTTGGGGATTAACATTCGGCTTCTCATTACTTATGCAAATCTCTGCAGCTGGCTTGAATTTCTTCTCAGAAAATGGGATTTTCTTTTCTATCACATTGTCAGGCTACAAATTTTCTGAACTTTTATGCTCTGCTTCTCTTATAAAACTGAATGCCTTTTACAGCACCCAAGTCACCTCTTGAATGCTTTGCTGCTTAGAAATTTCTTCCTCCAGATACCCTAAATCATCTCTGTGAAGTTCAAAGTTCCACTTATCTCTAGCGTAGGGGCAAAATGCTGCCAATCTCTTTGCTGAAACGTAACAGGAGTCACCTTTGCTCTAGTTCTCAACAAGTTCCTCATCTCCATCTGAGACCACCTCAGCCTGGACTTTATTGTCCATATCATTATCAGCATTTTGGGCAAAGCCATTCAACAAGTCCTTAGGAAGTTTGAAACTTTCCCACATTTTTCTGTCTTCTTCTGAGCCCTTCAAATTGTTCCAACCTCTGCCTGTTACCTAGTTCCAAAGTTGCTTCCACATTTTCAGGTATCTTTTCAGCAGTGCCCTACTCTACTGGTACCAATTTACTGCATTTAGTCCATTTTCATGCTGCTGATAAAGACATACCTGAGACTGGGCAATTTACAAAAGAAAGAGGTTTAATGACTTACAGTTACATATGGCTGGGGAGGCCTCACAATCATGGTGGAAGGCAAGGAGAAGCAAGTCACGTTTTACATGGATGGCAGCAGGCGAAGAGAACTTGTGCAGGGAAACTGCTGTTTTTAAAACCATCAGCTCTCACGAAATTTATTCCCTATCACAAGAACAACATGGGAAAGACCAACCCCCATGATTCAATTACTGCTCACTAGGTTCCTCCCCCGACACATGGGAATTGTGGGAGTTAAATTCAAGATGAGATTTGGGTAGGGACACAGCCAAACCATATCAACCCCTCTTCTGTTTGCCCAGGAATTTCATTCTCAGCTTATCTGAGTGCTTTGCTTTTCTCAAGGTCCAACCCCAGCCACACTGCCCAGGTGACTTGGGGGTTCCATATTGATGAGCCCTGCTCACAAGGCCTACCTGCAGCCTGTCCTCTATTTCCTGAGTTCCCCCCTTCCCTCAGTCTCCAGCTCCTTGCCTTAGAGGCCAATATCAAATACTGCCCCTCCCTTAGAACTCTCCCTTGAACCTCTGTGGCCTTTTGTGGGACCTCTCCTCAGTCTCCCTAATTTCTGTGATTAACTTATCACCTAATTAAATGGTATGCTCCTGTAGGGCAGAAATCTAATTATTCCTTCTGGGAGACTGTCATACAGAATGAGAGAGGTCTCACTCCCCCAAGAGTACTAGAGAGCTCTTCACCTAACATTTTTCGCATCTTGAGATTCGGAAGGATAGAGATTGATTACTAGGCCTTGCCTTTAGCATTTTTGTTTTCTCCAACAAAATTGCAAAAACTTTAGAAAAATGGGAAGAAGAAAAAACATGAATCCCTCCTTCCTCTAACACAACTACAGCCTTCCCTTTGGCTATGACAAATGCTGCCCAACAGAAATTTAGCATGAGTCACAATTGCATTTTAAATATAACTTAAATACAATTAAATTTTCGAGTAGAACCAATTAAAAAGTTAAACAGGTGAAAATTTGAATAATATAATTTATTTAGCCTAATATTCAAAAGTAAGTATGATCTCAACATGTAATCAATATATTTAAAATTATTTATTCACCAAGTCTTTAAATTCAACTTAACAGCACATCTCAATTCAGAGTACTCACATTTCAAGTGTTTATTAGCCACATGTGGCTAGTGACTATCAGATCAGATAGTATAATCCAAAAATAGACTCTCCGTACCCCCCCTGCCCCATTTAATGTGACTAAAATTAGACATCATCTTAAAGTGGATGTGAAAAGAAACCTGCCTCCTTTTTTTCTCCCCAAAAGCTGCTATTGTTCAATCCATGGATTTATTGATGGAGTCTAACAAGCAAGGAAATATAGTGTTATCAATTTGTGTATTCCTTCCTGGTCTCTTCATCTACATGCTCCCCACAGGGAAAGTACTATTTATAGCTTGCTGCTTTTACATAATATATTTTTTCGCTAGGTCATACAGTGTGCTCATGTTTAGTCATTAGGCATGTTTCTTTTGGGCAATTGGGGTTGCATTCAATTTTTAAAATTTAAAATTTATAATTATAATATGGACATCTCTGTATATGTAGCCATTTCCATAGACTCCAAGAAGTTGGATTTCTGGGTTGAGGGGTGCGAGCATCTGACCTTTTTCCGTGTGTTGCCAAAATGCTTTCCAAGAGGATTGTTTTTATATCCTCTTTCTTCCATTTCTTTCTTTTTTTCAAGCAAATTCTAAAGAGTAGTCTTTTGGTAGTGTTTTGAGAGTACCAGTTTCATTATCACTGGAATTTTTTTTTTTGGAAGAGGGTAACTAATTCAGTAAACAAAAGTTAGTAATTTTGTATTCTATTTATTACTTGTGAAATTAATTGCTTTTCCACATGTTTATTTACTAGCTCTATTTCCTCTTTTGGAAATTGTGTACTCCTGTCCTTCATCGTCAAAGTTTGATGCAGAAATGCCACACCTTCATTTCAAGCTACCAAGTGCACAAGAAAAAAGAATGCAAGATTTAAAAAATGATTGTTTTGACCCCTTACACAAATGTCTTACTCCTGGCTTTAATTAAGCTGCTTGAGGGCTGATAGCTCTGCCTTACCCTGGTAATCAGCAAAATGGTCCTGTGGCTGGGGAGGCCCTGGCAGCAGGAAGCCTTCAAGGAGCCATGGGTCTGTGCTGACTCTGGCCTTACAACCTTCCAGCCTCCTTTGCTGGCATTGATGGGGTTCCATTTTTGAATGAACTAGTTTAATGTGGATCCAAATTTATTGTGCATATTCTTTCGTTTTGGTTTTCAAAAGATGGCTTATTCACATGGAAATGTACACCAGTTTAGCCCTGGGCCCTCCCTTTACCTTCATATGTGTAAAAGCTTACACAGGTTTCAGAAAATAAATGGTTTCATTTTCTCTAAAATAACTAGTACAAAATAAAACAGATGTCAGTTGTTGAGTCCAGCAGTACCTCTTTTTTCATCCCTCCAGATATGGCATTTTGGTTCTTAGGGGAACAAGACAGCTGTAACATCAGCCCACTGGCATCTGTTTTGGGCACTGAAGAGGAAAAGTGTTCAGTAGAGTTAAGATTATTGTTTCTCACGTCAGCATTGGGACCCTAGGGAAGGGCAGTGGTGTTCCTAATGTTAACAATCTAGCACTACTATTCTTTTCCTCACCTCTCCCCACCCACTTTCTAAAACAACTTGAAGTTTTACAGAAATCCAAGTTACTGTGATAAAATTTATAACTCCAGAAATATTTGGAACTCTTGCCTTACATTGAAAATTTTTGAGAACCATTGCTTTAAATGAGATTTAATAACCTTGGACTTCGTCTGAAGCATCAGTGCTAACAACTTCAGGAGTCATTTGGGGCCTTAAACGGTTCTATTTAGAATCCAAGTCTTTTGGGTCTGAGGCCTTTTGTGACATATGTAGTCAGTTCTTGCTGTGATGTGTGGGGTGGGTGGATGCTGTTCAAAAGCAGAGGTCTGACAGTGGGTGCCTCTGCTTGAGAGGGTTGGCCTTCCCTCTGTCTGCTTACTGCCTTGGGAGGGAATGCAAATGGACACGTAGCTGCAGCATAAACAGTAGGAGGGACAGGAACCTGGCAGACCCTCTGCCACACCCTGGGTCCCTTCTACATTATTCATTTTGCTTTTATCCTTCTGGGCTGCCAAGAGGTAATGAAGCCAGCAGTGTACTGTGGGAAGCTGACATCCCCCACCTAACCTTCCACTTCTGCCCTCCAGACCAGATGGTTAGGTCAGTTCTCTCAAGCTCGCTTGCATCTTGAGGCTTTTCCTTTCAATGTGTTTCTGCTAGAAGCCTGTTTAGTTCTCACCTGTCTTTAAAATAGAAAGAAAAATAACCTTCCTTCAATGCTGCTATCCTGCTATTACAAACTACCATTTTTCACTTTTTTTTTTTTATACAGGGTCTCACTCTTTTTTTTCAGGCTGGAGTGTGTTGGCACAAGCCTGTCTCACTGCAGCTTCAGCCCCATGGGCTCAAGAGATCCTCCCACCTTTGCCTCCCAAGTAGCTGGGACCACATTCGTGTACCACCATGCCCAGCTAATCTTTTGATTTTTTTATAGAGCCCAAGTGTCTTGCTGTGTTTTCTAGGCTGGTCCCCAACACCTGAGCCCTAGTGATCCTCCCACCTCAGCCTCCCAGGGTGCTGGGATTACAGGCATGAGCCACTGCACCTGGCCTACTTCTTACTTTTCAACCAAATTCTGAAGACTAGTCTTCATCATTGCCTCACTTGCAACTCAATTCTTATGCCTGTTACCGGTGCAGAGACAATTTACCATTGGGCTTCGGCTGTCACTCCTCCAAGAAAACCACCTTCACTAGGGTCTTCCATTTGACGTCCTTGTAGGCAAATCAGGTGACTTTCGTAGTCCTTTTCCTCCTCCAACTTTCCCCTCCATGACAACAGTGTCCCTGCAATTCTATTGATCTTTTTAAATTAGTTCCATAGCTTCCCCTGTGTTCCCAAAGTATGAGTGTCCTGGAGGCTTGGATTCAAATCCTGACTCAACTTCCTATTAGTTTACATAACATTGGGTAAATTACAGCTCTGTGTCTCGGTTTCCTCATTTATAAAATAGGGAAAACATCAGAAGGTTGTGTGAGGATGCCTGACACTTAGTAAGTACTCAGTAAGTGTTAGTGCTGCCATTGTTACCACCCCCATCATCATTGTCACTTGTGTTGCTATGTGCAGCCATGGCTTTGGAGCAAGATCTCGCAAGGCTGCCCAGTATCCCTTTGTGTGGCTCCCAGAGGTGAGAGAGAGGCCTGCTGAGCCCTTTGCGTTTGCTTACATGGCTACATGGGAGGCCTGGCTACCTCTTCAGTCCCTTCAGCCACCATCCACCCTGTCTCAGGGCTCCATCCAAGCCATTTAAAGAGCCATTTCTGTTCACAAAGACAGACTCAAAATTATGATTCTGCTAATTATAAAAACTATCAGGAAAAAAATTTTCAGGCTTTTACTGAGTACCCAAGGCAGCACTTGCTCTGTGGACATGTTGACTTACCAAGTTCTATCTGATCAGTCACACTCACATGAAGATAGGCAGTTGACTCAGCTGACTTAGAGCAATTTTCAGAAAACAGAAACTGAAAGTCCAGGGTTATTCCATAGTCCATGCCATAAATCCCAGGGTTTCTTGCTGGTTTCGTGTTTGCTGGTCACATATTATAAACTCATAAAGACAAGGAAGGCCCTGCCCCCACCTTCATCCTGTGTTTGGCCACATGATCTTGTATGGAGTGGAAAGATGGGAGGGGAGGATTGCAGGTGAGTCTAGCATTTTTAGCTTCAGCCTTTTGCTTTTTCTTTCCTGGACTACATGCACATGCAAATTTGGGGTATTTCTGTATTTTGTGCTTTAAATTTTTTTCTTGTTGGGCCTTAATTCTTGTTGGGTACCCTGGGAAGAGTAAAATAAAGTTAACTCTGAACCATTCTTTTGGACTTGCTGAGGGATCAGGGCACCCTAAGTGACCAGGGGCACTTCTGCTTTCAGCAGAGGATGGAGGAAGGGCTGTGCTTAGCATTCTGAAGGCCTCGTTCTGAGTTTAAACCAATCCAGCCTTCTTTGGACTCCTGTTGTTCCCAAGACACTATGTTCTGAACATCTATGAATTTTATCTTCATCCAAAAATTACCCTGAAATGGAAACTGCCATCCCTCACAGATCTTTTTCTCTCTTCTGGCTTGTTTTGCTGTGCTTACTGCTCACTTTTCACTTCTTGATCCTAATTCCCTGGTTTCATGTATAAATATTTGAAGGAGAAACTGGTAGCAAAAAGGCTGTTACTCAGTCTGGTCATTCATTAAAAGTTATCACTGAACATTTGCAAGTGCTCTCTGGTTTCAGAGATTGTGCATTTTTTCCCTTGTCCCGGATGCACATGGGTAGTTAAGAGCTAATGTTGCCTTCTGGGAACTATTAGTTGAAAAAATAGCTTTTACATAGGCAAATTTAAATAGAGGGATGTAAATTACATCAGTGATGGAAAGGGTAGACTTTGGAGGGCTAGATGGGGTCTTAGAGAATTTCTAGTCAGATGAGGAATAGGCAAGGTGAGAAATGTGTCTGCAGCTACAGAACCCATTAATGACAAGCATGCAGAGCACTCCTCTGTCCTCTAATTCCCAAATTCTTCCTTGCCACTCTACCACCTCTTATCAATACTAATCATTTTTCATTCCATCTCCAGTATCCAGAGAGGAAGGTATTTTAATTAGTCCCTTCTAATTATGTGCTCCTTTTTTCCACCCCATTTTGTCACCTAATAAACCCTAATAAGGTCCCTTTGTAGAAATGGGAAACAGTGTCTGAAGTATCCATTGCTAGGCTAGGAACTCTCATTCCTTCTGCATAAGCTGACTGACTCAACTAAAGAAACGCATCTCACTTTTTCCCCATCCCATCTTGACTGTGCTATTCCAAACGCCACCTTGGTCTAACACAGGGCTCACCATTTCAGATAGGAGCGTGTTGCATGCACACATGCAGCACCAAGGCCAATGCGTAGCACACAGTAGGTAATCACCCCAGCCAGAAGCCATCTTTCCCGTGGTGTCTCTAGTCTCTGCTAGTCAGGTTACGCTTGTCAGCACTGCCCTGTGATATTTCCATGTATAGACATATTTATCTCCTCAACTAGATAGTAAGTAAGCTTTGGGGCAAAGAAGCCATGACTAATACATTTTGTTTCCCCACAGTATCTGCCTAGTATCTTGTACGTAATTTGCACCTGATAAAAATGGTTGATTATGAACAATTTCCTTGAGGAAATTACCTTAAGGGTGCTAAAGAGGAAAGCCTGGAAATTCTAGTACTTGTGAGGACTTATGAATAAGCACGGGCCTTACAAACCTTTCTGAAACTCAGCCCAAACTGAGGCCTATAAATTGAGATTGTTAGGATTTAATATGAGTAGATCTGGTTTTGCTAGCCACGGTGTACATGTTTTCTTTGTCTTTCTCCCGCTGTTGTGTTCTGGTTGTTTAGGACCCATTGGGCTTGTAATACAGAATTGTCAAGCACTCCCTACCCTGAGTAAGAAGCTTTCCGGCTGCTCAGGAGTCTCTGGCTGGAAGGCCATACTTAAGCTACTAGGCTACCCCGCCTTGAGCTTCGCTTGGCTTTGTACTATTCTACCAGTTTGGCTGGCTGCCTGGCCATAAGTAACTCTGACTATGTTTGTAGCCTGGAGAGAATCTCCCAGACAAGTTTGATGTCTAGGGGCACAGTAACATGACATCCATGTTATTGACTTACGAACTTACTCTAGCAAGGCAGTACCCAGGCAACCCACAGCCATTGTAGAGGTGTGGTTGTTTCCTGAAATGGCCCAATCTCATGCTCTTCCTGTGTTGACATCAAGCACCGACAGCTTTTTATGAAAGTCTCTTTAGCCAGGAAGGCTGAAGTAGTGACACAGCAGCATTGTTCAGTTCGGAATAGTTAACAGTGGTTTCAGAGTTTGGCTGGAATCTTGGGTCTTGATGAAACACATTGTACCCATTCCTGTCTCAAGCCAGGCCCTAGCAGAATTAGTGACCTAAAGCTTTCATTTAAGTAGTATTTTAATGTTTCCAGACATAGCCAAGCTAAAGACTTTAAAGCAACCTAAAGAACCAGAGGAGATGGGAGGAGTACAGTTCAGGAGTCGGATGGCTCTGAGTTTAAAGCCAGGCCATGCTACTGTGCAGCTGGTGATTTTGAATAAAGCGGTGTACTTCTCTGATCCTTGGGTTCTTAGTAGAGCTACCTCTGAGACTAATCTTGTGAGTTAAGCTCTGTAAAGCACTTGGCACCTTGTATGTCACAAAGAAGGCCTTCACGGATGCAGTGGCTCACGCCTGTAATCCCAGCAGTTTGGGAGGCCGAGGTAGGTGGATCACCTGAGGTGAGGAGTTTGAGACCAGTCTGGCCAACATGGTGAAACCCCATCTTTATTAAAAATGTAAAAATTAGCCAGGCAACGTGGCATGTACTTGTAATCCCAGCTACTCTGGAGGCTGAGGCAGAAGAATCACTTGAACCTGGGAGGTGGAGGTTGCAGTGAGCTGAGATCACACCACTCTACTCCAGCCTGGGCAACAGAGCGAGACTACGTCTCCAAAAAAAAAAAAACAACAACAACAACAACAACAACAGGCTGGGCGCAGTGGCTCACACCTGTGACCTATAATCCCAGCATTTTGGGAGGCCAAGGTGGGCAGATCACCTGAGGCCAGGAGTTTGAGACCAGCCTGGCTAACATGGTGAAACCGCATTTCTACTAAAAATACAAAAAAATTAGATGGGCGTGGTGGCGCACACCTATAATCCTAGCTACTCAGGAGGCTGAGGCAGGAGAATCACTTGAACCCAGGAGGCGGAGGTTGCTGTCAGCCAAGATCACGCTGTTGCACTCCAGCTTGGGCAACAAGAGCGAAACTCTGTCTCAAAAAAATAAAAAAATAAATAAATAAATAAAGCCTACAGTAGCCATTATTGTATTTCTTCAGCCTTTTCCCACCTTACCCTCTCGTTTCCAGCCACCCAAGCAGTTGCTGCAGGCCAGGTTCCCTCACTGCCTGGATTGGGTTTTTATTTTGTCCCCTGTGCTTTTTCTCATATTGCCACAGGCATCCCGGGCCCAAATCCTAGACAAAGCCACAGAATATATCCAGTATATGCGAAGGAAAAACCACACACACCAGCAAGATATTGACGACCTCAAGCGGCAGAATGCTCTTCTGGAGCAGCAAGGTGAGCACCCGAGCTCGTGGGGCAGCTGGCCCTGCTGTGCTCCAGCCAGGTCAGGCTTTGGCACCTGGGCCTGCAGAGTCAGAGCCAGTCATGGAGTATGTGCTCAGTAGCAGGCTTGGTCCTGCTTCTTGGGGCCTGAGTAACTGAGTGTTAGAGCCGTCCTGAGGAAGGACCTGAGGCGCCAGTGAGGAGACAGTGGAAGCTAGGAAGTTGGACATCTGGAGACTTGTATCTTTTCTGGCCTGACCTCTCCCCTTCTTGGGGCTCAGGTGCTCTGCCTGCAGTAGGGATCACACCTGGCATCAGGTGTCTGAAAAGAGCTTTGAGGTCCTTGGAGTGGAATGTGCTGTGTAAGTACCAGAGACTCCAGGTGTTCAGGGACAGTGAGCCCTCCCCATTGTCAATGGTAGTCCAATCAGGGCAGCCTATGGGCTAGGCCCATGCTGTTCTCAATGCTCACACCCGCCTTTTCCTACAACCACAGGGGAAAGCGAGAGCTGATCAAGTTCTTTGTTCCTGGGGAATTCACTTCTCTTCCTCCCTCATGGAAGATGCAAGTAAAAGGAAATGCAAGTAACCACCTGGGTTAGAAAACCTCAAATAAAATAAAATAAAATAAATTAAATGGGTTGACCTTCCAGGCTCAAGCTGAGCTGAACCAAGGGATGGGCAGTGGGTGGTGTCAGTGGGTTGGTTACTGGGCCAGGCAGCCTGCATGTAGGGGCTATTTGAAAAGCCCAGGTATTTTATGTGTATTGGTGACTTGCTTCCAAGTGTCCAGCTTGTCATTCCAAGTGGATCTTGTACACGAGAGCTAAGCCAAAACTGTTCTTTGGCTGATACGTCTTATGTCATCCTTTCCTGCTGTTGTGTGGCCTCACACCTTGTGGAGCCTCATGCTCCTGGGCCAGCTTCTCCTCTGTTATTGCACTGCTGAATCCCACAGGGAGCTCACGCTCCAGTCTCTCCACGGGGCTTCCACGGCAGGACGGTGACATCACAAGCCTTCTCTTCAGAGTTGGGTGGGATTGCAGAGTGTCTGCTGGCTCCCAGGTCCAGCTGGGAAAGGCGGGAGGGAAATGAAGTGTGTGAGTGAACAGCCACCCGAAGGGAGCTACTTCTGAGCATCTTGAGCCTCGGGGGCCAACAAGCAAGCCCTTAGGAAGAACAGGCTGGACCCTGAGTCTGAGACTCGGTTACTCCCCAAGTCTCCAGAAGGCAGTAACACACTCCCTTGGTTGCCTTTTAGTCCGTGCACTGGAGAAGGCGAGGTCAAGTGCCCAACTGCAGACCAACTACCCCTCCTCAGACAACAGCCTCTACACCAACGCCAAGGGCAGCACCATCTCTGCCTTCGATGGGGGCTCGGACTCCAGCTCGGAGTCTGAGCCTGAAGAGCCCCAAAGCAGGAAGAAGCTCCGGATGGAGGCCAGCTAAGCCACTCGGGGCAGGCCAGCAATAAAAACTGTCTGTCTCCATCGTCTCATCCTCCTTTCAGTTCGTTGGTAGAGCCCTCAGAACCATTTAAGAGACTCTTTATTTTTCTCTTTCTCCCTTTTTTTTTTAAATTTTTATTTTTACGTAGAAGCTCTTGGACAACAGCTCTCGTTCTCCTTCCCCATTTCCACTGTATATTTTTTAATGTATTCCCTTCAGGGATTCCCTGTCCCCAACAGGAATTTTTAAACCAAAACACCCCAACTTGGCAGCTTTTTCTGTGGAGGACAGACGGCCGGCCGGACCTCTGAGCACATAGTGTCCTGCCCACCCTACCAGCTCCTCCAGCCCTGCCGGGCACATGCCCGGGGGACGCCTGCCCTGCCCAGGTGGCCTCCTGGCCCGCCCTCACCTCTGATAGACTTTGTGAATCTGAACTGCTCTACTTTGAGAAGATGACCGGTTTGGAGTAATCAGAATGAACCCTCCTCCTTTTTAAGGGTTTTTTTTTTTTCCTTTTTCTAAAAAGCTATGTATCGCTCCTATTGAAAGACCAGATCCTTAGAGAAGTTTGTGGTATAAAAAGGAAGTGGGGACAGATTCGCAGCACAGAGTCGCTGGCATGTTTCACTCCTGCTTCTCTCAGCCAGCTGTTTAAGCCTGCGGCGCCAGCCTCACGGAGGGCCGTGTGACACTCTCGTGGTATGTATGGGAGATGGCAGCAGTGAAGCAGCAGCCACCAGGGAGTGGCCATTTGGGGTTGGGACAGGGAGGGTGTTTTGGGTGGCATAGAGGTTTTGTATTGAGGGCCAGTGATGATGTTTTGATATTTATTTCCTGCTACTTAAATTTGAATCTGAGTGAATTGTACCTATTTCTGATGATGTCGGTCTTGCAAAGCGACAGATTCATAAAGTAATGATGAAATCTTTCTTTCTTCCCGTGTGTATTTCTAAGAAATAGAGCCAACTGATTTTGTATGTAAATACCAAGAGCAATTTACCTGGTACTAAACCCGCACCCCAGTGCGGACCCTTCCCAGCCCTCATCCCACTTCCTTTCCTACTGTCCTGGAACCTGTCTCCATTGTGTGATCCAGCCCTGGTTCTGGCTGTGGTCAGCAGATGCCAGTGAAGGGTTTTGTGTGTTTAGGCCTCATTTCTTTGTCTTTTTCCTACTCCGTTCCTGGCATTTGCTGATTTCTAGTGTATACTCTGTAGTCTCAGTTCGTGTTTGATTCCATTCCATGGAAATAAAAAGTATGTTGTACATACTGCCGAAGAATTGTCTTGCAAGTTAAGGCTTCCCCCTTTACTATAAGACTATAAATAAAAACTTATTTTATCCTTCTTGGTGGTGGTGTCTTCTTACCCTTGTTAAGGCCAAGGTGGTTGATGAGAGACCCCTCTGGAAGCTGTTAGGGCCTCAATGTAAGTCTGAGTGAGAAGTGGAGGTGGCTTACCCGGTCTTGCAGAACCAGGAGCAGCCATAAGCCAGAGTTGCTTCCCCTTTCTCAGCTCAGCCTGAGAGAGTAAATGGGTGGTGATGGCTTTGTTCATTGGATGAGGCTTTTGAGGTTCAACAGGGATGTAGCCTTAGCTGTGGCAACATTTCTAGATCTAGTTTCTGCTAAGCAAGTGACCTTTGGGGGAATTGGTAGCCCAGAGCTGTGGTTCAGGTTCTCCTGGTAATGAGTGCCCAGTTCAGAGGTGGCTGTTCTCCAGGACCTTTCAGTTTCTAGATAGTTCCAGTTTATTAAGAGGAGGCAGCAGAGCTGCCAAGGACTGGAAGTCAAGAAGGCTCCAACTGCACCGAGTTAGCTCTACTCAGACTGGGACCCAACACCAGCCTGAACTTGTTTGACCTTGGAAGAAAAAGGAATTATGGCCAGAACGCAGCTCAGTGTTGGTTTTCCTGTCTGGCTGACAGGAAATACTGCTGTTCCTAGACCCAGAGAGGAAGTCAAGTCAAATCAGTTCTTGGATTTGTCACCATCTTTAGAGTGGTGGAGAGCACTGTGGCTCCTATCAATTGTATGTCAAATCCGTAATATCTTTTTTTGTTTAATGGGAGCTGGGGCAGATGGGTCTTGTCAATTTGAAACATGATCAAGCCTCCAAAGGCCATGATTACATTAAGGAAAAGAAAAATGCTGGGAAAGCAAGATCCCATTTATAAAGGCACTTCTTTTCAAGATAGAGGAAAGAAACTGCAGTAAGGAAGAAATGGAAATGAGAATCAGCTTATTGCCTAAAGCCCTCAAGGTTAACATGCTTTCCTCTTTTTCATTGCCCTTAACTATATCTCTTTGTATATCTGGGCTTAAGTATACAGTTGGTTTGCTTAGTATTGGTGTTAGAAGTGAGCTGTGGGTGAAGCCATGTTGATGCAGAGATGGAAGGCATGTGAAGCTGGCACCCAGTAGGGAGATAGCAAACAGGAAGGGGCAGTCAAGCCAGCATGAGGACAGGTGGTGTCCCTGAGAGCCAGTCCCTGGCTCCAGTGTATTGGCTGGACAAAGGATTGAGTTTAGGCTTCTCTAGATTTCAGTAAACCAGTTCAGACAAGGGGCACAGTGGCTAGGTGGCTGGTTCACCTAGGAAAATCCAAACCACCTGATTGACATGGTGAGCGGACTTTGGCACAGGGTGGAGGTACCACTGGAAGCAGCTTCCTGGGCAGGAACACAGGGCAGGGGAGCTCCGCCTGGAAACTGCTCAGCTGAAAAGGCCAAGTCAAAGTCACAGCCAAGCAAGCCCCTTCTGGTATGTGTGTCTAGGAAGCGAGTGTGAGTATTCCCTCAGGATACCAAAGTCGGACCATAGCTTACTCTCTCACAGTAATGGTAATCTCTGGTTTATTTTTTATATTACTCTGGACACTCACTTACACAAAACCAGATAAGCTGTAGATTTGCTTGGTCACTGTGGCAGGTGGCTTCACTGAGGAGTCTGTTAAGCGTGCTATTTCCCTACCTTTACAGTTGCCCCAAGTGCAAGGGTATTTAAAATGGCCCAGTTTTTAAAGTTCTTGATACGCTAACCCCATTGTAAAACATCAACAACTTCTTAGGTAAAGAATCTAAGCTCACAGAGCTGTCATCTTAGCTGAGACAGGTTTAAAAAACAAGACTGAGTAGACAATAGGAGCCAGAGCCCTGAACTGGGACTGAAGTAAGCAGAATTCTGTTTCTGATAGTATCATGTGTGTTTTATGCTTGGCCTCTGAAAGCAGACTGGCTGGGTTCACAGTCCTGTCTCTGCCACTCGGTGGCTGTGTTACTTCTCCCAGCCTCAGCATCTTTATCTATAAAATGAGGATAATAATAGCACTAGCCTCATGAGATGGTTATGAGGCTTAAATGAGATAATGCTTATAATGTGCTTGACCTCAGGACCAAGCAAGCACTGAGGTGCCTCTGCTGTCATTATCTACACAAAGCATGTAACCAGGGCTGACTCAGCAAGGTGGAAAAAGCCAGCTCCCAGACACCTTTCCTAAAGTGAGTAAGGGTTGACTTCTTGGTATATCACAAATGCTTCCCACTCCTCAGAGATGTGCCCCATCCTTACCAGGCACAGTGACTAAAGAGAGCAAGGTGACACCAGGACTGGACTGACAAACTCTTCGAGACTAAAGCAGCCCCTGTGGGTACATTAATTAGATCTGGTGTCAACTCGAGTGAGGCTCTGCCCATTCCCTCCCACCACGATTCAGTGGCATCTCTCAGGTTTGGACACTTTTGGAGGCCCAGGCAGAACTGCTCAGAAGCCCCATGTGGTGTTACTCAAAGTGGGATCCTTGGATCATGCCCAGGGCTGCTTGTTAAAAGGATTCCTGGGCTCTAACCCCTCTAATCTAAAGTGTGCCGTGGCTCACCAGTCAGTTTAACAAGCTCTTTCAGGTGGTCCTCAAGTCACTCAGGTTTGACTCCCAACAGTAATATAACCCGGGGAACCAAAAGGACGCTGTTGGGGAAGTTAGGCACAGCTGAGCTGAATTAGCGAAGTGGTTCTGAGGTCAGGATGAAGGTGGGGGAGGCGGGCTTGTTAAATAGTTCAACCCTTAGAGCTGCCTTGATGAGTCTACGTGCTCCCAGCATGCCTCCAATGCTCTAGGGGGCTGGCTGAGCTACCCAGTTTTTAAACTTGAGAAGGAAGAAAGCTGAGGGCTGCCTACACTAGCCCCTTTAGAAGCCCCAAGCAGGGGTAATGACATGGGGCAGCACTCATTTCTGTAGCATGCCTAGGCTGGCCTCTGGTCCCCAGGCAGGTTTTATAATCCAGCCAGAGCAAGGGTCTCTCTCAGGCCTGGTCACCAGGATGCATTCTCAAAAGCCTCTGGGAACATGAAACTAGAGCATTCCTTTCTTCAAAACTGTTTCTCTAGCCTGAAGAGGAAACCCAGGTAGGAAAAAAGAGTTTGTCAATGTCTACACTGCTAGATAGCGAATAGAGAATTTCCTTCAGTGTCTAGGGTTTACTAGGGCAGCGGCTAACTCATACATCCCCAAAGTTCCCTTGGGAAGGGAATAAAAAATAGTTTCTAGTTAACTTCCTCAGGGAGAAAACCAATTTGGCTAAGCCAGGCTTAACTATAGGTAGGACTGGGTGACTGCACCAGGCAGGCCTGTGCATGGGTTTTGGAGGCTCTCCTGGCAAACCCTTATCACCCTGCTGGTAAGTGTTGTCCTTGCTTGGTGTTTCATTGGGGTCGGTGTTGGGAAGGAGCCCAGGGAGCTTCAGAATGACTGCCAGAGCGGGTAGGGCTAGGGGCTCTGAGCCCGCCTGTCTGGACTGCCATGCCAGCTACAACCCTTACCTTTGGGGTGACATTGCTCTGGCTTCCTGTGCCATTATGTGAGGACAATAATAGCACCAAGTGCCATTGTGAGGCTTAAAGGAGTGTGAGAAGCCCATGAATTGTTCCTGGCATTTAATACTCAATAAATACTGTCAAATCTTAGATGTGTCTGCCATCAGATGTCCTGGGTAGTGCAGCCATTTTTTAGTTTTGTTAAAATGTGGAATGAAGCTGGGCGCAGAGGCTCACACCTGTAATATCAGCACTTTGGGAAGCCAAGGTGGGCGGATCACTTGAGGTCAGGAGTTTGAGACCAGCCTGGTCAATGTGGTGAAACCCCGTCTCTACTAAAAATACAAAAAAATTAGCCGAGCATAGTGTTGCATGCCTGTGGTCCCAGCTACTCGGGAGACTGAGGCAGGAGAATCGCTTGAACCCAGGAGGCAGAGGTTGCAGTGAGCCAAGATCACGCCACTGCACTCCAGCCTGGGTGACACAGCAAGACTCCTTCTCAGAAAAAAAAAAATGTGGAGTGAATAAACTCTCCTTTTCGCTGATGTAATAAGAGTTTAGTATATTAAAATCCTTGAAAGGGGAGGTAAATGTATGTTGAATGCTAAAAGGCAGTAAAAATTTGCATGTTTTCTGAAAGAACTTGAGCAAGACCACAAATCTGTTACCTTTTGGAGAAAAAAAAGGAGTTGAGGAATGAAATATACCCTTGCAGGCTGGCTCAGAGCCATTAACCATTAACATACTGGCGACTTTGCCCTGTTCTTCATTCCAGTTTCAGTTTGCATTTCTGCAGTGCCGGGTGGCAGGCACTGTGCCAGGTGCAGATACTGCAAGTGCATCTGGTGTCTGCCCCGTGTTTCTTGCCCAGGGCTGGTTATGACAGTGGTCAGCCATCGTTTTTCAGCCTTCCCCTTCAGGGACCCCTTGAGCAGAATCTGCCTGGTGGGTGAGGTGGAGCAGATGAGCCTCATGACTGGGCCGAGGGGCCCGCATGCTCTAGCTCACTCTGGATCCCATGTGCACGCTCGCACACACAACACACCCAGCAGGATGGGCGTGTCTAGAAGAATGCCGAGCAGGTGGCCTTGGACAATTCACAACCAGCCGAGCAGGTCCCCTCCTGCGCCCTGTGCTAGATGCCAGCTGCCCCAGCAGGCCTGTTGTGACTGCCAGGCCCCATTTAGGATTGTTTTCCTTTGCTGTCCTTTGCAGGGTGGGGCTCTTGTATACCCACAGCCTGCTCTGGGCAAAATTATGTAGCACGGTCTCTGCTATTAATTTTTTCCAGTAAATTAAAGGCTAGAGAAGAAGAAGAAGAAAAATCAAGGATCCAATATTAAGAAATCTGAGCCCAAACCTTCTACTCCAGTGCTGAACATGGTGAAGGATTAAGCCTCCTATCAAGAAAAACAAGCCTGACAGCCTGTAGACTGATAGAGGGAGGTGTGCCTTCTCTCCAGAAAGCCTACTTCTGCAGGAACCCAGGAGTATGGAATGAGCCATGCAAAGTCTGATTCAAAAAATAACCCAATGGGCATGCACCCCCAGTCACTCATCCGGAATCCGGCTGGCAGCCTGGCAGCCCGGCAGCCCATGGCTCCCATGCACAGTGCTTGAGAGCTTCATTGTTTCCTGTCTGCTGGTGCCATCAACAGCTCTGGGGTGGCAGGGGCAGATCTTGGGCTAAAGGACAGTGGCCAACAGCTTTGGGCCAAAAGGCCACAACAAGACCAGCCAGCTAAGAGGAGGAATGTCATGTCCACAGCGAATACCTACTGCAGCAAGGCTGTAGGAGACTTTGGAGAGGAAGGACCCTGTTTCCAACAACTTGACCATGTTTCCCATCCAGGGACCTCTGTGCAGAGAGTGGTGGTGAGCAAGTATTTCCAACTGGGAGCCCCCACAGAGTCAGTGGCTGGTCTGTGCACTTGTTACTGGACTCCTAGCACTGTGCTTGGCTTGTGGTGGGTACTCTACAAATGCTGCATGCATATGTGCGTGTGCCAGTGGACTCCAGCCTTGTGATGTACCTTCATCTCTGTGCCCTTGATAGGGCGGTTCCAGGGTTGCCTCTGCGTGAGTTCAACCCTCGGGTATTTGAGCAGCACGTAGCCTCAGCCCAGCATTGTGCTGGCTACTGGGGCAATCTAGGCAGCTTATAAAGGCTGGGCCTTGCCTTGAAGAAGCTTAGAGATGAGGTTAGGCATTTAGCACAAATGCACGTCTGGGCTCTGAATGCCAGAGGAGTTCAGGAGATGGGCCCTCAGTGAGAGCGGTTTGGCACTATGGGAGGGGCAGGGCCACCAGGTCATCGCTTCTCAAGCTCTTGATGGGCTCTCCTTCTGTCCTGCCCACAAGAGCCCAGCCTTGGGCTCCCCATCTAGCTGTCCAGACAGGCTGGGGGTGGGGGGCTGTTGGTGAAGGGAGGGTGGGCCAGAGCCATCTGCTCTGCACAGGTTGGGTCACGATTCTATTCCACCACTTTCACTGGTCCCTTGGTATCCAGGCACATGGCAGCCACTGCTCCAGAGAGTGAGGAGAGGGGCTGGGGGGATGGAGCCTCGCAAGGAGCATGGACACCTAGCACTTACGTCATCACCATCGGCATCTGCCTTACCTGGCTACCTCTCTGTTCAGCACACCTGGGAGCAGCACCCTTGCAGCCCTTCTCCCTTGACAGAGCTGTGACATTGAACCCTGCCCTGGTCTGGTAGCTGAGGGCCCAGCCTCCCCTTGCCTCCTTTGTCCCATCAGCCCAGGCCATCATGGGTACAGAAGGTAGCAATGAAGTCTCACACTCGGGGTAACCAACATGCAATACTTATGGAAAGACTGTGTGATCAAGGGTTGAGAGAATAGTATACTGAACCCAAATGTACCCATTACATAGTGTGAACAATTATCAACATGCAGTACTCGTTGAAAGAAAAGGGATGATAAAAATGCACTATTATTGAAAGTAAGAAAGTGTGGGGTCTGTTAAACAGACAAAGGAGCCCACTGAGAAAGCTCCCAAAGGCCAAAACTGCAACAATTTGAGCAACAAAATAAATAATGTAGCATTGGAACATAATATGAAGTATAAAATAAACGAGTCCATAGTGAAAGAAATGGTTGAATAAATTGAGAATAAACATCTCCCATGTAGAATTCCGGGTAGTTTATGCAGGTGCTCTGCCTTCAAACATATGGAGCATAACTCCCCACTTCTGTTTGTTGTTTTGAGACAGAGTCTCACGCTGTCGCCCAGGTTGGAGTGCAGTGGCACAATCTCAGCTCACTGCAACCTCTGCCTCCCAGGTTCAAGCGATTCTCCTGCCTCAGCTTCTCGAGTAGCTGAGATTACAGGTGTATGCCACCACACCAGGCTAATTTTTGTGTTTTTAGTTGCTATGGGGTTTCATCATGTTGGCCAGGCTGGTCTCGAACTCCTGACCTCAAGTGATCCACCTGCCTCAGCCTGCCAAAGTGCTGGGATTACAGGCGTGAGCCACCTCCCCACTTCTTAAGCGTGGACTGCATATAGTAGCTACCTTCTAAAGGACACATTCAAGAAAGGGACAAAAAGTAACCTTATGGAGGAACCTGACAAACTACCTCAGCCAGGCGATGAAGGGTAACATCAGCATAAACATGATGAAGCAGGTTGATAGTATGTATCCTTGATGTGTGATGAGAATGGTACTTTACCTCTGTGGCCTTCCTCCAAAAAACTGTTACGCATGGTCTGGGCACGGTGGCTCATGCCTGTAATCATAGCACTTTGGGAGGCCAAGGGAGGATGATTGCTTAAGTCTAGCAGTTCAAGACCAGCCTGGGCAACATAGCAAGAGCCTGCCTCTACCAAAAAAAAAAAAAAAAAAATGTAATTAGCTGCACATGGTGGTGTGTGCCTGTGGTCCCACCTACTCAGGAAGCTGACCAGGAGGATTGCTTGAGCCCAGGAGGTTGAGGCTGCAGTGAGCCATGATCCACTGTACTCTAGCCTGGGCGACAGAGCAAGACACTGTCTCTTGGAAAAAAAAAAAAAAACATAAACCCATCTAGTCATAAGGATAACATCAAACAAATCCCACCTGAGGGATGTTCTACAAAATACCTGGCCATACTTTTCAAAACTGTCAAAGTCATCAAAAACAAGGAAAGAATGAGAAACCGTCAAAACCAAGAGGAGTCTAAGGAGACATGAGACATGACAGCTCAGTGTAATGTAGTGTCCTGGGTGGGATCTTGGGACAGAAAAAGGCCATTAGGTAAAAACTAGGGGAATTCAAATAAGGTATGGACTTTCTTTAGTAATGTATCAAAATTGGTTCATTCATTATGGCAAATGCCACCTATTAGTGGAAGATGTTAATAGGGAAAACTGACTAATGGGTCTGTGGGAACTCTGTGTACTATCTTTGCAATTTTTCTGTCAATCTCAAACTATTCCAAAATGTTTATTTTTTAAAATGCTTTTTTTTTTTTTTTAAGACAGGGTCTTGCTGTGTCATCCAGGCTGGAGTACAGTGGCATAATCATGGCTTACTGCAGCCTTTACTTCTCAGGCTCAAGTGACCCCCCATCTTAGCCTCCCAAGTAGCTGTGAGCACAGGTGTGTGCCACCGCATCCGACTAATTTTTTTTTTTTTTTTTAATTTTTGTAGAGACAGAGTGTGGCTATGTCGCTCAGGCTGGTCTCAAACTCCTGAGTTCAAGTGATCTTCCAGCCTTGGCCTCCCAAAGTGTTGGGATTACAGTCATGAGCCATCACACCCGAACTAAAAAATACATTGTTTTTTTTTTTTTTTTTGAGATGGAATTTCACTCTTGTTGCCAAGGCTGGAGTGCAAGGGTGCAATCTCAGCTCACCACAACCTCTGCCTCCTGGGTTCAAGCGATTCTCCTACCTAAGCCTCTAAGCCTCCCGAGTAGCTAGGATTACAGGTATGCACCACCATGCGCGGCTAATTTTGTATTTTTAGTAGAGACGGGGTTTCTCCATGTTGGTCAGGCTGGTCATGAACTCCCAACCTTAGGTGATCTGCCTGTCTTGGCCTCCCAAAGTGTTGGGATTACAGGCGTGAGCCACCACACCCGGCCATGCATTTTTCTTATTGTTATTTTGTAAGCGCTGTATTTCCTCAGGGGGAGCAGAGGGCAAGGGAAAGTTTCCATTAAGCTGGGCTAATGATGAGCGCCCTGTCCCTGCCCTGCCTGGTTTTGTTCTTGGATGTGCCAGAGAAGCGGGAGGGAGGAACGTGAGGCCACCTGGCCCCAGTTCCCCAGCTGGTGGAAAACAGAGGCAAGGAGGGTTACTGCAGGAAAGTGTGAGGATGTGCAGGAACCTGTTAGATGTGCCTGGGCCAGGTTGGAGAAAGCTGGCTGCTGTCAGGTCAGCTCCTGGGAAGACGGAC